>NC_000014.9:33551106-33854137 GCF_000001405.40 Homo sapiens | reverse complement strand
ATATATATATTTATATATATATACGTAGAATATATATATTTATATATATATACGTAGAATATATATATTTATATATATATATACGTAGAATATATATATTTATATATATATATACGTAGAATATATATATTTATATATATATATACGTAGAATATATATATTTATATATATATATACGTAGAATATATATATTTATATATATATACGTAGAATATATATATTTATATATATATACGTAGAATATATATTTTATATATATATATACGTAGAATATATTTTATATATATATACACGTAGAATATATATATTTTATATATATATACATAGAATATATATATTTTATATATATAGAATATATATATTTTATATATAATATATATATTTATATATATGATATATATATATATAAATTTGTGGTAATTCATTACATAGTAATAGAAAACTTGTATAGTCTCCAAAGCCACCTCCCTCTCCTCCCCCAAGCCACATATATATATATATATATATATATATATGTGTGTATATATATATAAATTTCCCTCCAAAGACTTTCTAGAAAGAGAAAATAATTTTTAAAGCATTTTGATTAGTGTTTGTGTTGGAAGACGATACTGTCCATCTTTTATTTCCAACCCAACACTCACTGGTGGGAAGAACTCTCCAGAGCTTCAGTGCCCCAGGTAGGCTGCAGGCCGTAGCCCCTGTGGGCACACAGGCAGCTGATCTCAGCTCTGATAGCTACTTTATTTAAATTATGTCTTTCTTTTATTACCAGTGATATAGCTTTGTTCTTACTGATACATTTTCACTAAATATGTGAGAGCAATATATTCTTGTTACACAATTGTATCACTTCAACATTTTATCAATCTTTATTCCATTTTTTTCTAGGTTTTAAACTGTTCGGGAAAAAGAACTTATTTCCTAACCCTTAGGAAGTTTATTACTATGAGTTTAAAGGAGCCCCTGTGATCTCCATCTCCTGGTGTTCACGCCTCCCGCATAATGCCTTCCTCTCGAGTATAGGCAGCACCTCTATCTTGATTGTAACCAATGGACTATGGCAAAGGCAATAGAGTACATATGATCAAATAAGAATGACGCATCCCTCTTGCTGGAGGCTCTGTTCCTGGCTTTGAATAAGCAAGCTACCATGAATCTTGTGGCCACAAGGAACTGAATGTTTCCAATAACCATGAGTGTGGGAAAGTAGATGCTTCCCCAGTAGAACCTGCAGATGAGAGCCCAACCCTGGCTGGCACCTTGGTTGCAGGCTTGTGAGATCCTAATATATTCCTGATCCACAGAAATTGTGAGATAATAAATGTGTGTTGTTTTTAAGCTGCTAAATTTGTGGTAATTCATTACATAGCAATAGAAAACTTGTATAGTCTCCAAAGCCACCTCCCTCTCCTCCCCCAAGCCCCAAAAGTATGGCTTGGTCTTAGTTTCAGCCCTGGATAAGCAGAGGCAAGAAGCAGATCATGGGGAGCTGTGGGGGAAGGGCTCAAAGGCTAGAGTTCATATCAAGGGCATTGGGGACACTTTGGAGAGTTTTAAATAAAGAAACAACAAATCTAAATCTCTGGGCTCTAATTTTCCTCTCAATAAAAATGAGGGCAAAAGACGGCCTTAAATTCTTTGTACCTGAAACCCATCACCTGCTCTTGTGCTCTTCTCCCTTCCTGGACTCCATGCCTTCGTGGGCTTCCTTTCTTGCCCTGTGTCACTGGGGTCATCATGTTTCCTATCCCCATTCTCCCATCTCTTCCCAAACGCTGAACTGTTATTAATGGCAAAACTGCAATTGCTTTTGCACTAACCTAATATTTCTAAAACTTACTTCTTCCAAAGTTTTTAAAGATGAGTGGAGTGAATATACTATTGGCTGTTAGAAAGTATTAATAGCTTCAGAGACAATCCAAACAAAAACCTGCAGAGTTGAGACATTCTAGACGGGTCCTTAAGGGAGTCAGTATTTGATAGGCAAATGAAGCTTGGGCACGGGGGGAGGGGATCATTTCACAGGCACACAGGCAGCTGGTCTCAGCTCTGATAGCGACTTTATTTAAATGGTCTGTTTCTATTATTGCCAGTGATATCGCTTTGTTCTTTCTGACACATTTTCACTAAATATGTGAGAGAAATATATTCTTGTCACACAACTGTGTCACTTTAACACTCTACCAGTATCGGGTCTCTTGATTTCATCTTTTTCTAATTTTTAAACTTTGGGGAAAAAAACTTACTTCCTAACTCGTACCAAGTTTATTCCTTTAACTAATCAGAATTGTTTCAGACTCATCACCATCTACCTTTTTTCCATGCCCTCTTGCTGTTGTCCTGGTGTTTGTTCCTCCTGTCCTTCCCTCTCTCCGTACTCTCCCCTCCACTCCCCGGGGACTCCTCCTCCCATCTGTTCATGTATGAGATGCATATATCATGTATTCACCTATCCAGCATTTGATAAGTGGCCCCCGTGACCTAGGCAGTGAGAATCAAAAACAGAGAGGTTGTCCCTGCCCCTAGATGATTAGCAATCAAAGTGGAGACAGGCAAAACCAACACCTGTGCGTTTAAAGTCCTGTGTCTATCCAGTTGCCCTCTGACTGTGTGCACTGAGTCGCTGACAGCCACTTCAGCCTTGGGGCTCCATCCTGGCCTCTTTCTTACTACACTCACCCCCCCTACCTCTGCTCATCCTCTCTGACTCTATTCCAGCAAAATCAGCACCACCATCCACTCGGTCATCTGAGGCTGAAACCAGGAGCTAACCTTGATTCCTCAGTTGCTCTCTTATCCAGTTAGTCCAGGCATTTTGTTTATTCTGTGTCTCTATCACATGACTCTGTCTGCATCCCATCCACTTCTGTGCTGTGGCTCCTGCCATTTCGCACTAGATTGTCCCAGTAGCCTCCTCACGGTTTTTCTTCTCCCTCCAATCCATTCTTTTCACAGAAGCCACAGGCATGTTTTTAAAGTACAAACCTGGTCAGGGCACTCCTACTTACCACCCTTCCAAGGTCCTCACTGCCCTCAGTGTGGAGTCCCAGCTCCTCCTGCTCCGGCTTCTGGGTCCCTGCCTGGTCTCCTGGCTACCCAGCCTTGCTTGCCTCTCCATTCCAGCCCTGGGGAACTGCACGTGGGTCCTTGAGCAGACTACGTGAGCCTCTCCTCCCTGGGACTTGGGGGCATGCTGTTTCCTCTTCCTCAAATACTGCTGCCCCTGTTCTCCTCGGACTACGGCCTTCTCACGGGGAGTTTACCTTGACCACAAGACAGGATTATGTACCTCAACTTTTCTATACTTTTGCATATTTGTTCTTACATAATAATTGCCTATCTCGTTTCTTTACTCCCCACCCCCAGCCTAAGGGTAATTTCTTTTTTTCTTTTTTTGAGAGTCTTGCTCTGTCGCCCGGGCTAGAGTGCAGTGGCGCAATCCGACTCACTGCAAGCTCCGCCTCCCGGGTTCACGCCATTCTCCTGCCTCAGCCTCCCGAGTAGCTGGGACTACAGGCACCTGCCACCACACACCCAGCTAATTTTTTGTATTTTTAGTAGAAATGGGGTTTCACCATGTTAGCCAGGATGGTCTCAATCTCCTGACCTCATGATCCGCCTGCCTTGGCCTCCCAAAGTGCTGGGATTACAGGTGTGAGCCACCGTGCCCGGCCGGGCAATTTCTTAATGTCTGGGATAGCTCTTGGGTGATGTAATAGCACAATAGAAATATATGGGCTAACAAATGCAGCCTGTATGGTTTAATGGCTTAGAAGTCAGGCTCCTGGCCGGGCGTGGTGGCTCAAGCCTGTAATCCCAGCACTTTGGGAGGCCGAGGCAGGCGGTTCACCTGAGGTTGGGAGTTCGAGACCAGCCTGACCAACAGGGAGAAACCCCATCTCTGCTAAAAATACAAAATTAGCTGGACGTGGTGGCACATGCCTGTAATCCCAGCTACTCGGGAGGCTGAGGCAGGAGAATCACTTGGACCCGGGAGGCGGAGGTTGCCGTGAGCCGAGATCCTGCCATTGCACTCCAGTCTGGGCAACAAGAGCAAAACTCCATCGCAAAAAAAAAAAAAAAAAAAAAAAAAAAGGCTCCTGAGTCAGCCTGAATTCATTTTCCAATCTCACTCCTTATTGGCTATAATCACCTTGGACAAGTTACTTAATTTTTCTTAATCTCAGATTCTTCATATGTAGATGGGGATAATAATAGTTACCTCAAAGGACTGTTGTAAGCATTAAATGAATTAATAGGCCAGGCATGGTGGTGTGCACCTGTATTCCTAGCTACTTCGGATGCTGAGGTGGGAGCATCGCTTGAGCCCAGGAGATGGAGGCTGCAGTGAGCTCTGATTGCACCACTGCGCTCCAGCCTGGGTGACAGAGGGAGACCCTGTCTCTAAAAAAGTAAAAATTAAAATAATAATACATAGAAATCATGTAGCAGAGTCCTCAAAATGCAGCAAGTATATTTTCCATAAACAGAGTGGTAAGTATTGTGATTGTCAGCACCAGGTGTGGACTCAGGGGTAGGGTGTAGGACTCAACCTGGGGTGGAGGAAGATTTGCAAGGTTTGTCTCAGCCTCTAAGGCTTGTTTGTATAATAGAAAAACTCAAGAGCAATGACTCCAGTCCAAGCTCTGGTCTCATTCTGGTGTTCCTGTGTGGCTGAATTCCTGAATCCCATGTCTGAAGGTGTCCCTGCTGGGCAGGCAAGGGAGCTCAGTGGGGCCCTCTAGTGATGACTTCCTCCCATGCCCTGAGGCACAGCCTTGCTCAGAGGCCTCCCAAGGGTTCCCACATCCTTGGGGATTTTCTATTAGTGAGGAGCAGAGCAAAGCTAGCAAACAGGAGAGCAGCCCTGCTGGCACCGTGGCTCCCTCTGTGGCGGCTTTGAGGTCATTCATGCAAAAGGCACTGTTAGGAAACCCAGATCAGCTGCGAAGGAGCATTTCAGGTGAAAAAACAAAAATGCTTCTTAGTGGTTGACTTAGGGTTCTGAATCTATAGATACTAGATTTGGAAACTTTATCCAAATGGAGCAATTACCAGAGTGTCCGTTTCCTAGGGAGCATTCACTTTTCATCCAAGGAGTAGAACAGCAGCCTTGTTTCCTGCTGTTCCTGTAGGACAATGGAGTCCCAGGATTCAGTGTCCTGATGCTGTCTGGGAGGCTGTGGATGTAAAAAGGAACCAACGTTCTGCTCCACGAGCAGAGAGCAGACGAGAAGCAGAGCATTTGTTCCTTGCCCATCTCAACCTAATGAGGACACGGAGAGATTCTGATTGCTTTTCCATAATTATGTAGGCCTGTCAGAACCACAGCAGCTGGACAGACTTGATCCCTAACTGTGAGGGTGGAGAGTCACTTTCTACTTGGTTCCCAGCTTTGGCCTCATTCTTCTCCCCACAGCTGCAGTCACTTGACTACCTGCTTTCATGACCTCCTGTCTGGTTCTTCCTTCTTTATTTCATTTTGAATATAGCAATGTAAAGATAGCTTATATGCTATCTCCAATAAAGGATACAGATATTGCAAAAACAGCATACAGAAAGGCCTAATGGAAACTGGAGGTACAAATGATAGTAAATCATGAAGTGCACAGGTTCTGGAGGTGGGGGGGACTAGATTTCACTTCTATACCTCTCTGTTTCTACCTGTATGAACTGGGAAGGTTCTATTGTCTTAAGTTTGATGTCCCATCTGTGAAATGGAGAGTGTAATTGTACTAGTCAGAGTTCTTTGTTGCAAGCAATGGAAACCAACTCTGATTTAAGTTAAAAATAAGGAACAGGAGGAGAACTAACAAGACATTGAAATAGCTATTTCGCAGATTTGTTGTAAGGATGAAATTAGATAAAAATCATTCAGCACAATATGTGGCATGTCGACAGTGTTAGATATGTTAGCTATTATTGCATCATCATCATTTATTATGATGATGAGCTCTGTCCTAACTTTCTTACCTGTAGCTTTGGCTCGATAGAAAGTCAATGCTGGTGTTGATGCTATACAGTCTTTTGATTTTTGAGAATGGGTTTCCAAAACATATGGTCGGCGAGCAGTCTCTGGTCCAACCAGCTATTGTCAAAAGGCATAGGGTCACATGGCATAAACCTGGACTATAGCTTTTTTTAAAACAAAAATTTAAAATATATATATTTAGGGGGCACAAGTGCAGATTTCTTAACATGCTTGTATTGTGGAGCGGTGAGGTCGGGGCTCTTAGTGAACCCATCATCTGAATAGTGAAGGTCGAACCCAACAGGTAATTTTTCAACTTTCACCCCCCTCCTACCCTCCCACCTTTTGGAGTCTCCGATGTCTATTATTCCATTCTGTACATCCATGTATACTCATTACTTAGCTTTCACTTATATGTGAGGACATGTAGTATTTGTTGACTTTCTGTTCCTGAGTTATTTCATTGAGGATAATGGTCTCTAGCTCCACCCATGTTGCTGCAAAAGGCATGATTTTATTTATTTTTTTATGGCTGAGAAGTATTCCGTGGCATATGTGTGATTGATGGACACTTAGGTTGATTCCATGTCTTTGCTATTGTGAATAGTGCTCACAATATTGTGAACATGATAAACATGTGAGCACAGGTATCTTTTTGATATGATTTCTTTCCCTTTGGGTAGATACCCAGTAGTAGGATTGCTGGATGGAATGGTAGTTCTATTTTTAGTTCTTTGAGAAATCACCATACTGCTTTCCAATAAGGGTTGTACTAATTTGTATTCCCACCAACAGTGTATAACTGTTCCCTTTTCTTCGCCTTGTTGCCAACATCTGTTGTTTTTAGACTTTTTAATACTAGTCATTCTGACTGGTATGAGATAGTATCTCACTGTGGTTTTAGTTTGCATTTCTCTGATTAGTGATATTCAGCATTTTTTCATGTGCTTGTTAGGCTTCTAGCCTCTTAAGTCAGCTGGGGCTGTAGACAGGGTGCAATTCTCTGAGAAAGGCAAGCAAAACTAAGTCTAATTTACCTAAATACTTGCTTGTTTTGTAGGACCATTTCCAATATCATGTAAGAGGCATGTAAAGGTTCTAGATCAGTAGTCAACATCAACTCACTTCTATTGCCTTTAATAACTAGGCACTTGGCTGAATCAATTGAATGTTTACTGAGCACCTACTATGTTGGAGACAGGCATTGTTTTGTATACCCAGTGCAAAAGGGACTTCTAGGAAACCCAGGTCAGCTGTGAAGCAGGGTTTCAGGTAAAAAACAAAAATCCTTCTTAGTGATTGACTTAGGGTTCTGAGTTTCCAATTTATACTAAATTTAGAAACTTTATCCAAAAGGAGCAATTACCAAAGCGTCAGTTTCCTAGGGAGTATTCACTTTTCATCTGAGGAGTAGAACAGCATCCTAGTTGCCTGCTGTTCCCTGTAGGATGATCGAGTCCCTACATTGATACCCCATCAAACACTGGGTATACAGAAAACAATGCCTGTGTTCAATGGACTTACTGTTTCACAGAGGAGGCAACGGCTAGATGAATAATAATAACCCCATGTTTTGAATGTCGCAGTAGAAACACAATGGGCATATAGAAGAGAATGGAATTAATTATGCCAAGAAGAGCAGTGGAGGGAGAGATAACTGGGGACAGTCTCATGGAAAAGTTGACATTTGATTTGGGTGTTTGAAATGAGTAGGAGTTTGCCAGGCTGGCGAATGGAAAATGGTATGAACAAGAGTACAAGGACCTTCAAATCCAAGCTATGTGGTTCATGTTTTACTGTCTTGAAGTTTACAAAGTAGGAGAATGACGTGATCAGATTGGGTTTCTGGTGGCAGTGTGGAGGATGCTTTGGAAGGGGACTGCCAGAGCCAGGGAGACCAATTAGGAAACTGTTACAGGAGTTTAAGAGATGGTGAGGACTTGACCGGAGACAGTGGAGGAGGGGGATGGATCTGAAGTCGTAGGGCTGGGACCAATTAAGCACAATTAGTGAGGAATGGGGGGGAGTTGGGGCTATTTTGAGAATTCTTATTTGCCTACTTGGGTGAATGGAGGTGCTATTGTCTGATGAAGGACTCGAAGAAGACAGAGCTTGTTTTGAAGGGAGGAGGCTGAGTTCCATTTTGACATGTTGCATTCATTGTACTGGTGGAACATCTTAGATGAGAAGTCTGTGGGCAGGTAGAGTTCTGGATGTCAGGAAAGAAGTTTGAGGCTGCTTGGGAAAGGCTCATACCTGGAACTAGCCCGTAGGTAGAAAGAGGACCTGTCTTGGACCTGAGCCCCTGAGTTTCTTTCTGCCTGGGGCCCTGGCTTGTTGTGGCTGGATACCCACCCAGGGCCTGGAGTTCTTCCCTGAGCTTCCCCATGGTGGCTGCCTCCTTGCTGGCCTAGTCCTGTCCTCAGTGATGGCTGCATGCTGCATCTTGGCTTTCCGAATGTTGTACCACGGCATGTGCTCCATCCACCTGCAAAAAAGCCAGGCACCAAATGTTGGGCCTTCCGGTTGCTGAAGGTCATCTTGGCCTGGGTTGCCTCAGTCTGTGGAGATGCCTGTGGAAGCTTTGATCCGCCTTTGCTGAGAACTCCCTCTCATCTCCTGTGGGAGATCTCAACCCGAACCTACAAGCCAGTGTTTGTAGCTGACGTTCATCTTGTCCTGTCCTGAGATAACTGGAAAGTTTTGTTAACTTCAAATAAATAAATCTGTGAAAATGTCCAGAGGTCCAGCATTTGGGCAGGTTGGAAATGTGCTGCAGCCATTGAAAGAAGAGAAGATGACCTTCAGATTAGCAACTTCTCCCAGCTTCCAGAGGCAAACACAGGTGGGAAGTCTCAATAAATCAAATATGAAGGTGTTGCCCCCAAGCGGCATGGAGGAGATGAGATTCCAACTCTCATTTTCTATTAATGGGCCTTTGAAGCCTTTATGGAGTTAGCGTTTTTGTTTTTTGTTTTTTTGCTTTTTTTTTTTTTGAGATGGAGTCTTGCTCAGGTGCCCAGGCTGGAGTGCAGTGGCGTGATCTCGGCTCACCGCCACCTCTGAATTCCTGGTTCAAGCGATTCCCCTGCCTCAGCCTTCTGAGTAGCTGGGATTACAGGCGCATGACACCACGCCTGGCTAATTTTTTGTATTTTTAGTAGAGATGAGGTTTCACCATGTTGGTCAGGCTGGTCTTGAACTCCTGACTTCAGGTGATCCACCTGCCTCAGCCTCCCAAAGTGCTGGGAAAACAGGCAGAAGTTAGCATTTTTTAGTAATGACATCAATGAAAGTATTTGATTTGTAAATTGGGGGACACATAGCTACAATTACTTTGGATTTGGCAGTTATTCCCATCAGCAATGTTTGTTATCCCCACCTCTGCCACCAGCATATATACTTATGTCCTGTCCCACAACCCAACCCCTCACCCCCACCACTCAGTATTTTTTTTTCTTCTTTTTTCTTTTTTTTAAGCACAGAGCCGAGTCTGGAGGGGGTTGGCCCAGCTTTCATCTTTATCCATCATGGCACACTTGGGCCACCTTTACCTTTCCTCCTCACATGATTACGTGCTTCTGAGCAGTGTCCTTAGACCTTTTTTCCTTGCCCTCTCAGGCATTTAACTCATTTTTGGAAGATAGAGCACTGAACCAGGAGACAAGAGTTGCATTCTAGTCCTAGTTCAGCCACAGTGAAGTTGGGTCACCTTGGGCAAGTCTTTTGACTTCCTGGGCCTGGCTTTCCTTATCCACACAGTAAGGAAGGTAAGTTGAAACACCTGGGCAACTTATTTCACCTCTCAATTAGATAAGTCACCCTGTGCACTTCAACCATCCTCCCACACCCCCTCTCCACTTCTGAGGGAAACCCACTGCTTGACTGCAGCTCCTGCCGCCCAGGTGGCGGTGTCTCCTGCTGTGTGAGGAGACCTTCCCTTCCTCTCCTCCTCCCTTCACCGAACTGGCCCAGGGAAGGGGTTTGTGATCCAAGAGCAGTCATTTCATAAGCTGGTTCTGTGGTCAGGCTTAAAGAAGATAAACTGGATGCATCCTTTCTGATGGGGGATGGGGGAAGGCAGGGATTTGAAATAAGGAATCCCAAAGAAATTTTTCGGTTAATAGTAGGGATAGAAGAGATTCTATATCACATAAGGCTCAGACGAGCTTCTTTACTTGCACATTCTTCAAGATTTAACGCTCTTTCTGTAGAATAATCTTGCTTTACCCAAACACAGAATTATGACTAGGCTACGGGAATGGAAAGATGAAGCTCCCCTACCCGAGTTTCTAATACTGAGTAGGAGACACAGACAGGTAACCCACCTGCAGCCCCTTCCCAGCTCGGAACCATCTTCCTCAAATAGATTACGGGAAAAGGGAGTTAGTTTCCTATCTGTTCCTGAGTTGTCTGCACTACAGCTGTCTTCTATATGGCATGCTCAGGGAAATCTGAGTTAAAATCCCAGGGCTGCCACTTATTAGCTAGATGATATTGAGCAAATTCCTTAACCTGTTTATATCCCAGTTACCGTGTCTGAAAAGGGGGGATAATTATTGTTTCGATATTACAGTTGGTTGTGAGAATTGCAAAAGCATTGTTTTCTGTTTGGTTGTTTTTTGGGTTTTGTTTCTGCTCTGCTGTTCAACTCCTGAGTTGTAAATGTGGATGCATACCTGAGGGAAAGATTATTCTTCCTCATGTCTGTACTGTTTCAGTGTGTGTTTTGCAATCGGTAGCTAATCAAATGATTTTGGGATGGGAACCCAGAAGCAGTGGGAAAGGGAGTCTGCCCACACTCTCACAGCATGTTTATGACAGAAACACAGAATTTGCTTTCTTTAGCTCTTGGCCTACTTTCTTATTCTTTAAGTTGCATTGCTTCTCTGTGCACATATGTGTGCGCACACACACCCATACAGGTATGTGTGCATGCATGTGTATTATTGTGTGACTGTGTGTGCACGTTGATTTCAACTTCTACAAAATAGCCACCAACTGATAATTCTACTATAGCTCAATGGAAGAGAAACATCCCAAAAGTTGGACGGAGAGCTTCCAGGGAGGAAGGCAGGCTCAGATACAATACATTTCTGGCCCTGTCAGCTTCTAGTGCTTTCTGTTTTGAGGGGAAAAAAATGCAAATAAATAATAAATACAATTCACATTAACCTGAGAATTACCTTACAGTGTTTTTTGAAAGGAAAAAAAATAGAGAGTTGAGCTAGCAGATCTATTTCGAGATGATTTAACAGGTGAGAGGGAGTTAGCTGCAATTGTTTTATGTCTCAGTCTATTAGGTACTGTACAATGCGACAGATCTATTATTTATACAGTTGTTCAGCAAAACTTTTGTGGGTTTTTAAATTGACTGTAATGTTTAGCAATTGGAATATAAATTTATTCAAGCCTCTTATTTGGTCGCCTCAATGGTGCATTACAAAGTATTTTATAGTGTCTGATCTGCTTAAGTTTTACAACCAGCTTCCATTGTTCTGCACTTTTTACAGCTAGTGCTGAGAGCAGGGCTGGGTGCCCCTGCCTCCTGTTGGCCCCTAGGGCTGCTCCCAGGGACTGGGGACTGATTCACCAGGTGAACCCAGGATGTAAACAGCACCCACCCCCTGCCTCAACTCCTTTTTAAATGCCTTCCTTTCCCTGGCTTCCTGCCAAGTGTCTATGGTGTGAGATTCTGTTTTGACCTAACCCAACCCCAGTTGGGAATTTGCCTGCCTGGTCCTAGCTATGATGATTAATACTAAATTCTCAAGCTGCTTCTTGCCATGGTTTTTTCCCTTGTTACCAACCTTCTTGAAGTAATGGAATATTACAGTCAGTCTTCATGTTCTCATGAGCCGCTTTTTCCATCGTCTTTTGGCTTCAACCATTACCCACTTATACAAACTACTTTCTCAAAGATCTATAATGACCTCTGGTTGTCAAATTTAAGTGCCTATGTTTTCTGGGTGTCTGCAGTGGTTGACATTGAACACACACTTCTTTCTTGATACCATTTCTCTCCTGATCAGCCTGACATAGCTGATGTGCCTACTTTCATTCATTCTTCTCTAAACTCTTGGTCTTCCCATGCCATCTGGGAACAGCCCAGGCCTCCTCATCTTACATGGTGCATGCACAGATCACATCTCTGCAGCCTTCCCCGTGCATTGCATTTCCACTCACCTCCTCCTCTGAACTCCCCCGTGTGTACATTTTTAATGCTATTTATCACATTTTACTTTATACTAATCGTCATAGCTGGGTCCTTCTTCCCCCGTGACTGTAAGTTCCTTGATACGGGCAGATATGGTGACTGATACAGTTTTGAAATCCCCATGCCGCCTGGCACACCACAGAGCCTCAATTAGTTTACCCACTTTCAAACATGGGTTTTTGAGAAGGAAAGGCAAGAGTGGTGTGAGACGAGGCTGGAGAGGTAGCACAGGGCCAGATAAAGATGACAAGTTTAGGAGTCTTTGAGGATTCTGGATTTTACCCAAAGAACTATATTAGCGCAGGATTTTAAATGTGGGATATGACATGGGTAAAACCAACATTTAGAAATATTTCTCTGCTGGAATGGAGAGGGGCAGGCAAAAGATGGTGGTAGCTTAGATTGATGGTGGGGGACAGTGGGAAGAAAAAAAGGAAAAGATCTGAAGAAAAATCTAGTAGACAGAGTGGACAGGAATCACAATTGATTTGATGTGAGGAATAAAATAAATGAAAATATTAAGAGCGTTTGCCAAATTTGACTTAAATACCTGGCTGCATGGGGATGCAAATTTCACAGTGAGAGACTGCTGAAGAGCTGGGTTCACTGTGTGTGCAGCAGGAGGAGGTGCAGGAAGTGAGGAGGTAATTTAGTTTGGTTCATATCGAGCTTGAGGTGCCTACGAGACATTCAGGGGTGATATCCAGGAACATGGGTTTGGAGATGGAGCTGGATCTGTGGGAATAGACAAAAGCACCTAAGAAGGGGGTAGAATAAGAAAAGAAGAGGGCCTGAGACAGAGCCTGGAAGATTCCAGCATCAATAGGCTAGGGCAAGATGGCAGAGTCAGCCCCAGACACTGAGGAATAGTTTGGTGTTCCTGGGCCTGAGGGACAGCAGTGTTCTCAGAAGGTCACCTGTGGCAAAGCTGCCAAGAGGTCAAGTAAGAAGAGAACTGAAGAGCTTAGACTGGAGGTAGCGTGGCCATGTGAGGCACTGTGAGGGCAGGCAGACGGAATGACATTGGAATGAGCTAAGAAGTGGGTAGACAGGAGGAAACGGGACTGGCTTGCAGGGAGCTCTGCTGAGAAGTTTCATTGCAAAGTGAGGAGAGATAGAGGCTGTAGCTCAAGGCATCTGTGGGGAGTGGGAGAGGTTAGGGTTTGTTTACTTGTTTTTGCTTTTAAGATAGAAGAGACTAGAACATGTTTAAATGTGAGAATGGAAGGAGGCAAGGAAGAGGGAGAAGGTAAAGACTCAGGAGCCACACATGACAAATGATGACTGAAAGCGTCAAGTTCCCAAGAAGGTGGGAAGATGGAGCCTCCAGGCTGCAGATGGAAGAACTGGCCTTTGTCTGATGAGGAGGGAAATGTCTTCATTTACAACAAGAAAGAGGAGATGATGAGTACGGTGCAGGGGCTTTGTGACAACAGGAAGGCAAGACAGCCTTTGGAGAGGCTTTAATGTCTGTGATATCAATGTGGAGCTAAAACTCTATTACTATTAATAATGAATTATCATAATGAAGCAGCTACCAGTAGCGACTGATGACTATGCTAAGAATTTGTATTTAATAATTTAAGCCTCACAACAAACTTATTGGGTAGGTTTTATTTATACCTGAGGAAACTGGGGTTCATAGAGGTTAAATAATTTGGCCCAAAAAGTGACAGTTGGTAAGAAATAGACCCAGGAATGAACCCTATGCCCATTCCAAACTCCCTGTTATTGCTATTACTGTGGCTATTGTCTGGCTATTGCTGTTACATCGGCAATAAGGGCCAACTCTTTACTTTTTTAAACTCACTGTGTGCTTCATGCTATTGGGAAAGTTTATAGTATACTGGAGAAGGCTTTCCTCGTCAATCTTAGGGTTAATTGAACTGTGTGCAGCTTATAATTCTAAGAATACTGGAAATGGATGGAGACAATCAGAAGAGTCCTCCCCCACATTGTGTTCCGAAATGCAGTGATTAGGTGTCATATTCTAGCATTAAAATTTTTTATCTGCTCCTTGTCTGCACAGGAGGGCAGCAGATATTTACCAGCACTGGAATAGTTAATGAAGCATGCAGCATTAGGTCTCTTTCTCATAACGGGCTTTGGGATTTTTGCTGTGATTGTTCAATGTACACTCTGCCCTCTAGTGGCCAAGATCTCCCTCGACCCGAGGGGTATCCACGAAACCCCACGCAGGGCCGTGGAAGGGGAGTTTCCTTGCACTTCACAATGGCTCTGTCCAAAGGATTTTCTTATGTGCATTTCTGTATTATTTTCATTCATTAGTTTCTCTCTCCATCTTCTACAGTAATGTATGATCAATTGGAAAACCCAGGTGACCCAAACTCCAGTGCCATTTCATAGCCATACAGCCTTGAATGCAGTCGTTATCACTGTGAGCCGGATCCCGTGGATCTGAACATGGGCTTTGGAGGCAGAAAGACCTGGACTCCAGGCCCAGAGTAGCCCACCTTTGTACGCGGACAGTTTCTTCCCCTGGGAAAGGGGGATAACATTACCTGCCTGGGGATTAAATGGGCAAGTGTGTACAAATGGCCTGGCACCTCACGATTGTCCAACAGATGTTGGTTCTCATGTTTCTTTGGCTTAACTCCCTGATTTCTGGGAAGATCTTTGAAGAGTAAGTGAGAATCGTCTCTGATGACAGTGTTGCGTTTAGCCGGTGTTGCATTGTAATTGTCTGATTATTGTTCATGTGCCCCATTGGACAATAAGCTTTGGTGAAGATAGGGGTCTTGTTGGTATCCCCACACCCAACACATAAGCCATTCAATAAATCTTTGCTGAATGAATAAGAATGAAATGTGTCCTAACACAAAGAAATGAAAAATGTTTGAGATGATGGATATGCTAATTGCCCTGATCTGATCACTGTACATTGTATCAAAACACCACTGTGTACCCCATAAATATGTACAATTATTATGAATCAATAGAAAAAAACTGGCTCGGCGCAGTGGCTCACGCCTTTAATCTCAGCACTTTGGGAGGCCTAGGCTGGCGGTTCGCTTGAGCTCAGGAGTTTGAGACTAGCCTAGGCAACATGACAAAACTGTACCTCTACCAAAAATACAAAAATTAGCCAGGCATGGTGGCGCATGCGTGTGGTTCCAGCTACTTGTGCGGCTGAGGTGGGAGGTTCACCTTAGCCTGGAAGATTGAGGCTGCAGTGAGCCATGACTGCACCACTGCACTTCAGCCTGGGTGACAAAGTGAGACCCCGACTCAAAAAAAGAGAAAAGCAAAGCAAAGCAAAGCAAAGCAAGAAACCCTGAACATATGGCTCCCAAATTCAAGCATCTCAAGTCATTTCCTAGGCACACTAAATTTTAAGACCTGCTCTAGAGGTTTGACCTCTAGGAGTCAAGCTATGGATAGAATTTAATTTGGGACTTACCTTTGTTCTCTATAATCTGCTTCATATCTGGTGACTTTTGACCTCAGCTGGGAAACAGAGCTCATGACTTCCTGCCAGATTCTTTGTCAAAAGAGCTAGTACGTGTGTTTATGAAATGGAGTCTGACTTAATGCAGAAGCTTTCTTTAAAGGTCTTGACCATAGTTTAGGGTTAAGGGAATTATTACAGAAGAAACAATTAGCATCTTACTAACTGACTGTAGGCTTGAAGTCTTTCCAAATAAACAATTTTCTTAAAAATGTTATTTATCTTTTACTTAAAAATGGCCCCTTTAGTCTCTGTATGCTTCTCTTCTTGAAACTGTGTCTCTAGGGTTTCCAAATGAGCTCATTACTTGATCTGGCTTGCTGCAGTTTCAGGAAGGCAGTTCCTATAATGTTCCTGATTGTTTGTTCTGACGTTCTTCAGACATCAGTTACACAAATGTAGAAAAAAAGCCCAGGCTTTCCTCTAGGTCGAGTTGCCAGTATGCTTCTATGGAATTTGATCCCCCAAAAAAACTACTTAGGAGACCCGAATCTGGGGGCAGATACATTTCCATAGCTCTTGCCTCAAGTGACTATTTTTTCAGTTTTATTGAGGTATAATTGACTAATTGTATATATTTGTAGTGTACAACATAATGTTTTAATATATGTATACATTGTGAAATATTGCCACAGACAAGCTAATTAACATATCTATCATCTCACATAGTATTTTTTGGGGTGAGAACATTTAAGATCTGTTAGCAATTTTCAAGTGTTTAATACACTTATTAAATATATAATCTGAATAACTAATCTGAAGATTATTGGACAGCATGGTGACTGTACAATAGTAATTCATCCTGTCTACCTGAAACTTTGTACTTTTTGAGCAAATCACCCCATTCCTCCTCAAGTGAGTATTTTAATGTTTAAGTTTCAGAAACTTTAGGGAAAAAATTCTTTTCTCTCTCACAAGTTAAAATCAAAGAACCCAGTCTGGTTACATTTAAGTGAGCCAGGAGGGCAAAGTTGGGGAATATTATGCCTGGGGCTACTTGCTCCCAGATCAACAGAGTTTAACAGCAAGAACAATACTTACTGAGCATTTATTACATGCCAGGTGTCGTGCTGATTACATCACAGGCCATAGATCCAATATGATCCTCACAATAGTAACTGTGACACAGTGCAACGCTTATTACCCCCATCTTATCAGCTGAGGCATATAGCACAAAAGCGAGAAGCTGAGGCATATAGCACATAAGCGACTTGACAGGGATCATGTGGTCACTAAGTAATAGCACTAGGATTCAAACCCAGGCCCATCTGATCCACATTCATAAAAACTGGGCTATCCTCGAGGACAACTACTTTTTTCACTGATAGTCTGGAAAGACGTTGTTGCTATGCCAGCTCTATAGCTCGGGTATCCCTGGAGCTGCTGCTTCAGGAATGTGGTCTTTACGTCACAGTCAGTACCTCCTCTTAGTTGCCTGTGTTAGGTCTAGATTCCTCCCCACCCAAGGTCGGATTCATCCTTGATGTGGAGATTTGGTTTTCTATTACGGAAATTCAGCTGGTTTGGAGATTTGGTTTTCTCTTACAGAAATTCAACTGGTTTGTATCTTTTGGTGGCCCTGCTGTGTTCCTTTCCCTTTGTTTTTCCTTCTCTTTGAAAGTGTTCTCTTTCAATCTTGTGGGGGTGATTTGGCACCGTTTATGTCTTAGTGCAAAGGGCTTCTGCTTTCAGAAAACCTCTATATCGTGGACTAAGGAGAGTGTTGGAGGCAGGCCCAGGGAGGGATGGCAGAAGGCCTGGGGGATGGGTGAAAATGAACACTATCCAGCAAAGCAGGAGGCAGGCAGCGAAAGAGCCGGAAGTACCAGGGCGAGGGGCAGGGAAGGGGCAGGTGTGTGGAAAAGGGCCAGGAGTGAGTGTGGAGACAAAATCATCTTTTATAAAAACCCTGCTGCTTGCCTTAACCTCAAACCTTTTTCTTATTGAAAAGGTAGGGTTGAGAAGTTAAGTCCTTCCTTGCAGGAGTGTGGGGAAAGGTCAAGAAGCTTGCTGCTTTGGCCTGCAGGCACTTGGTTAAGCCACAGAGGGGAAGAGATAAGCAGTTGGTTTTTCTCTGAAAGAAGAGGACGTATCAATTTGACAGTCGGCACCACAAGTGCTTACAACACCTTGGGGGCGGAACCTCTTCTATGATCTCCCTTAGGGCAAAAACTACTCCTGCTTGGGATGCTTTCAATAAAAACATCTTCTTGCATGATTCACCTTCTCTGGGGATAATTTCACATTATCCGTGGGGATTTTGAGTTGTTTGTGAGATCTCTATATTATACCTGCTTACTCTTTTCCCTGAGAGAAAGCAGTAGAAGGCATAAGAAGGCCAGGGTAGGGAGGTAAAAATCTTCCCATGAACCCTGTTTCTAAGCTTCAGAGCAATAATGACCAAATCTGGATACAATACCAATCGGGGAAGGAGACTTGTTCCTGGAAGACTTCTCTCCACGAGAGCAGAAAATTCTGTACAATGAAACCAACATAAGTAAAATAAACCATACAAAAGAATATGGAGAGAGATCCTGTGATAGGCAGAATTCCAGTCCCAATAACCATATCCATGTATTAGCCTTTGCCCTTAAGTGTGGCCACACCTGTAATTTGCTTCTAACCAATGGAATATGGCAAAGGTGATGGGCTATTACTCTCATGACTCTGTTATATGGCAAAGGTCTGTAATTTTGCACAATTTAGCTTATTAGTCAGTTGGCATGAATGAAAAGGAGCTATCCCAGGTAGGCCTGAACTAATCAGGTGAATTTTTAAAAACAGAGTCTGGCGGTCAAAGACAAAAGAAGTCAGAGATTCTTCTGCTGTCTTTGAAAAAACAAACTTCCATATTATGAACAGCACCACATGGCAAAAAATTGTGGTGGCCTCTAGGAGTTGAGGTCCTCAGCCCTATAGCTACATGGAACTCAATTCTGCCGATAGCCAGTGAGCTTGGTAGAAGACCCCCTACCTCAGACAAGATGGCAGCCCTGGGCCGGGCGTGGTGGCCCATGCCTACAATCCCAGCACTTTGGGAGGCTGAGGCAGGCAGATCGCCTGGGGTCAGGAGTTTGAGACCATCCTGGTCAACATGGCAAAACCCTGTCTCTACTAAAGATACAAAAATTAGCCAGGCATGGTGTCACGTGCCTGCCATCACAGCTACTTGGGAGGCTGAGGAGGAGAACTGATTGAACTCGGGAGGTGGAGGTTGCAGTGAGCCAAGATTATGCCACTGCACTCCAGCCTGGGTGACAGAGGGAGACTCCATCTCAAAAAAACAGAAAAACAAAACAAAACGAAAAGGGATCACAGCCCTGGCTAACACAGCGATTTCAACCTGGTAAGACCCTGGGCAAAGGACCCAGCTAACCTGCATTTGGTCTCCTGACACGTGGAAGCTGTGAGATGATAAATCTGTATTATTTTAAGCTGCTGTTTGTGGTAATTTGTTAGGCAGCAGTCAAAACGAATACAGATTCTATGTTTTTCAAATGAAAACTCAATGGTTTTCAAGATGACATCTTCTTCAAGACTTTATTGTCACTAAGCTAAATTGGAGCCACAATTATCCCCTTTTTCAATCACTACCTGCCATGACTCTTTGGAAGCCACCTTTTTGGAAGCTCTGTGGTTAAGGGCTTCCTGTCAGCTTACTTCTGGGGGCCTGTTGGAAGATAAATAAAGAGATGCTTCTGGTCTTGTTTTGTGGAATTACGTTATGCAAATTCCTGTGTACATTGGGCAAAAACCCTCTTTTAGGCTTAGGAGGTGTCCCTGCAGTGGTGTTGGTGAGGGAGAACCCACAGGAAGGCATTCCTGGGAAGTCTGGCTCACTCCAGCATGTAAATCATCCAGCAATATGCAAATGACTTCTCAGGCCTACGGTCCTTTCCTCCGTGATCTTCCTAGGCTCTGCCTGGGAGTTGAAAAGCCTCTACATTTGGCTGTGTTTTAGCTCATTCTCGTTGGGAGCATCTTCAAGTGCCTGGAAAATGTGGTTTTGTAGTTAAAACTGTAGAAGTGAGACGCATAAAGGACATTGGGAGTGCCAAGACCTGGTGCCAAGCTGGCTGCGTGTGTACCTGCAGCCCAGGGCTGTACTGTAGTCGATTACAGTCCAGCTCTTGCCAGGAAATAGGGCACTCTCACTTTACTCACCTTGGCATGAGCAGCGCAGTACCGCCTGTTGTGGTGTTTGCTGAATGAATGAAACCTTTTATTTTATGGAACAAATGAAGGCCAGTAGAGATTCAAACTCCTGCCCAAGGCCACATAACTTGCTAGTGGCAGAGCTGGTTCTGCAGCACCAGCTTTCTGAATTGCTGTGTCTTTCTACTTCCACCTCCCAGCCATGGCACAGGCCTGGTGTGCCCCTGAAGAGGTGGAGGCAGAAAGAGGACTGTGCCTTTTGTCCAAGGACATCACTAAGTGAGAAGCAGCGTCCCGATTCCAGTTGGGGCCCTGCCTCCACGTCCACCCGGTCTCCATCGAGCAGCACTTAGCTCCGTTTCTGTGTTGTACATGCTCTTGCTGATGGCCTCCCTGCTCAATTCCCTTCAGTGCCGTTTTCAGCTTCACACTTCATGAATTTTATTTGCAATCGATAAATAAACCTATTATCATCAGGGTTTTGTATTCTCATCATATATCGTCATCTGTCATAAACCATTGCATGCGGGAGTCCGGTTCATTCAGCATATCCCACTCATCATTATTTCTGAGTCAGTGGCTGAGAGACACAAACTGAAAGTGCAATGCCAAGAATTCAGTTTTCACTCAATAACATAAAGTCTAAAGATAAAAATCTTATTTAGATATTATTATTATATTTGAGATTAGTGCCGGGGGAGAAAAAATCTTTTACCTTGTCAGGCTCTCTGTACTTATTAGAAGTGACAAAGTATTTTGTTTTTCCATTCAAATGTGACGGATCTGATGGAAAAGCGGTTTTTCATTAAGGTGTGTTTTCAGAATGCTTCTGGCCATCTCTAGCAGTTTTGTGGGGGGCATCTGATTTGAGTACAGCTTTGGGTTGGCACATAAGTTGGAGGTCACATTTGTCTGTCAAAGTAGATTTTGGTAGGAGAAGCTAAATAATGCTGTGGTCTAATGGGGAGTCACATTTCCTGGTTTCCGCCACAGTCTTTTTTTGCTTTTAATTTTATATTTGTAATTTGGTGTTCATCTTTTAAAAGTTTCTGTGCATTTTATTTTGTTTATTTATTTATTTTTGAGACAGGGTCTCACTTTGTCACCCAGGCTGGAGTGCAGTGGCGTGATCATAGCTCACTTCAGCTTCGACTTCCCAGGCTCAAGCGATCCTCCCATCACAGCCTCCCTAGTAGCTGGGACTGTAGTTATGTGCCACCACACTTGGCTGAGATGGTTTGTTTTGTTTGTAGAGATGGGCTTTCGCCATGTTGCTCAGGCTGATCTTGAACTCCTGGGCTCAAGTGATCCACCAACCTCGGCCTCCCAAAATGCTGGGATTACAGGTGTGAGCTACCACGCCCCACTATGTTTTTATTTTTGTGGGTACGTAGTATATATATTTATTTTTGTGGCTACGTTGTATATATATTTATGTAGTATACATATTGGCCTATAGTTTTCTTTCTTGGATATGTCTTTGTCTAGTTTTGGTATCAGGGTAATACTGGTCTTCTAGAATGATTTGGAAGTATCCCCTCCTCCTCTGTTTTTCAGAATAGTTTGAGTAGGATTGGTATTAGTTCTTCTTTAAATGTTTGGTAGAATTCAGCAGTGAAGCCATCAGGTCCTGGGCTTTTCATTGCTGGGAGACTTTATGTTGTGGCTTTTATCTCATTACTTATTATTGCTCTGTTCAGGTTTCGGGTTTCTTCGTGGTTCAATTTTGGTAGTTTGTTTGCTTCTAGAAATGTATTCATTTTTTTCTAGGTTTTCCAATGTATTGGCATAGGGTTGCTCATCGTAGCATCTAATGAGCCTTTGAACTTCTATAGTCTTGATTATGATATCTTCTTTTTTATTCCTGATTTTATTTAGTTTGCCCTTCTCTCTTTTTTCTTTTTTTCTTTTCTTTTCTTTTCCTTTCCCTTTCTTTCTTTCTTTCTTTCTTTCTTTCTTTCTTTCTTTCTTTCTTTCTTTCTTTCTTTCTTTCTTTCTTTCTTTCTTATTATACTTTAAGTTCTAGGGTACATGTGCACAACATGGAAGTTTGTTACATATGTATACATGTGCCACGTTGGTGTGCTGCACCCATTAACTCATCATTTACATTAGGTATATCTCCTAATGCTATCCCTTCCCCCTCCCCCAACCCCATGACAGGCCCCGGTGTGTGATGTTCCCCTTCCTGTGTCCAAGTGTTCTTATTGTTCAATTCCCACCTGTGAGTGAGAACACGCAGTGTTTGGTTTTCTGTCCTTGCGATAGTTTGCTCAGAATGATGGTTTCCAGCTTCATCCATGTCCCTACAAAGGACATGAAGTCTTCCTTTTTTATGGCTGCATAGTATTCCATGGTGTATACGTGCCACGTTTTCTTTATTTTTTTCTTTTTAAATATATATATTTTATTATACTTTAAGTTCTAGGGTACATGTGCACAACATACAATTTTGTTACATATGTATACATGTGCCATGTTGGTGTGCTGCACCTATTAACTCATCATTTACGTTAGGTATATCTCCTAATGCTATCCCTCCCCTTCCCCCCCACCCCACAACAGGCCCCCCTACCCCACAACAGGTGTGATGTTCCCCTTCCTGTGTCCAAGTGTTCTCATTGTTCAATTCCCACCTATGAGTGAGAACATGCGGCGTTTGGTTTTTTGTCCTTGCGATAGTTTGCTGAGAATGATGGTTTCCAGCTTCATCCATGTCCCTACAAAGGACATGAACTCATCCTTTTTTATGGCTGCATAGTATTCCATGGTGTATATGTGCCACATTTTCTTAATCCATTCTATCCTTGTTGGACATTTGGGTTGGTTCCAAGTCTTTGCTATTGTGAATAGTGCCACAATAAACATATGTGTGCATGTGTCTTTATAGCAGCATGATTTATAATCCTTTGGGTATATAACCAGTAATGGGATGGCTGGGTCAAATGGTATTTCTGGCTCTAGATCCCTGATGAATCGCCACACTGTCTTCCACAATGGTTGAACTAGTTTACAGTCCCACCAATAGTGTAAAAGTGTTCCTATTTCTCCACACCCTCTCCAGCACCTGTTGTTTCCTGACTTTTTAATGATCGCCATTCTAACTGGTGTGAGAAGGTATCTCATTGTGGTTTTGATTTGCATTTCTCTGATGGCCAGTGATGACGAGCATTTTTTCATGTGTCTTTTGGCTGCATAAATGTCTTCTTTTGAGAAGTGTCTGTTCATATCCTTTGCCCACTTGTTCATGGGGTTGTTTGTTTTTTTCTTGTAAATTTGTTGGGCTCTTTGTAGATTCTGGATATTAGCCCTTTGTCAGATGAGTAGATTACAAAAATGTTCTCCCATTCTGTAGGTTGCCTGTTCACTCTGATGGTAGCTTCTTCTGCTGTGCAGAAGCTCTTTAGTTTCATTAGATCCCATTTGTCAATTTTGCCTTTTGTTGCCATTGCTTTTGGTGTTTTAGACATGAAGTCCTTGCCCATGCCTATGTCCTGAATGGTATTGCCTAGGTTTTCTTCTAGGGTTTTTATGGTTTTAGGTCTAATATTTAAGTCTTTAATCCATCTTGAATTAACTTTTGTATAAGATGTAAGGAAGGGATCCAGTTTCAGCTTTCTATGTATGGCTAGCCAGTTTTCCCAGCACCATTTATTAAATAGGGAATCCTTTCCCCATTGCTTGTTTTTGTCAGGTTTGTCAAAGATCAGATGGTTGTAGATGTGTGGCATTATTTCTGAGAGCTCTGTTCTGTTCCATTGGTCTATATCTCTGTTTTGGTACCAGTACCATGCTGTTTTGGTTACTGTAGCCTTGTAGTATAGTTTGAAGTCAGGTAGCATGATGCCTCCAGCTTTGTTCTTTTGGCTTAGGATTGACTTGGCAATGCGGGCTCTTTTTTGGTTCCATATGAACTTTAAAGTAGTTTTTTCCAATTCTGTGAAGAAAGTCATTGGTAGCTTGATGGGGATGGCATTGAATCTATAAATTACCTTGGGCAGTATGGCCATTTTCATGATATTGATTCTTCCTATCCATGAGCACGGAATGTTCTTCCATTTGTTTGTGTCCTCTTTTATTTCGTTGAGCAGTGGTTTGTATTTCTCCTTGAAGAGGTCCTTCACATCCCTTGTAAATTGGATTCCTAGGTATTTTATTCTCTTTGAAGCAATTGTGAATGGGAGTCACTCATGATTTGGCTCTCTGTTTGTCTTTTATTGGTGTATAGGAATGCTTGTGATTTTTGCAAGTTGATTTTGTATCTGAGACTTTGCTGAAGTTGCTTATCAGCTTAAGGAGATTTTGGGCTGAGATGATGGGGTTGTCTAAATATACAATCATGTCATCTGCAAACAGGGACAGTTTGACTTCCTCTTTTCCTAATTGAATACCCTTTATTTCTTTCTCCTGCCTGGTTTCCCTGGCCAGAACTTCCAACACTATGTTGAATAGGAGTGGTGAGAGAGGGCATCCCTGTCTTGTGCCAGCTTTCAAAGGGAATGCTTCCAGTTTTTGCCCATTCAGCTTGATATTGGCTGTGGGTTTGTCATAATAGCTGTTATTATTTTGAGATACGTCCCATCAATACCTAGTTTATTGAGAGTTTTTAGCATGAAGATTGTTGAATTTCGTCAAAGGCCTTTTCTGCATCTATTGAGATAATCATGTGGTTTTTGTCTTTGGTTCTATTTATATGATGGATTACATTTATTGATTTGTGTATGTTGAACCAGTCTTGAATCCCAGGGATGAAGCCAGCTTGATCATGGTGGATAAGGTTTTTGATGTGCTGCTGGATTTGGTTTGTCAGTATTTTACTGAGGATTTTTGGATCAATGTTCATCAGGGATATTGGTCTAAAATTCTCTTTTTTCGTTGTGTCTCTGCCAGGCTTTGGTATCAGGATGATGCTGGCCTCATAAAATGAGTTAGGGAGGATTCCCTCTTTTTCTATTGACTGGAATAGTTTCAGAAGGAATGGTACCAGCTCCTGTTTGTACCACTGGTAGAATCTGGCTGTGAATCTGTCTGCTCCTGGACTTTTTTTGGTTGGTAGGCCATTAATTGTTGCCTCAATTTCAGAGTCTGTTATTGATCTATTCAGAGATTCAGCTTCTTCCTGGTTTAGTCTTGGGAGGGTGTATGTGTCCAGGAATTTATCCATTTCTTCTAGATTTTTCTAGTTTATTTGCGTAGAGGTATTTATACTATTCTCTGATTGTAGTTTGTATTTCTGTGGGATCGGTGGTGATAGCCCCTTTATAATTTTTTATTGTGTCTATGTGATTCTTCTCTTTTTTTTTCTTTATTAGTCTTGCTAGCAGTCTCTCAATTAAAAAGAAACCAGCTCCTGGATTCATTGCTTTTTTGAAGGGTTTTTTGTGTCTCTGTCTCCTTTAGTTCTGCTCTGATCTTAGTTATTTCTTGCCTTCTGCTAGCTTTTGAATGTGTTTGCTCTTGCTTCTCTAGTACTTTTTTTTTTTTTTTTTTTTTTTTGAGTCAGAGTCTCACTCTGTCACCCAGGCAGGCTGGAGGGCAGTGGTGCGATCTCGGCTCACTGCAAGCTCTGCCTCCCAGGTTCACACCATTCTCCTGCCTCAGCCTCCCAAGTAGCTGGAATTACAGGTGCCCACCACCACGCCCGGCTAATTTTTTGTATTTTTAGTAGAGATGGCGTTTCACTGTGTTAGCCAGGATGGTCTGGATCTCCTGACCTCATGATCCACCCACCTTGGCCTCCCAAAGTGCTGGGTTTATAGGCATGAGCCACCGTGCCCACCCTCTCTAGTTCTTTTAATTGTGATGTTAGGGTGTCAATTTTAGATCTTTCCTGCTTTCTCTTTTGGGCATTTAGTGCTATAAATTTCCCCCTACACACTGCTTTAAATGTGTTCCAGAGATTCTGGTATGTTGTGTCTTTGTTCTCATTGCCTTCATTTTGTTATGTAGCCAGTAGTCATTTAGGAACAAGTTGTTCAGTTTCCTTGTAGTTGAGTGGTTTTGAGTGAGTTTCTTAATCTTGAGTTCTAATTTGATTGCACTGTGGTCTGAG
This sequence comes from Homo sapiens, assembly GCF_000001405.40. Lineage (NCBI taxonomy): Eukaryota > Metazoa > Chordata > Mammalia > Primates > Hominidae > Homo > Homo sapiens. The sequence continues at coordinate 33,828,270 of NC_000014.9, read as the reverse complement.
AGATAGTTTGTTATAATTTCTGTTCTTTTACATTTGCTGAGGAGTGCTTTACTTCCAACTATGTGGTCAATTTTGGAATAAGTGTGATGTGGTGCTGAGAAGAATGTATATTCTGTTGATTTGGGGTGGAGAGTTCTGCAGATGTCTGTTAGGTCCCCCTGGTGCAGAGCTGAGTTCAAGTCCTGGAAATCCTTGTCAACTTTCTGTCTCGTTGATCTGTCTAATGTTGACAGTGGGGTGTTAAAGTCTCCCATTATTATTGTGTGGGAGTCTAAGTCTCTTTGTAGGTCTGTAAGGACTTGCTTTATGAATCTGTGTGCTCCTGTATTGGGTGCATATATATTTAGGATAATTAGCTCTTCTTGTTGAATTGATCCCTTTACCATTATGTAATGGCCTTCTTTGTCTCTTTTGATCTTTTTTGGTTTAACATCTGTTTTATCAGAGACTACGATTGCAACCCCTGCTTTTTTTTGTTTTCCATTTGCTTGGTAGATCTTCCTCCATGCCTTTATTTTGAGCCTATGTGTGTCCCTGCACATGAGATGGGTCTCCTGAATATAGCACACTGATGGGTCTTGACTTTTTATCCAATTTGCCAGTCTGTGTCTTTTAATTGGAGCATTTAGCCCATTTACATTTAAAGTTAATATTGTTACGTGTGAATTTGATCCTGTCATTATGATGTTAGTTGGTTATTTTGCTCGTTAGTTGATGCAGTTTCTTCCTAGCATCGATGGTCTTTACAATTTGGCATGTTTTTGCAGTGGCTGGTACCAGTTGTTCCTTTCCATGTTTAGTGCTTCCTTCAGTAGCTCCTGTAAGGCAGGCCTGGTGGTGACAGAATCTCTCAGCATTTGCTTGTCTGTAAAGTATTTTATTTCTCCTTCACTTCTGAAGCTTAGTTTGGCTGGATATGAAGTTCTGGGTTGAAAATTCTTTTCTTTAAGAATATTGAATATTGGCTCCCACTCTCTTCTGGCTTGTAGAGTTGCTGCTGAGAGATCAGCTGTTAGTCTGATGGGCTTCCCTTTGTGGGTAACCCGACTTTTCTCTCTGGCTTCCCTTAACATTTTTTCCTTCATTTCAACCTTGGTAAATCTGACAGTTATGTGTCTTGGGGTTGCTCTTCTTGAGGAGTATCTTTGTGGCGTTCTCTGTATTTCCTGAATTTGAATGTTGGCCTGCCTTGCTAGTTTGGGGAAGTTCTCCTGGATAATATCCTGCAGAGTGTTTTCCAACTTGGTTCCATTCTCCCCATCACTTTCAGGCACACCAATCAGACGTAGATTTGGTCTTTTCACATTGTCCCTTATTTCTTGGAGGCTTTGTTTCTTTCTTTTTACTCTTTTTTCTCTAAACTTCTCTCCTCACTTCATTTCATTTATTTGATCTTCAATCACTGATACCCTTTCTTCCACTTCATTGAATTGGCTACTGAAGCTTGTGCATGCGTCATGTAGTTCTCATGCCATGGTTTTCAGCTCCATCAAGTCATCCAAGGTCTTCTTTATGCTGTTTATTCTAGTTAGCCGTTCGTCTAATCTTTTTTCAAGGTTTTCAGCTTCTTTGCATTGGGTTCGAACATCCTCCTTTAGCTTGGAGAAGTTTGTTATTACCATTCGTCTGAAGCCTACTTCTGTCAACTCGTCAAAGTCATTCTCCATCCAGCTTTGTTCCGTTGCTGGCAAGGAGCTGCGTTCCTTTTGGAGGAGAAGAGGCGCTCTGATTTTTAGAATTTTCAGCTTTTCTGCTCTGGTTTCTCCCCATCTTTGTAGTTTTACTACCTTTGGTTTTTGATGATGTTGATATACAGATGGGGTTTTGGTGTGGATGTTCTTTCTGTTTGTTAGTTTTCCTTCTAACAGCCAGGACCCTCAGCTGCAGGTCTTTTGGAGTTTGCTGGAAGTCCACTCCAGACCCTTTTTGCCTGGGTATCAGCAGCGGAGGCTGCAGAACAGCAAATATTGCAGAACAACAAATGTTGCTGCCTGATCCTTCCTCTGAAAGCTTTACCTGAGAGGGGCACTTGGCTGTATGAGGTGTCAGATGGCCTCTACTGGGAGGTGTCTCCCAGTTAGGCTACTCAGGGGTCAGGGACCCACTTGAGGAGGCAGTCTGTCTGTTCTCAGATCTCAAACTCCGTGCTGGGAGAACCACTACTCTCTTCAAAGCTGTCAGACAGGGAGGTTTAAGTCTGCAGAAGTTTCTCTGCCTTTTGTTCAGCTATGCCCTGCCCCCAGAGGTGGAGTCTACAGAGGCAGTCAGGCCTCCTTGAGCTGCAGTGGGCTCCACCTAGTTGGAGCTTCCCAGCAGGTTTGTTTACCTACTCAAGCCTCAGCAATGGTGGATGCCCCTCCCCCAGCCTCGCTACTGCCTTGCAGTTCTATCTATCTCAGACCTCTGTGCTAGCAGTGAGTGAGGCTCCTTGGGCGTGGGACCCTCCCAGCTAGGGGCGGGATATAATCTCCTGGTGTGCCATTTGCTAACACCATTGGAAAAGCGCAGTATCAGGGTGGGAGTGTCCTGGTTTTCCAGGTACTGTCTGTCATGGCTTCCCTTTGCTAGGAAAGGGAATTCCCTGACCCCTTTCCCTGCCCTGCTTCAGCTCACACTCTGTAGGCTGCACCCACTGTTCAACAAGCCCCAGTGAAATCAACCCCATACCTCAGTTGGAAATGCAGAAATCACCCATCTTCTGTGTCGCTCACGCTGGGAGCTGTAGACTGGAGCTATTCCTATTCGGCCATCTTGGAATTGCCTCTTCTCTCTTTTTTTCTTAGTTAGTCTGGATAAAAGTTTGTCAGCTTTATCTTTTCAGAAAACCAACTTTTTGTTTCGTTGATCTGTTGTATTGCATGGTTGTTTTTTTGTTTCAATTTTATGTATTTCTGCTCTAATCTTTATCATTTCTTCTAACTCTGGATTTGATTTGTGCTTGTTTTTCTAGTTCTTTAAGATGTATCATTATGTTGTTTATTTGAAGTTTTTATACTTTTTTGATGTAGGTGCTTATTGCTATAAACTTTCCACTTACTACTGCTCTCACTGTACCCATAGGTTTTGGTGACTTGTGTTTCCATTTTCATTTGTTTCAAGAAAGTTTTCAGTTTCCTTCTTAATTTTTTCATTGACCCACTGGTCATTAAGCAGCATATTGTTTAATTTCCACATATTTGTAGAGTTTCCAAAATTCCTTGCTATTTATTTCTCATTATATTCCATTGTGTCAGAGAAGATTTTAATAGTATTGCAATTTTTTTGAAATTTTAAAGACTTGTTTTGTGGCCTAATATAGGGTCTGTTCTTGAGGATGTTCCATCTGCTGAAACAAAGAATGTGTATTCTGCAACTATTGGATGAAGCATTCTGTAAATATCTATTAGGTCCATTTGGTCTATACTGCAGATTCTGTCTAATGTTTCTTTGTAGATTTTCTGTCTGGATGATCTGTCCAATACTAAAAGTGAGGTGTTGAAGTCTCCAACTATTATTGTTTTGGGGTCTACTTCTCTTTTTACCTTTAATAATATTTGCTTTTTATATCTAAGTGCTGCAGTTTTGGGTGCATATATATTTATAAGTGTTATATCCCTTTGCTGAATTGACCCCTTTGTCATTGTATAATGACCTTTTTGTCTCTTTTTATAGTTTTGTCTTGAAGTATATTTTGTCTGATATAAATATAGCTACTCCTGCTTTTTTTGGTTTCTGTTTGCATGGAATATCTTTTTTCATCCCTTTATTTTCAGTCTATGTGTGTCTTTATAGGTGAAGTGTGTTTCATGCAGGCAACAAATTGTTGGGTTTTTTTTTTTTTAATCCATTCAGCTACCCTCTGTCTTTTGATTGGAGAATTTAGTTCATTTACATTCAATGTCATTATTAATAAGAAAGGATTTACTCCTGCCATTTTGTTATTTGCTTTTCTGGGTTATTGTTTGTTTGTTTGTTTTGGTTCTCTCTTCTCCTTTTTTTTCCTTTCTTCTTGTCTTCCTTTTAGTGAAGGTGATTTTCTCTGGTAGTAGTTTTTTTTTTTTTTTAAGAGACAGAGTTTCACTCTGTTGCCCAGGCTGGAGTGCAGTGGCATAATCATAATTCACTGTAGCCTTGAACTCCTGGGCTCAGGCAATCCTCCCACCCCAGCCTCCTGAGTAGCTAGGACTGTAGATATGTGCCACCATGCCCAGCGAATTAAAAAAAATTTTTTTTTTGTAGCGATGAGATCTCACTTACATTGCCCAGGCTGGTCTTGAATACTTAGCCTCAAATAATCCTCCCACTTTGGCCTCCCAAAGTACTGGGATGAGCCACCATGTCTGACCTTTGGTAGTATGTTTTAATTTCTTGCTTTTTATTTTTTGTGTATCTGTTGTATATTTTTTGATTTGAGGTTATCATGAGGCTTGCAAATAATCTTATAACCCATTTTTTAACTAGTAAGAACTTAACACAGGTTGATTAAACAAGCAAAGAGAAAACTAATAAAATTCTGCACTATAACTTCATGCCCCTGCTTTTTAACTTTCCATTGTTTTTATTTATATTTTATTGTACGGTTTGTCTTGAAAACTTGTAGTTACTATTTTTGACAGGTTCATCTTTTAGTCTTTCTGCTCAAGATATGAGTAGTTTATATACAATTACAGTGTTAAAATATTGTGTTTTTTTGTGTACTTACTATTACTGGTGAGATTCTTATCTTCAGATGATTTTTTATTGCTCATTAATGTCCTTTTCTTTCAGATTGAAGAACTTCCTATAGCATTTCTTGGAGGACGGATCTAGTGTTGATGAAATCTCTCAATTTTTGCTTGTCTGGGAAAGTCTTTATTATTCCTTCATGTTTGAAGGATATTTTCACTGGATATACTAGTTTTTCTCCTTCCGCACTTTAAATGTATCATGCCACTCTCTTCTGGCTTGTAATGTTTCCACTGAGAAGTCTGCTGCCAGATGTATTGGAGCTCCACTCTGTTCTTTCTTTCCTTTATCTTGCTGCTTTTAGGATCCTTTCTTTGATTATTAAATGTCTTGAGGTGGTGTGATTTGGGTTAAATCTGCTTGGTGTTCTGCAACTATCTTGTATTTGAATATTGATATCTTTTTCTAGGTTGGGGTGTTCTCTGTTATTATCTCTTTGAAGAAGTTTTCAACCCTGATTTCCGTATCTCCTCTTTAAGACTGATAATTCTTAGGTTTGCCCTTTTGAGGTTATTGTCTAGATCTAGGCATGCTTCACTGTTTTTTATTCTTTTTTCTTTTGTCTCTTCTGAACGTGTATTTTCAAAAGCCTGTCTTCAAGCTAATTGTTTCTTCTACTTGATCAATTCTGCTGATAAGAGACTCTGATGCTTTCTTTAGTATGTCAGTTGCATTTTTCAGCTCCAGAATTTCTGCTTGATTTTTAAAAATTATTTCAATCTCTTTGTTAAATATATCAGATAGGTTTGAATTCCTTCTCTGTGCTACCTTGAATTTCATTGACTTTCCTCAAAACAGCTATTTTGAATTCTCTGTCTGAAAGGTCACATACCTCTGTCTCTCCAGGATTGGTCCCTGGTGCCTTATTTAGTCTTTTTGGTGAGGTCATATTTTCCTGGATAGTCCTGATGCTTGTGGATGTTTGTCGGTTTCTGGGCATTTAAGAGTTAGGTATTTATTGTAGTCTTCACAGTCTGCACTTGTTTGTACCTGTTCTTCTCGGGAAGGTTTTCAAGGTATCCAAAGGGACTTGGGTGTTGCTATTTAAGTCTTTGGTCACTCACTGCAGCTGTGTCTACATTAGGGGACACCCCAAGCCCAATATTACTGTGGCTCTTGCAGATTCATAGAGGTACCACCTTGGTGGTCTTCGGTATGGTCCAGGAGAATTCCCTGGATTAGCAGGCAGAGACTCTTGTTCTCTTCCCTTACTTTCCCCCTAACTAACAGAATCTCTGTCTCTGTTTTGGGCTGCCCAGAGCTGAGGGAGGGATGACACAAGCACCCCTGTGGCCACCACCACTGGGACTGTGCTGGATCAGACCCAAAGCCAGCACAGCACTGGGCCTGGCCCAAGGCCGGTACCACCACATATTTTTGGATGGATTATCAAGTGGGAGAGTCAAGCACTCCACAGCTGGATGGTTTATGGTCAAGGAATTTTGATTGAAAGGCTAGCAACTAGGATTCTAAATCACAGTGGTCCATAGTTCTTTTTTTAATATAGAAATATAGTATATAATAAAGGTGACATTTTAAATAATTGGTGAAAATATGGATGGTATAGCAACATCTAACATTGATGTCATAGTAACAATAAGACAAAGCTAAATAACGTGAAATGTAAATGCCACAAATTGAGTCAAAAGAATATCATGACAATTTGGGAAAAGTTACTTGCAAACTATATTACTTGAGGTAAGATTAATAATACAAAAGTCTATGAAAAATTGAGATAGAAATGACCAACAAAATGATATGAACATGTACAAAATATACGAATAATTAAATAACAGCAAATGAAATTTAGATTAGCATAAATATATAATTAGGTGCTTATAATACTACATAGAAAAAGATTGATTCTTCCTATCCATGAGCATGGAATGTTTTCCCATTAGTTTGTGTCATCTCTGATTTCTTTGAGCTTTGTAGTTCTCCTTGTAGGGATCATAGTCCATAGTTCTTCAGTAAGCATTGGACAAGTAGTTCTGAACTCTGTTGATGAAAAGAATCAAACTACGTAAAATACTTGAAGAAATTTATCCTGAGCCAAATATGAGTGACCATGGCCCATGACACGGCCCTCAGGAGCCCCTGAGAACATGTACGTAGGGTGGTTTGGACAAAGCTTGATTTTATACATTTCAGGGAGACATGAGGCTTCAATTAAATACCATGAAAATATACACAGGTTTGGTCCAGAAGGGTGGGACACGAAGAGGCAGGAGTGGGGTTCTAGGTTCTAGGTAGATTTAAAAATGTTCTGATTGCCAATTGGTTGAAAGAGTTATTATCAATGGAAAGCAATGTCTGGGTTAAGATAGGAGGTTGTGGAGACCAAAGTTTTGTCATGCAGATGAAGACTGGTGTCCAGCCTTGCAAGACTGTAATTTTCTTTTTTTTTTTTTTTTTTTTTTTTTTTTTTTTGAGACGGAGTCTCGCTCTGTCGCCCAGGCTGGACTGCGGACTGCAGTGGCGCAATCTCGGCTCACTGCAAGCTCCGCTTCCCGGGTTCAACGCCATTCTCCTGCCTCAGCCTCCCCAGTAGCTGGGACTACAGGCGCCCGCCACCGCGCCCGGCTAATTTTTTGTATTTTTTTTTTAGTAGAGACGGGGTTTCACCTTGTTAGCCAGGATGGTCTCGATCTCCTGACCTCATGATCCACCCGCCTCGGCCTCCCAAAGTGCTGGGATTACAGGCGTGAGCCACCGCGCCCGGCCGACTGTAATTTTCAATGCATGTATAATTGCATTAACATATTTAAAGAAATGAAACATCCAAAGCAGAGGGCTTAGTGAGCTGTGGGAAGCATAGAAAAAAGGAGAATCACCCAAGACCCCTGTTTTGAAAATCCCATACGAGCTCTGTCCCTTGGAGTGGGAGAATTCACCAACACATTTCCAGAAATTCCAGTCCCAAAGGCAAGAGTGTTCCTGTTGTGCACCTGATGTGAAAACAGGAGCTTCATCTGACTCCCCTTTTGCTGATTCTGTGTCCTCGCAGCAGTTTTCTGGTTCCAGTGAAGTTCTGCTCCTGGAGACAGAGAATGCAGAAAATACACAGATTTTAAATATTTCTGAGTCTTTTCACAGTGATTTCTCATGATAATGAGTGGCTTCTGATTACCATTTGGTTTTCCCTGACTACAGGGAGAAAAGGAGATTATTATGCCAACCTGAATAATTCCAGTCTGTGTGACAATTCTATTTCTCACTTTAAATTAATATATTGCCACCCTGATGCCTTCCTCAGGCCTTCTGTACATTATAGTTAGTGTGAGTCAGTATTTGTGTCTGATTGCCTCAGGACATTGACAAGAGTGAGCCCGCCGTCTGCTAGAAAACTCTGATTCTATTTCCATCTTGCATCCTTTATTTATTTCTACATCAAACACAGCTATGTATTTGGTTAATTCATCTGTGTTAAAATGTGTTAGTACCAGATAACATTTAAAATACCTCAAGAAAATTTATGAAAAACTTTTTGTGGATCTCATTTGTCTCTACTTCACTGTTTTGGGACAGGAAGAGTAGCATGGGGAAACTGAGGCAGTTTCTTGCAATGGCCTCAAAGATCACTTTTAATTTTGTGGATCTATGTCTCACCATTTGATGGGTAAAGTTGTTTCTACTAAGTTTCCTATCCAATCTAAAGGTACTGAGGCCATTAGTAGAAGCGAAAGGTGACTATGAAATAACAGGACGAGCATGGGACATGGAATTTTTGGAGAGGACCAAAGATTAAAGTGCTTTCCTATTCATTGGCACGGGCATTTCAAATGCTTGTCCTTGTTGTGGTCTTACTTGTCTCAGATTGACCTGTTCTTTTGAAAAGTCTGATAATGTGATTAAAAAGCACACAAGCAGGGGTTGAAGAATCAACATTTGAACCATTTCAGGATGCCAAGGAGATTTTATAGAAGCTGGGTGCCTGTTAAGACCACTGTGTTTAATTCTTTTCTCTTTTTTTTTTTTTTTTTTTTTTGAGACAGTTTTGCTCTGCACCCAGACTGGAGTGCAGTGGCACGATCTCAGCTCACTACAACCTCCCCTTCCTGGATTCAAGCAATCCTCCTGCCTTAGCTTCCCAAGTAGCTAGGACCACAGGTGTGTGCCACCACGCCTGGCTAATTTTTGTATTTTTAGTAGAGGCAGGGTTTCACCATGTTGGCCAGGCTGGTCTCAAAACTCCTGACCTCAGGCAATCCACCTGCCTCAGGCTCCCAAAATGCTGGGATTACAGGCATGAGCCACCGTGCCTGGCTTGAAACCACTGTGTTCAATTCTTATAAATGGGATCCTAATTATGAAATTACAGAAGAAAACTTGTTATCTAACAAGATCAAGACAGTTTAATTAAAAAGTTGGATAAAGCATAGAATGTGTTTAAAAACTAGCCGTCAAAACCCAATGCATATGCACCTAGAACATTTTGTATTAAATTAAGACACCTAAATGTACTCATTTACATAGACTTGATGTAGATTCTAGGCTTTTTAAAGTGCACGTCTACTATTTATAGTCCTGCATCATCTTTCTTGCATAAATGACGCCCCCAAATATTGTCTTCATTGTCCAAACTTTGGTTTATTTAAAGAGAAGTACAAATTTAAAGATCTCTGACACAATCTGAAGAGATACTTTCCCTTCAATGTTTTATAGTCATCAACATCAAATTTCTGAAGCAAGTCTCTGTGTAATCATCTTTACAAAACACTCACTCTAGTTCTCATAGAAACGACAATCTTCTTTCGCTCTCATAGTTGAGTATTTATGTAATATTAAATACATTGTTATGATAACAAGCACAACAGATTTGTATACACGCTACAGGCTCTTGGTGAGCAGGAGACTCTGTCATTCACAGTCACAGACTGACCCAACAGTGGCAAGAATACAGCATGCTCTGTGGACCAGCCATGAAGAATGGGGCATGTCAGTGACTCTAGCTGGCTGCTAGGCTGAGGTCAGATAGGAGAACCTCTCATTTTGGAGGTCACCTGCAAACTTACCTCACTCTGCAGTTAAGTCAGGTGGACCCCAGAGAGGTTAAGGGACAAAAGGCAGGTCACAAAGTTAGAGAGCTGTTATTATTGTCTGTCTTTCTTGACTCATAGTCTAATATGTAGTATTTTTTTGTGAGGATTCATTTGGAATATTCTTTAAAAAGCTTTTTTCCCTACATTTAATCTAAATATGTTCTTTTTATCACTAGATGTAATTATTTTTTGAGGTTTATGGTTAAGACTTCGTAAGAGCTCATAGCCATGATATTATAATAGCATTTAATAACAAAAACAAATTTGCTATATTGGCACCTTTTCCAAGGAATAGAATTGTTCCATGAAGTGAGGCATACTCTGTGGATTCTTACTAACATTTCATTTTCCTGACAGTGCTAGAAACTTGGACCACGTTAACTCCATTTATCCTCATCCTAACTTATGGTATATGCTGGTGTGCTTTAGTTTTCTCTATATTCTTAGCCCCACAAGATATTATTATTATTGCTTCATGGAATCAAGATTTATTTAAATTTATTAACATCTTTGCTCTTTGCTTTGTTTTTAATTACATACTGTAGTTCTTAGTTTCCATCTGGGGTCATTTCTCTTTTTAAAGAATCTTTTAGTGTTTCTTTAGTACAGTTTCCCAGTGATAAATTTTGTTTTGCATCTGAAAATATCTGTATTTTACTTCCGTTGTGTTTTTTTTTTACTGGATATAGACTTCTAGATTTGTAGACTTATTTTTTAATCCTTTGAAGAGATATTATTCTTTTCTGGTTTTTCTGGTTTCTACTGGTAAGTTAGCTTTTGGTCTTATTACTGTTTTTTGAAAGAAATAAGTCTGTATTTCCCCTCTGTTTGCTCACATGGTTTTTTCTTTGTCTTTGGTTTTTGGCAGTTTTACTACAAATACCTATGTGATGTCCATGCATGTATTTTAATTCATTGTACTTGGGTTTGAATCTGCAACTTTGAAGGCTTTAAACAGTTTTGGAAAATTCTTAGTCATTATCTCCTCACATTTTTCTTCTGATTCATTCTTTTTTGTCTCTCCTTGGACAATGACATGTAGGCTAGGCCCTTTCATCCTATCCCATATAACCTATATGTTCTTTCCTGTGTTTTTCTAGACTTCCATCTCTTGGTACTTTACTCTGGATATTGTCTACCTGTTTACTAATAGGAATTCTCAAATAATCTAATTTTCTGTTAAATCCATTGTTTGAGTTTTTAAGTTCAGTTATAAAACTTTGGCTACAGAATTTTTCCATTCAGTTCTTTTATAATTTGAACATTTCTCTTAATTTTCAATATTGACTGTTCACTTCTCAAACACTGATTATTGTTACGGTCCATATTTGATAATTCCATTCTTTGGATTTTGTTTAGGTTTATTTTTATTGTTTGTTGTTTCTTTTGATTTTCAGTCACATTGTTATCTTGCGTACCCATATGAATGGCTAATTTTGATTGAATGTTCCCTGGAGTATTTAAAATTGAAGAGATAATGTGATGCTCTGATATATATTATGTGCTCAAGGGGGATTTATATTTGCTTCTGCCTGATGACTAGGAGAGAGGTATGTTTAAATCTTCCAACATGATTGTAGATTTGAACTTGCAGTTTTGAATTTAGCATTGTACATTTTTAGACTGTTACATGGGAATACAAACGTGATTTTTAATAAATTTCTGATGAGTCAAACATTTTATTATGAAGCAATCCTTTTATTTTCAGTGAACTTTTTTTGGTCTTAAAAATCTCTATTTTATAAAGTATTAAAAAATAGGTGTGATGACTTTCAGGAATAATTCTCTCTTCAACATCAAGGTGGGGAGGAACCCATAGCATAGTGGTTACAAAATCAATCAAGCTTTGAAACCAGGGAGGCTTGGGTTATTATTCTGGCTCCACCAATTATTAGTTAAGAGACTGTGGATAAGTCATCCAACTTCTTGGATTCTCAGTTTCTAGACCTTAAGATAGTGATAACAATAGTTTCTACCATTATTGGCATGCAATGAGCAAGTGAATGTAAAGTGCTTACTATAGTGCTTGGCATATGGTAAATGGTGGCTGTGATGATCTTGTGATCTTGTCATGGCCTGATTGGTTTTTTTGGAGTTGTCCTCAGAATTTTTAGTTCCTCACATTAGGCAATATTTAAAGCACCCAGCTAGGAGTGTGTGGGTCTCTAGGTAACTGGTAGCTGCTTAGTAGCATCATTTTAGATTCTCATTATTAGTTCAGCTTCCATAAGGGTTTTCCAGTTCCATCCCTGCCAGGTATCAGTGTGCGCATGAACCTTCTCCCTGTAACGGAGAGCAAATGAAGCATTGCCTAATTCATTCTCCAAGTTTACTCTAGAGTTTTTTTTTTTTCAACCTTTTCTTTGAACTGTGAGAGTGCCTGGTGTTTAAGAACAGTTCAGATGATACTTCTGAGATATGTGGTTTCACAGAAGATATCTCCTTGCAACAAATGGGATATAGAACTTCTACGTATTGTCTGTGCAGCCAGAATTGGTTCTTTTTAGGCTGTGAAGTACTTCTTTGTTTCTGTGGGATTCTTTCTTGTTGGATATGTGGAGTTAGCTAGAATCATCACTTGTCAACCGTTTGCTAGAGTTTAAAGACCTCTTTGCATCCTTCATACAATGTTGAAGCTTCTAGCTTTTCCCACATTTGACCTCTCATGCTTTCCTATCCATGTGCTGGAATATGTAAGGAGCAATGCAGGTCAAAAGACAAACTCTAAGAAAGAACTAGGGAACTTGGTTTAGTGATGAACAGCCAAAGGATATTTATAATTGATCTAATCTAATAGTTATATCAGTTAAGAATTAAATTCAGTAGCAAAGTAAATCCCTCTTCCCAAAATGACATGGCTTAAACAAGATAGAAGTTTATTCAGTTTCATATAAAAGTGGTTCAGAAGTAGGTAGTTCATGGCTAGAGTAATGCCCCCAGAACTAAGCTCTGCTCCCCTATCCTAGCTCATGGCTTTTATTTTTAAGGTCATTTCATGATCCAGTATGGCTGCTGGAACTCCAGCCATTATGTCTGAGTTGCAGCCTAGAATAAGAAGGAAAGACAGTGTATCAGCTTGCTTGGAAATTTTCATTCTGTGTTAAGATTTCATGGGCTAGAACTTTGTCATGTGGCTATATTCAGCTGCAAGAGAGGCTAAAAAACAAAATATTTTATTCTAAGCAGCGCTGTGCCTAGCTAAGAAAAGTTTTGGGTTCCATTACCAAGGAGAAAAAACAAAAGGATATCAGGTAGTCAACCAACAATTTTGTTGGCATGGCTATAGTGGCTTAACTAGGGTCAATGATTCCACACAGTTCAACGCTAGTCTGATACAGGTTTGGGACCAACCTTATTCTTTCTCCATTGAATAAAGCCCCAGTCATACACTTTATTACTTTCTCTTTCCTAGAAGTTTCTTTTTAAATATATAGAATATCACACAAGAGCCTCTGTGGATGATCAGAGAGGTCATACCAAACAAAGTCAATTCATTTCTCTGGGGAGAAATTGAGAGTACAGAAAGTCCTTGAAACAGGCACAACATCTTACATGCCTGACCTTAATGCATGCATAGTGTCTCCTCTGAATGCAGTGCTGGGGCCAGAGCCTAGGCTGTGGGACAAACCAACGTGAGGCACATAGGAAGGTGACAAGATAGATTCTGCAAGGGCAAGACTTTGCCTCCAAGCCCTCTTGTTCGGTAGCCATTTAATATGAGTGATGCAGGGACTACAGTTTTTCAAAGAAAGATCATACCAATCAGTGACAAAAAGAAGTTGCTTCTTAGAAATATGGCCCTTTTATTTCCTTCACTGCCAAATTTCTGGAAGGGATAGCCATCTTATGCTGTCTTTGTTCACCATGTCCATTTAATACTTCAGTCCTTACCTGGCCTTCTGGAAACATTTTTCTTAACTGATTTCTGTAACACCAATCCCTTTCATTCTTCTGGCCTCTTTTAAACATTTCTGTCATGGGCTTATTCCTCTGACCACTCCTTTGACACATGCTAGCACCCCATTCTTGGCCGTTTACTCATCGACACCATCTCTCCTGTGTAATGTCATCTAGACCCATGGCTTCTCCTATGAATGCTGATGTTTCTGATGCTACCTTTAAAACCAGTTTCTCTCCAGAGATCTAGAACTATTTTTCCACCTACTCACCGGACATTTCCTGCATTTTCTATGAGCACTTAAAACTTACCATGTCTAAAATGGAGCTCTTCAACTCCTCCTACTCATCCCTTAAATCTTCCTTTGCTCCTGTGTTCTCTGCCTGTCTTGTTCAATGACACCCACACACCCAAGCCAGAAACCTGAGTCATCTTTTACTCTTTCCTCTCCATCATCTCTCTCCATATCCAACCAGTCACTGTCACTTCTCCCATAACCCTCTCAAATCCACCCCTCTACCTGCTCTACTCCTGCTCAACTCTCATCCTTTGCCACGTGGGATATCACTCCTGTCTATATTTAATCTGGCTCATCCTTCAAATGCCATCAGAGTGGCCTTTCCAGTACAAAAACTGCATTGTTTTACTTCTCTGAATAAATTGATCATCCCATTGCCTAGAAGTACCATTCAAACTCCACATGTAACATTCAAGGTAGGCCACTCACAGGGCTGCTGTTTTTTGTGGCTTCTTTGTATGAATGAGAAAAAGATGACCCCCCTGAACAGATGCAGCCCAGCAAATGTGGAAGGAGGGCTTGGTGAGTGGCACACGCCTTTACGTGAGAGTAAGGTAATCGTTTTGTTAGGAGGATGCAGCCCTGAATTAGGGGTGGGGCTGGCTAGCAAAGCATACACTGGGTTTCATGAACTTGTCAGCTGACCTCTCCCTATATCTCCTAGGTGTAGCCATCACTCCAGCACACTGAATTACTTGCAAGTTCTCTCCTGCCTCTATGATGTTGCTTATACCTTCCAGGAATCATTCTTTCTCTAGCATCTGTGGTTAACTCCTACTTGTTTTTCAAGTCCCACTTTAAGCATCCCCTCCTTTTGGGAAGCTTCTCTGCCCTCATGGCCTGAATTCGTTGCCATTACTCAGGCCACCCATAACACTGGGTGTATATATATGTCTGTCATGCCACTTGTCATACCATTGTAATGATTAATTTTGACATCTGTCTCCCTTTCTACTCTGTGAAGAACTAGAGCACAGAGGGTAGTACTTTATCCATCTTTATATTTCTGGTGTGGCTTGGGTAGCTCCTCACTTAAATTAATTACAGGCCACTACCAGAAATTAAGCAAAATTACAGATTCTAGGTTTAGAAAGAACTGTCGGGCTTCTATTTGTTAATAAAAAATTAAGAAAATAATAGTACTATTTAGTGATGCAAAATACTATTTATACAAAGTACTATTTAGTATTACAAAATACTCCAGAAAGGAGTTGTCATTTCTTATTTACAAGCAAAGGCACGAATAGGAAGAGGGCAACTGCTGACAGTAGGCAAAGCAAGCATTCCTCTTTCAAGAAGCACATTAAGGGCCTTAAGGCAAAATTTAAGAAGTGGCCAGACATGGGAGGCAGCTGTGATGTAAATAGGGCAGATGAGCTAAGAACAAACTTGAATTAAGCTAAGAGCAGAAAGAGGAGCTTCTATTTGAAACCCACGTTTGCAATTGACTGGATGTTTGACCTCTGGGCAAGTCATTAACCTCTGTGTCTTAGTTTCCACATCTGTAAAGTGGAGATAATAATGTTTCCCTACTTCAAAGAATTATAGATTAATCAATGTCTGAAAAATGTCTCTAACTTGGACAACTCTATGTAAATATCCGGAGCAGCATGGAGGGAAGTCAGGTGGAAAAACTAGAGAAAGAAATCTGAGCTTCCTTTTACTCAAAATGTTCAAAATGAAAAAGAATTGCTGGTGTTCTTGTCCTAGAAAATACTATGAAAGAAGTAGCAGTTACATTTGTATTTTGGAAAAACATCTTTTAAATGATTATAAATCTTTTATTTTCCCATGTGACTCTGATGCAGAGGTGTCTGTTGAGGTGTGTGAACTCTAGGCGTGTGGGGACCCTGGCCTCTCGGGTGAGACCGGGAGGACTCTGGCCATGGTGGACGGCTGTCGCTTTCCCTGGAGCAGGTTATCAACTTAGGGCTTACGTGACCTTCTTTACTCTCTCCTCTTATCTCCAAACTGCCCAACTTCCCTCTGTCAGAAGGGAGTTCCCCACCAGGGAGGGGATGGGCGGGGGTCTAGGCAAGTTCATTGCAGGGCTCTCAGCAGTTCCACCAGAGGATTTGGGATTGGAAAGGAAGTTACATTGTTGGTTTATGTGTACTTTTTTGATGCTTTAACATGGTCCAAAAATTGAAATTTTAAAAATTTACATCATTTTCTCCCCAGATTTCTAAAAAGAGTAGATTTTCTGAAAGGGTCTTTGGTTTATTGGCCAGCTGAGGGCCTCATCACACTGAGAGGGGTGACAGGTGAAGAGGAGGTTGGGAGTAGGCAAGAGAGGTCCAGCCGCCCCACAGGAGAAAAAGGGAGACAGACCCCAGAGGAGCTCTCATGGTGCAGGAGGGAGGCAAAAGGCCAGACAGAGGGAGGGCCACACCCACTGGAGAGGCAGCCTCTCTGTAGGCAGGGAGAAGGGAGGAGGGAAGATATTTGGCTGGCTTCTGAAGATAATATTGTATTAGGGGGAGATAGATGCTTTGAAGGGGATATCTAGAAGTTTTACTGGGCCACGGTCTACTTGTGTGTGTCTTTCTGCCCTGACTCTACTTTCCCTCCTTTTAATAAGTTTATTTATTTATTGAGACAGAGTCTCACTCTGTGGCCCAGGCTGGAGTGCAGTGGCGCGATCTCAGCTCACTATAACCTCCGCCTCCTGGGTTCAAGTGCTTATCCTGCCTCAGCCTCCCGAGTAGCTGGGATTACAGGTGCACACCACCACGCCCAGCTAATTTTTGTATTTTTAGTAGAGACGGGGTTTTACCATGCTGGTCAGGCTGGTCTCGAATTCCTGACCTCAGGTGATCCACCCACCTCAGCCTCCCAAAGTGCCGGGATTACAGGCATAAGCCACCGCACCTGGCCAACTTTATATTTATTTTTTATTTCTCATTTCCAGTGGTGTTGGATAATAAGATTAAATATTCAGATTGGCCTAGGCTGGGTGTACTGGCTCACGCCTATTATCCCAGTACTTTGGAAGGCTGAGGTGGGCAGATCACCTGAGGTCAGGAGTTTGAGACCAGCCTGGCCAACAGGGCAAAACCCCTTTTCTATGAAAAATACAAAAATTAGCTGGGCGTGGTGGTGCATGCCTGTAATCCCAGCTACTTGGGAGGCTGAGGCAGGAGAATCGCTTGAACCCGGGAGGCAAAGGTTGCAGTGAGCCGAGATCATACCACTGCACTCCAGCCTGGATGACAGAGTGAAACTCCATCTCAAAAAAACAAAAAACAAAAACAAACAAACAAAAAAAAAACCAAAAAAACCCCACAAAATACAAAAACAAAAACCATTGTCGGCCTAAGGCAAGGGGGCTTACCATAGTCCAGGCACATGCAGGAAACTCAAAGATTTTAAAATAAGAGCGGTAGAGAGGGAAGATAGTGTTTTGGATAAAGTAGTACAGTGTACTTGGAACCTCCAGCTGTCCTGCAGGTTGATGGAGTGGTGGTTGTTTGGGGCTGATCAGGCTGGGTCTAGCTCCCCTAAGTTCCCATACCTGTGGTGCCCACTGCGTGACACTTGGCCCTACCTTTGCCTAGACATGTTTTGATGCCAAGGAAGAGAGAATTTGATCTAAATTGAAGCCATATGGGTTCAAGGGCTGTCCTCAACAGTCCTGAGCTGTTACCAGGGGACTAGATTGTCTCAGATGCTTGGAGTTGGTACCTCCTTTTGAGGAGTCTAAATATTCTTCCTATCCGTCATTTTAAACTCACATTGCTTTGCCTGTAGAGCTTGCCAATGAGGAAACAGAGACCGGTGAGAGAGCTCGCTTGTGTAAGGAGTTCATGGCAAGCCCCGCTGTGTTACGGATTTAACCCGATTGCACAATCTTTTATCTAAAGAGGGTACTTTCTTTATGTTGCTTTGCTAGTCATTTATTTTTCTTTTGAATTGTAGGATGAACATGTTATCCAAGGGGTAGCCCTATGACCTTAAGTGACATTAAACCACTCAGTAAAGTAGCTTGACTAAGAGTGCTTTTTGTACTGTTACTTGTTTGGAAATATTAGCCTTCTGTTTCAGTCACAGAAAAGTGGTTTAGGTCAGACCTAAGCATTCTGGCCAGCTGTATGACTGATTTGTATAGAGACTTAGATCAAGTATTTATACTCTTCCCAGGTTCTGTACCCACCTCCACCTGCCTCTTTCACCTGCAGATGGAGGCTGCAGACAGCACCCGAGCTTTGTGTGTGTGTGAGCACCGTGAAAAGAAAACAGTGGCACATAACTGTAGTGCTGTCATTTCCTTGGCTTTCTGAGACGAACTCCTTTTTCTTTATTAGTACTGCCTGAAATGGAATAAAACTTCTGTTTGTTTTTATCTTCTAAATGAGATCTTTTCAAAGATGGCTTCTTTGGGGGAGTCTGGAATAATTAATTATCTCCCCCCACCTCCATCTTTCTCAATGTGTTTAATTTGAATTTCCTTAATGAAAACTCAGCTCTCGTAAACACTGGGTTGGCCCATTTTGTGTGTGCCTGCTCTGTCCTGCTTTGAGTGATGTGTAAATAAGAGGCAATCTGGTGATGAGTTTTGCTTGTGTGATGTGGAAGGGTGGAGAGGGAGGAGGGTTTGATGAATAGAGGCAACCAGAAAATGTGCTTGATAATAACATGGCCATGATTGATGTTGCAATTCCTGAAAAATTATCATTGTGATATAATTATTTGTTTATGAACTGTGCCCTGAGACTCCCAAGTTTGTGATTATTCATGGCACAGATAAAACTCTCAAGTCAATAATTCATCAAGGGTATAATGGTTTTGTTTGGGGGAGGTGGGGGGGTCATATGGATATTACATCCTGTTTCTGACACTTCCGCTATAAATCTGAGAACTCCTTCAGTGCAAGGAAGTGCCACCTCCTTACTCTCTGCTCCTTTTTCTTTTTTAAAGTAGTTTTAATAGTATGCATAAATTATTTTTAAAGGCTGAAATTAATTTTATTTTCCCAGAAAAATTCTTTTTAACATAGACACATTATCTGGGTCATTCCTTGTGGTATATCCCGTGATTTCCAAACAGGCAGAGGTGGACAGAAGAATGAAGACAACTGTGCATGGGACAGTAGCTGGGAATTTAGGGATTATGAGTTTTAATTCCAGATGGAACATATACTCAGTGAATACATTTGGCCTAGGCTCTTTGATTTTGGTCCATAAAAGGGAATAAGGGAGGCCCACTTATTTTCAGAAAATTGAAGAATTTTATCTTGAAATTCTTTCTTGACTTTTGAGTGGGTTTTACACGTCTGTATCAGGAGTCTTGGCACCTCTCACACCAGTTCTGCTCCCATAAAATGGCTGATATGGTAGTTGCTATCTCTAATTCTTTCCATTTCCTTCATATGGTTGGTTTTCTCTGCCTTAGTTTACTTATAAGAGGGTAGTCCACCAGTAATGTTTGTTATGGATTTATTATATTTATTATGTGCCTGTACCCCAGGGTTCCACAAATATTGGAGCCAGGTCTCTCCTTTCCAGCAGAGTTGTGTGAAGTAGTCTCAGAGGGTATGTAAAATGCAATGAAAATGAGAAATGTGTTTTCAGGGGTTCAGGTTCTTGCTCCCCTTTCATGCCCATGAGCTGCTTTCTCTAAGTTGCTTTTCACCCAAGCCCATGCCAGCATTATGTGAGGGCTATGTACACAGAGGAAGATGGGAGACCTACTTTCACAAAAATTGGTGAAAAGACTGAGGCTGGTTGACTGGAGGCTTAAGATGAGATAGTAATTTGACCTGGCTGCTAAGATGTGACTGCAATTGCAGGCAGTTTTACCTAGGAGCTCAGAGTCTTGAGGAAGAGATAGGATGGAACTTCTGTGCCACGCAAGTATCAGATCATGTCTGGAGTCACGTGACTGGCCCAAGGTGCCATATTTGAATAGGAGCTGTTATGAGCTGAATTGTGCCCCACCAAAAGTTGAAGTCCTAACCCCCAGTTTCTTAACATGAGAGTACCCAGCATTTGACCTTACTTTCATTTCCTTTTTCTTTTTTTTTGAGGTGGAGTCTCACTCTGTCACCCAGACTGGAGTGCAGTGACACAGTCTTGGCTCTCTGCAACCTCGGCCTCTCAGGTTCAAGCAATTCTCCTTCCTCAGCCTCCCTGGTAGCTAGGATTAAAGGCATGCACCACCATGGCTGGCTAATTTTTTTTTTCAATTTTTAGTGGAGACGGGGTTTCACCATGTTGGCCAGGCTGGTCTTGAACTCCTGAACTCAAATGATCTGCTCACCTCAGTCTCCCAAAGTGCTGAGATTATAGGCGTTAGCCACTGCGCCCGGCCTACTTTCATTTCCTTCTTATGGTAGAGTTGTTGTAGATGTAGGTAGTTAAGATCAGGTCATGCTGGAGTAGGGTGGGCCCTTAATCTAATCTGATTAATATCCTTATAAGAGGAGAGAGTGACACAGTCGGGGAGAACTCCATGTGAAGACACAGACACACACAGTGAGAAGATGGCCATAAAGTGACAGAGGCAGAGATCAGAGGGACACATCTATAAGCTGAGGAATGTCAAAGATTGCCAGGAGCTAGGAGAGAACATGGAACAGACCCTCCCTCAGAGCTTTCCAGAAGAACCAACCTTGCTGGCACCTTGATTTCAGACTTCTGGCCTCCAGAACTGTGAGAGAATACATTTCTGTTGTTTTAAGCCACCCAGTTTGTGCTAATAAAGCAGACCCAGGAAACCAATACAGGGGTCTTGGCAGATTCTGGTGCACTCAAATAATGGTGACTAGGATGGTGAAGGATCCTGCCACCATGTCACTGGCAGAAATGGACAAAACCTGTGGGATTTAGCCTAGAGATTTACTGAAACCCTGACATCCATCTTCATATCTTTGAAGGCCACTCAAATGGAAAAGGGTTTAGATTTAGTCCCTTTAACTCCAGAGGTAAGATTTCAGCTCAACACCTTCTAAAAATTAGGACAATTCGACAGTGTGCTAGAAAGACCCTCAGCGCTAGAATTATTAAGGACATGCGATTTCTACACCAGAGAGTTCCTCTTAGTTGCTAAGATTCTCTGGATCACTATTGTGATTATATAGCTCAATGCTCATACGTGAGGATACACTATTAAGTGGTGCTTTCTTGTGAATCTATTTGCTTAGCTATCCATAGGACACAATGTCATAGTTAACTGAGTCAGTTACCAACTGTTTGGGTTGTTTCCTCCTCCTCCTCTGTTTGCTTTACCTAATCTGTTGCTGTATACAGAGTAGATCGTATTA
The DNA here is from genome assembly GCF_000001405.40 of Homo sapiens. Taxonomy (NCBI): domain Eukaryota; kingdom Metazoa; phylum Chordata; class Mammalia; order Primates; family Hominidae; genus Homo; species Homo sapiens. Next base: position 33,807,067 of record NC_000014.9, on the reverse strand, counting down.
TGGACACACCCACCCACCTCCAACATTTATGGATGGCCAACTCTGTGTCAGCCATATGGACTACTCAAGAAAGGAAGAATGAATGAACTTGCTGCTTTATCCATTTTGACAATCTTTTCTTGATACAAGCTCAAGCTATCCTGTCAAACCACATGGACATTTCCAGTGGAATCTCTGCCTCTTGACAAGTCATGTTTCATTTGTTCACATCTTCATCCATCAGTATTCAGCAGATCTTTACCAAGCCAACACTACTGTAAATCATTGAGCTAGGCACTATGGAAGGATATGAAGATGAATAAGCAATGATTTATGCCTGTGGGGAACTTACCAAATCAGCCCTCTTTCTTCATAATGGTTTCCTAGGAGACACAGAAAGCAGAAGGCAGCCAACGGTACTCATTTACCTTAGTGTCCCAGAGAGTTTAAGCCTGCTAGTTGACATACATCTTTGGGAATTATGCTCAAGAATTAGGTTTGCCTTTTTTTCCCACTACATGATATGGAATGTTGGCAAAGATATTCTTCCTTCTCTCCCAAATCTTTGACCCTTTCTACTTTTTGAACCTGGATAATAATCTTGGCTTGAACAGACTGTCTTCTGGGCTTGAGATATATTATCGCCTCTCTTAAATATAATACATAGGGCAAGTTGATTTTCAAATTACTTTAAACGTTCTCAATGTTAAATAGACTTTGTCTAGGAGTAGGAGAAGGACGGGTAAGAATTGTAGTCCACAAGGGCTAAAACCAATTTATTTATTTTTATTTTTATCATTTTTTCCAAGACGGAGTCTTGCTCTGTCACCCAGAGCTGGAGTGCAATGGCACGATCTCGGCTCATGGCAACCTCTGCCTCCCGAGTTCAAGTGATTCTCTTGCCTCAGCCAACTAGCTGGGATTATGGGTGCCCGCCACCATGCTGGGCTAATTTTTGTATTTTTAGTAGAGAGGGGGTTTCACCATGTTGGCCAGGCTGGTCTTGAACTCCTGACCTCGTGATCTGCCCGCTTCGGCCTCCCAAAGTGCTGGGATTACAGGCATAAGCCGCCGCACCCAGCCTTAAAACCAGTTTTTTGTGCTCAACTGAATGTATATGTTCCCTCTTGTCCCGCCTGCTGTTTTTATTTAAAAATTGTCTTGTTCCTCATTGCCAAATAAATTAGTTTAAGTATCAGCTGGGAGGAAGAAGGGAGGAGCTACAGAGAGCTGGCTGTTGGCCCCTGTTCTGTCACCTGGAGACTAGAGCCTTGACCAGTTGACTTGCTGCCAGCCTGGCAACGAAGTCCTGTACTTCTGGGGAGCTCAGGGCTCTGGTCTGGTTGCCAGCACTGGGGCTGAGGAGGTGGCAGGGCTTCCTGATTATCAATGAGTCTGAGCCCAGAGCTCACTCACTCTTTCTAGCTGAAAGATGTTCTTTATTTCATTAGTGACCTATTTTAGCATTGATGGATACACATAAAGGACAGGGAACTTGCTGATGCTAAGAGAGGCTTGAGTTTGGATAAGAATCCAGGATTTCCACCACTTCTACTGCAGAAGCACCAAATACTGTGAGGATTTCAATTCACCCATCACCTGTCCTGCTTCCCATTTCAACCCTCATTGCTACCACCTCCAGCTCACAAGGCTGCAGGAATGTCCAGAAGCAAAGTGTTATGGCTGATCAACAGCATTAGCCAGTCCCACACTCAGACAAGCACCCCTCTGCCTTGTGGGACCCTGCCCCATGCAAAGCTCTGAAAGCCTGCACTCACAACCAGTTCCATCAAGACCTACTAGACAGGGTGGCTTGGGTAAGCTGGCTTCATCACTCACCATAATCCACTCAGCATAGTCTCCAGCTACCTCAGTTTTTGACTTCTCAATCTTGCTATACTATATCCTTCTGACTCTAAAGAGCAAAAGGGGAAGAAATTTTAGAAAAGTGGTTCGGCACACCCAATTCTGTGTTCTCAATTAGCCTCTCCCTATTCCCTATTTTAAGTACTTATTCTGAAGACCCATCTAGGGCACAGTAGAGAAATCCAGAGCTCTTCAGCCCTAACCACGCTTCTATGTTCACCAGTCTGAAGCTTTCTTCCATCAATAAAAAAACAACCCCCACATTGGCTAACGTCACTGAAGACTTAAACTAGGGAAATGATATTTATTATTTTTAGTAGCTTCTGGACGAAAGTGTTTGCCTCCCCTCCCCAACTCCCCCAGCTCAGCCCATTCATATTCCAGTTTTTGGAGATCACAGACTTAAGAGTTGACCTACCTTATCCTTAACTTTGAGACAATGGGTGACACTTTGTTTTTTTTTTAAAGAGTAAGCAGCTGACCTGCCTTAAAACGTAACAGGCCACATGCTACCCTAACCATAATGCAGCATGAACATGACTTAATCAGCTTGTCTGGAGAAAGAAAATGCATATTTAGTATAAAAAGAAGATATAAGCAATGGAACAGTTGGTTATACATTATAGATTGTAATAAATGAAAATATTGAGTGCATTTTAAATGATTAATGTATGAAAACTGTCATCACTTACTGTGCATTAATCAAAAAATACACACTTCCCATAGTGGTTAATGTTGCAGGCCCATTGTTCAGCTTTGATAATGTGCATAATAATGCTCAGTATGACAATGAATTGGGGTAGCTGAAAATTTAGGATGGTTGCAAGTTTGGTGTAGTATTTGGATTAGCATCTTATTATGTGCCTTGTCAGCCTCATCAGTACACAAGCTATATATTTTTTCCAAAACTAGCAAAAATATGAATGCATTTTTTTTACTTTTTCTTTTTTTTTTAAATAAAGAATAATGACCAAGGTACCTGCTTAAACAAATACTACCAGCATTCATTAGTCAGGATGGTTACATGTAAAAGAAATGATGCCAGATAGTAACAAATCCAAGAGAAGTTTATTATGAAAATGGCACCTGCGGATGAAAAAATTAAGTTACATAAAGACAACCATGTATGTGACATGTATGAGAATCTACAAAAGTATAAAAAGAACCCTGTTGTAAATGAAGTATGTACATTTCTGATTTGCAGCATTATCAATGGTCAATGAAAAAAAATGTTTCAAAATAAGCCAGGCACTCAGGAAGTTAGGTCCGGTTAGCTTCACACAAAACAAATGTACCATAGCTGTCGCTTTGTAACGTTTTAATTATTTTTTTATATATATATCGTAGAGTTGGTAACACTGCTAAGATTTTTACGAACAGAATATCCCTTTCCCCATTATTCAGCTACTTGGCACCAGTCTCCTCATAAAAGTTTTCATATATTTGTACAAGAAATAGTTAAAAACACAGACACAGTCTTCACAGGTAATGAAGTGTTTTTTTTTTTTTTTTCATTTTGTAATTTTCAACACTATGAATTTAGACAGCAGCTGTGATTATCTGTTAGTTTAAATCACCAGAAATCATTTTGACACAACACAGAAACATTTATAAAAGAAAAAAAACAGCTGTCTAGCTGTTCTTTGTAGCTGATAGGTGCATTCCTTTGATTGTTCGATAGCTAGAGTAGAGCTTCCAAAATTAATCTGTAAATTTCTCCATCGGCCTTCTTCACCTCCTAAACCTACTTAAATCCTTCAAGTAAGCTCACTATTAAAATTTGTGGCATTTAACTTCTTTTTGTTATTATTCCACCACGGTTTGGGCCCAACTCATGAAATCAAAGGTCCTAGAGGAATCTACTCAACACAGTGATATTCAAAGGACAGCCGAGTTACTATATTAGCATTGCACAAGTAAACAAATATATATGACAATTCTAGATTCCATTATCCCCTCCCATTTTGTTTCTTAAAAATGTTGGTTGACCTTTGAAAGAATTTTCTGTCTCACTGGTAATTGCTTTATATATTGCTCCATCAGCCAACCTGAAAGGAAACCAAAGAAAAGCACCCACTGCTTATAGGTAGAGCACAAGGGACTCTGGGAATGTTAACAACTGAGGCTATATGGCATCAATTTATTTAATATATCTGAGCATTATTCTTCAGTGCTTTGTGTTGCACTCCAGAAGACAGAGTCATACCCAGAATTCCGTTGTGGGAAAAATGGCTCCATTAACCTTGAGCTAGTTAAGAGTCTTTTTATCTCTGAGAATGAAAGAGATTTTGGGGATGGGGAAGGAATGAAGAGGAGGGAGAGGGGGAGATGGGAAAGGGAGGGAAAGAGAGGAGAGGTAGGGAGAATATACACCAGCAAAGCAACAGCAGGAATTTTAAAAGGTAAAACGGAAGATTCACAGACAGTAGAAGCAGCATAGGGTGACATTACAGAGGAAGGCCACCACACAAAACCCACTAACCCCCAAGAATCACTGATTCACTAGGACTGCAGGAATGGGACTGTACCACTCCGGACTAGAGATAGAGCACAGATAAGACAAAGGACAAAACAACTACATTAGCTTAGTATATACTGCATATAGAAACACACATTGAAACTGCAATGGGACTGACAGCCAAGGACACATACACATTGTACACATTACAGTTCTCACATCTGTTATTAGATGCCTTAACAAACAGCTGCCAAAAATGAAGTGGAAGAAGAATTTATACTTGACAGTCATTTGGAGTGTTTGACACCACACTGATTTCTGGCAACAAAGACAAAATAGGATTTTTTTTCTTTTTCTTTTTCTTTTTTTTTTCTTTTTTTTTTTTTTTACTTAATGTGCAGTTTTCAGTTGCAGTTATCTGTCTGAAGCTTATTAACCCATTCTTTAGTTTTAAAACTTATTGGTTTCAACCCAGAAATAAGAACCAAAGGGAAAGAAATTCCATCAAATCAAACCAGTCCCCCCAAATACAACCTTCCTTTTTGTTTTAAGCAAGAAATGAAAAAAACCAAAAACATGTTAAATATTTTCCTTCTTTTACTCCGAAGTGTTATTGAAGTTGCAAAATTAGCCTCAGTTAGACTGAGTAAGGAAAACAAAAAGCTAAACAAAAGGCAGTATGTACCTAAACTGCTCCTCAAATCAGTTTGATTGAGTTTTCCAGCAGCCCCTTTAAAAGGGGCTTTACTGACCCATTAAATTTAATGTGAGGCTATGTTTGTTAGTTGGGAGGTAAAAAATTTTAAGTCCTGCAGCAAACGTTAATGAGGGCTTTGTCTTAACTAACCAAGGAGACTGCAGCAACGGACTCCAGACCAGGACAGAACACATTTTTTTTTTTTCCCCCAAAACCCAGCCCAGGAGCTGCATTTTGTATGAAGACATTACAGATTAATAAATGATAGCACCATGGTTTTAGAAATTAAGTTAATGTTTCAGTAATTAACATTTAGTCCGACTTTTTTTTTTTTAAACATTCTAGTCACAGGCCAGAAATTAAGTTTAAGAACCCAAATTATTTTTATGTGCAAGTAAGAAAATCTTAAAATCTTAACCGTAAAAAGAGAATTAAATTCTGCATAAAATTCTAAAATACTATTCCCCCTATTTTTTAAAGGAATTAGGAACAGAAACAAAAACCACCCTATTTCATTTGACTTAGTCAAACAGGGCACATTGTTTATGCTTGTCTCTTTCCATCTTGATCATATCAAGATCTTTATGAAGAAACCCCAATGGTTGTCACTTGAGAACTCTCTTGACCACAAGACTGAGTATTCTATGGCAGAGGCATATACACATGAAAGACATCTTAATAAAGATGCAAAGGAAAGCAAAACAACCCAACACACACCTTAGAAGAAGACAAAACGGCAGGCAACTGGTCGTCTGACCCTCTGAAGGCAAAAAATAAACATATCTTTACACGAAAGAATAAGTCAGGTGAAAGAAAGAGGGGGTGGAATGGGGACCGTCGTGGCGAGAGAAGACGCTGACCTGCTCGAATTCAAAGTGCTAGAATTAAAGGTCTAAACGAAAATGCCGACGATGCCTCCTCCAAGCGGGGCCTGGCCGGGCCCAGGACGGGCGGCGCCTCAGTCCTCCTTGCGCTCCAGAGTCTGTGCCGCGTGGATGCCGTTGCTGTAGACGGGGAAGGGCAGCGTGGAGAAGAGTCCCTCGGCCGTGGTGAACACGTTGCCGGCGGGCATCTGCGTCAGGCTAGCTGCGCTCACTGCGCCGCCGAACGGTCCTGACATGTTGAGCCGGTGCACGTGGTGGTAGAGCATCTCCATGGGCGTCTTGGGGTCGAGGCCAAAGCCGGGGCTGTTAACGTCCACGAAGTTAACAGCGTGCGCGTTGGGCAGCAGGTTGCTCTGCATGGCCAGGGTCACCTCGGCGGGCGCGTAGCGGATGGTGCCCGTGGTGTAGACCCTCTGCGCGGCCGTGCTGGTGGCGGCCAGGGTCCCGGTCACCCTGTGCACCAGCGGGAGCACGACGTTGCCCGCCTGCAACCTCTGCAGCGCCTCCAGGTCCCCAGTGTACAGCAAGGAGTTGGACGCGCTGGGGCCGCCGCCCCCCGCGCCGCCGCCCCCGCCCCCGCCCCCGCCGCCGTTCCCGGGGTGCTTGTCCCGCGGGGACGCCGAGAGCGGGGGTGACAGCGGGTCGGAGGCGACGGGGGCCAGGGCCGCGGTGGCCGAGGCGCCGAACTGAGTCTTGCGGGCGGCCGCGCCGTCGGCGCCGGGCGGGGTGAGGACCGAGTCGGGAATGGCCACGTGCAGCCCCCCGCCACCGCCACCCCCACCGCCGCCGCCCTGCGGGGACGGGAAGTGCTCAGAGCTGGGGGGCTTGGTCATGCTGTAGGGGGACTCGTTCCTGGAGATCTCCCGGTTGGGCGGGTAGTTCCAGATGCTGCTGTCATTGTCGAAATTGATGGGTTCTGAGATCTCCGTCTTGATCTTGAGCACCGAGGCACTGTTGGGGGAGGACAGCAGCCGCGGGGGCTCCACCAGGCCCGCGTCCAGGCCGCCTGGGCTCGACGCGCTGGACAGGCGCCGGCGGCTGGCGCTGCCGCCCTTTTGCCGTTTCCGCCTTTTCTTGCGCTTCTGGTGCTTGCTGGAGGCCTGCGCGCCCGCCTCGCCTGCGCTGTCCGAGTCCTTGGCGCTGTCGGACGTGAGTGACTCGCAGTTCTGCAGCCGCAGGTCCGACTCGCTCTCCACGTAGCGCTCCACCTTGATCTGCATCGCGCCCAGAGCACCGAAGCCGTCCTCGCCCGCCTTGGGGTTCTCAAAGTCCGAGTGCTCGAAGCTGTCGTCGCTGTCGCGGCTGTCCGGGTTACTGGAGCTGTGGCCGTCGTCGTTGCAGTTCATGTCGTTGTCACACGCGTTGCCCGACTTCTTCCGGTCGGGCTCCGGGTCTTCGCTGTTCTCGGACTGGTTCCCCTTCTCGTCGGACTTGGAGTTCTCGTTGTCCTCTGTGTGGGGCGGGGGGCCGGCGGTGGCGGGGGCGGAGAGAGAAGAGAGAGAAGACACCAGGTTAGCGGGGCGACCCAGCCTGTCACCTGCAGGGGCTGGGGCGGGGAGCAGGGCAAGTGTCCGTCCTCATCACGGGCTTCTCCATCACCTTCAGAGGACTTAAGACCTGGGCTTTCTCTCTGCTGAGGGCCTGGGTTAGCTGGATGGTTACTCAAAGTGCGGGCCAGCAGCATTGGCAATCATCTGGACACCCGCTGCAAATGCAGACTCTCTGCTCCCACCCAGGTAGACTGAATCAGATTCTGCGTTGGAATATGACCCCCAGGTGATTCTCAGGCACATTCAAGTTTAAGAAGTCCCACAAAGATACTCAGGAAGTCAGGTTAAATAACCTGGATTAAGGTGTGACACAGAAAAATGATGGCATGCAAGGTGACTTTCTAAAGAGTCTGCATTTTCCCTTGGTGAATATTTGTTCATTACTGAGAGCCACTCTCCTTTCTATTCCATAAGTTATTCTCCCCCACAGCACTTACCACCATCTGATTCACTGTATATCTTTATTTTTATTATTTATTATTATTATTTTTGGCAGGGTCTCCCTCTGTCCCTCAGGCTGGAGTGCAGCAGGGTGGTCACTGCTCACTGCAACCTTGCCCTCCCCGGCTCAAACGATCCTTCTGCCTCAGCCTCCCGAGTGGCTAAGACCAGAGGTGCCCACCACCACACGTGGCTGATTTTTTTTTTTTTTTTTTGTAGAGACAGGGTCTTGCCACGTTGCCCAGGCTGCTCTCAAACTCCTGGACTCAAGCAATGCGCCCACCTCAGCCTCCCAAAGTGCTGGGATTACAGGCATGAGCCACCCTGCCACCTCACTGTATATTTTAGTTTTATTTACTTGTCTCTTCTTCCCACTAGTATATAAGCTCAATGGGCTAGGAATTTTCCTTTGTTTTGTTCACAACTATGCACTGTATTAAAAAGGGGCAGAGACTACCAATTCTAGAACTTTTTATGTCTTTGTCAAGAACTTTCAAATTAATGCAATTTAGGGAGAGGAGGACAATGAAGATCTGCCTTGAGTGCTCTGCCCTCCTTCCGCCTCCCTGAAGCTGGGTCTGGAGGAAGGGATACATGTTTACAATGCTGGAGCACAGGTGCCCTCAAGAAGGGGGTTGTCAGGAAAACCTAGCTGCCACATTTTTGAAAGAACAGATTTTTCCAGTAACACAGCGTCTGAACATGGAGGGAAGAAGCCTGACTGGCAGCCTGGACTAGAAGTTGTGGTCATTGCCTCCCCTTCTGTAGCAGAAGAGGTAGGGTTAAAAGAGGTGTAGGATTTTCTTGCAGCTGTAAAAATCCTACAAGTTTAGTGCTCCCTGGCCTTATGTGTGTCTCTGGAAGAGGGCTGGGGATGGGATGAAAAGCAAATTTTTATACTAATTTTCAGTGTCCCAAAGAACTACTCAGGAAGTCCGCTTCCCCAAAGGAAATGAAAATGCATGCGTTTGTTCTGCATAGATTCAGGAAATAAGTAACAGTCCAGCACCCTGAAAGAGGCATTGATCGATGCCATTAAGTACCCTACTTTAGAGGCTCAGTCCCAGCTTGGTGGGAATGTGAATATTTGGGGCTCAAAGTCACAGACTCTCTTGGAGCTGGCCCTAGTACCTGCCTTTAGTAGAGGCCGAGAGCTAGCTATGAGGTTAGAGCAGGGCTCCTTCTGTATGGCCAGTGGATTGACATTAAGTGATTGCTAATAGCAATCAATCTCTTTCTGTATATTTAAAGAAAGAGATCTGTCAGATCTCAAAAGATCTCTTTGTTCTGTGAGTATATATACACACAAAAACATATATATATATATATGTATATATATACACACACACAGATGTATTTATCCAGCACTACATATCTATATGTATTGTGTGTATATATACCTATATAGTACATACAGGTATGTAGTGGTGTACAATTATATATATGTGTGTCTGGAGAGAGGCAGACACTCAGTAATAACTTGATGTGACATATGTCTCTCTGAAATGTGACCAGTTGCTTTGCCTCTGATGATGGCCCTCTGGCTGTTGCCCACCCCCTGCGCGTGGTGGGCAAGCTTCACTGAAGAACATGGAAAAGAAGGAATAATACCTGTAATACCTGAGGTGTCTTTAGAGTCTGACTCAGAGTCGGATGTCTCCGAGGATTCGGAAGTTTTCTCCGGCAGATGGGGGAGCTGTGCGATGTCCATGGGTGTGTCCTTGTACTCAGGATTGCTGTGGAAGGGAGGCACTGGTCAGGAGTGCAGACACCCATTCTGCATGGTTTGTTTGGACCATCTTCTCCCCCACTTCTTTGTCCCAGACTTCTGGAGTTTAGAAAGTTTCAAAGACTAAACATGAAATCATTTCTCAGCTCTTCATGGGATTTTATGGAAGCTTGGCTTGCATGTGCCAAGGCACAGGTGCACCCTGCTGCAATGATCGAATACCCAAATCCCTGAAAGCCATGGAGAGAAGCTTTTAAATAATCAGGTACCACTGGGGGTCAGGAAACTGTGCTGCTTGACAGTACACCTGGGGGAAGGGAGGATGAGAAGTACTCTCAACAATTCATTCCCATGTCTCCTGGTGTGTCGTGTCTTCTCTTGGGCTCCTAATGAGTCCATGGCCTCAGTACCTTTGTTTTGGGCCCTTGATGTAGCTTCTCAGCCGCTCAGATGGCTCCCACGCTATTGGTGGGGCAGCAGAGCCTTTGGTGCCTATCTGACAGATGCACAGGTGCACCTTGGGATGCATGGATTATGGCTACCAAACTGTCAACACACCCATTACAATCACATTTTCATCTGCTCGTGTGGTGTACACCTGTGGCTTGTTAGCTGGAAATCTGATTGCAGTGGGGAGAGTCCCAGTGTGAAAGAGGCCCTAACAGAAGGGATCTAACCTCACTTGCACAAATGTGCTTAATTTTTGTTCTATTTTTAGTTTGGAAACAAGGCTCTTTTGGAAGAGAGAGCATGTTGAGTCAGTTTGACCTGTCTTCTGGAAATGCCACTCCAAGGCCACCTGATGGATGAGGAGAGTAGGCTCCTGTAATCTGAAGGCACAAGGAAATCCTCCTGCTTCAAAATGGGAAATGCCTCTTCGATTTTTCCATGATGGCTAGCCAAGCAGAGACTTAAAATTGATGATTACTGACTCATTTGCTAATCTCTAGCGAAATTCCTATAGTAAAGAGTCACTGTTTCAGTAACTACTCTAAAACTGCAAATGTTCCTGGGAGGGGTAATTCACTAAAATGGATTATCAGGCATTTACTCCTTCGTGTGAATTAGCTTCAGCAGCAAAGCTTTCTCTAGATAATCAGATGAGACTAATGGTGGGAAGGTGGACTCTGTCTCTGAATACTCTGAGTCTATAATTCTGTTAAGTATCACGAGGGAATGGGAAGAAGACTGGAGGAGCAGTAGTTTCAGAACAGGGAAGGACAAGCCTGGATTGGGGCCTGGGTGCAAGGGTTCTGGGCAGGAAGAAGTGATGTGAAAGTATTGCTCAGGGAAGAATAATAGACAAGAATGTGGGAAAGAAAACCAAACTTCTGTAGTTGCTATATTGCCAGGGCCACATCATTTTCTTACTAGATCTTTACCCTATAGAGGTGATACCAGTAAATGGCTGTCTTGGTGGAGTTTCCCCTGCTAAAGCCCATCTACCTTAGTCTTCTTTGGGGGCTCACAGATCACTTGCCCTACAATTTACAGTCCTTTATCATTGACTTCAGGGAGTGTTTTTAGGTCAGCTAAAACAGGTCTTCTATGCCTGAGATTGAAGCTTTTGAGGTTGAAGACTGGTCTTTGATACCTAAACTTCCTTCCTATCCATATGGGATTTGATGGAATAGAATCACCAAAGCTCATGAGTTTGTACCATCGGATCCTAGGCTAGATCAATGGTATTCAGAGACTGATTGCTTAGCTCTTCTTACTCCTTGCATTTGTGGGCAGAGGAGGAAGTCATGAGGCTGATGAGGCAGTAAGAAAGATCCAGATAGGAAGAAATCTCAGAGAATGGGAGTAACAACTACATAGATGACTTCAGTATCTATGTTTCATCAACATGGGAGCCAGACACTGCTAGCCCTAGGGTGCCTGTTTCCAGCGTTTAATTCTTACTGGTGATGGGTCTCCTTGTCACAATATCATTTTGCCTAGCAAAAGAATGTCAGTGCCACAAGACCTTATTCCATTTTCTGTCTGGCATGTGAGTTTTTATAACCACCTGCATTCCCTATAGTAATTATTCCATAAAACTCTATGTACAAGGATTCCTTGATATCAGAACTCATCTTGAACACATCACAAACACGGGGGAGACTTTGCACGGAAATCAGGCCTTGGAGAAAGCCACACTCAATACACATACTTTTACCTTTAGAGAGAATTAATGTAGAGCAGAAGAGGTCAAAAAAAAGGAAATAGAAAGTAGATAAATGAAGACTCTTTTAAGTGGTGCACATTAAGGCCCTCTCTAGAGCAATAATCATTAGTGTCTGATTGATATGCTGTTGGTAGCAAGCACATTCATGCCTTCAAGTCATCACCAAAGTATGTGAACACACTCTGAAGGGCCAGTGTGCTGATGAGCCATGGTTGTTAGCTTCCCAGCTCCACTTGGCTGTCTCAAAGAAAAATGGGATTCAGGTACTCCCTGTCTAAATTATCAGCCAAAGGGCACCAACTTCCATTCCCAAGACCTATTGGAAATTTTCCTACTCAGACCACGTGTGGGCTCTGCTTGGTGGCTTTAGGCCAGGAGAAGCCAAAGACCAGAATGATGGGGGTGGGAGGGAGCCAGGCCAAGTGCAGGATTGGTGGAGAACTTCCCAGAAAGCCTGCCCCCAAACTCAAGATGGCCCAATCTGTGGGTCTTGGTTACTTTTCTGCTAGTTTGAATCCAAAGGCAGAATGTAGACTGGGAAGGGGAGAGAAATGGTGTCTCACACCAGAATTTAGGAAGCAGTTGAGCTTGGGCTCACTTGCAGATAGACTGTTAAGGACACATTTTAAGAGCAGTAAAGCTTGCCAAAGATCACAAAGCAGTGGGCCAAAAAAAAAAAAAAATTGCCTTCATTTTTTACACCGCTATTGTTTGATTCCGGCAAAGCAACTCACTTTGTTTACCGAAACTTTAATGCCCAGGAAGTCAAACCCTATGTAATATGCTAAGGGCATCAAAGGGAAGAAATATAAGAGGAATATAATGTTCCCTGCCACTTTTCTCCCGCTCTGTTTTACTTCATTTCCACAAGAACTGGAGTGTGTGAGTGTGTGTGTGCTGGGGAAGAGGAGATGCTTTTTGAATGCTTCAGCTGTAGGCTGAAGTCTGTATTATTCTGGCCTAAGCATTTGTGGGAAAACCAAAGCAACTTCTGCAGAGATGCCCAAATGTTGACAGACCAAGAATGATTGAAAATCTTGAAATCTTTCCTGCAAGTCCCTTCCAACATAGTTTGATCTTCTCACATTTATTTGAATCTTGTGGAAAGAACAGCAGAATTGCCATGAAATTCCACACCAGGTACTGTCAAAAGATAATATTCACAACATGTCGGCTATTAACCATAGCCATATTTTATATGGCATATTTTATAACCAGGACAGAAATAGAAAAGAAGTAGAAAATATACCTAAGAAGGTAATTCACCCAGATGATATTCTTTTCATTTGCATTCTTGGCATTAATAGCTATGGTGGCACTGGACTGTATCCAAATATATCCTCCGTTCTTCTGCATCCAGCGATAGTACTTTGTCACACACTGACCCTTATTCAGCACTGGCGAAAAAAAACAAAACAGAGGCATTGTATTAAGACTGGGATCAAATAACTTTTTTTTTTTTTTTATCTCTGCAAAACCTTAAGCCTAAAAATGGGAGGACCTACACCAAGCCAGGGTGACCCTCTGTATGCTTAATATAGAATGCCATTAGTAGGACAAATGAAATCAATTCAGTGGAGCGGCAGCTCTGGAGCCAGGGTTACTGGCATTTGTAGCAAGACTTTATTCCGTTTTGGGCAGCCATGGTGTGAAAAGAATAAAAGGACTACAAATCTCTTTGGCTCACAGAACACCTAATGCGGTGTGGATATTGTCAATGGATTTGACATCAGATGGTAAGAAAGGCAAATTTGTATGTGATTTATTCATAGCTTGGAGGTAGACCTCTTTGAGATTCTGGATATTTGAATGGTTCCAAAGATGCTTTACCCCTCGTCTTTGATCGTTTCTCCTCCGTGTGAGCAATCTCAACCCGCGTCCTTATATGTCTGTTCCTTTTGATCTTGTCTAACAGAATTTATAGTCCTCCGATGAACTAAATTTACACTGGTCAGTCGGGGGAGATTCTGGTGAGACTTCGCTGAATGTTGGAACAAAATAAATTCCCCAGTGGAGTCAGAGAGAAACACTGGCCTAAGGGAGGCACAGAATTGACTTGGCTGGAGCCAAACAGAGTGACAGCTCCACACAGACTCTGAAATATGGCCCCAAATGAAGGAGCAAGTAAAAACAATCAGTAATGTGAAACGGTGCCATTAAATACCCACTGAAAGAGAGCTTTAAAATGCAGATGTTAAAAATGATACTTGAACCAAAATCTCGCCAAGTTGAAATTGATTTGATTTGTATCTGGGTACTCCTGAGCTAGTAAAAGGGGAAAGCACAGTAAATCATCCCCTGAAATAAAGTGCTGTGGATGGGAATGGTTTAAAAGGGTGCCGGAAATGTGGAAAACCTGCTGTTATTACTTGGCTGCGGATCGCAGCAACTCGGCGCCCCGCGAAAGCTCACCGGCTGGCTGGCCACTAGAGGGCAGTGTGCACTCATCTACGTCGCCCACTTTTGGCATGTCCTTGCCTCCGTCTGCTGAAATGAAAAACCTCTAACTGCTGTAATAAATTTGGCTAAATTAGCTGCTAAATGGTTATCTCAAGTAATATGTATTTGCATTAATCATCTTGCTCTAAACCAGAACAAGCCAGAGTCCTAAAGACGTAGTAAATTCATATTGTCCATTTAATTACGGCTAATAAGTGCTTCATATACAACAGTTTCATGAAGTACATTTAGATTTTTTTTTTTTTTTTTTTTGGAGGGGGGTGGATGGGTGTGAAGGGAAGTCACTTTGGAAAAGGGCTGTGTTTAAGGCTGTGGAAGCTCTTCTCATCTTGTCCTGAGCCACTCTTCCTGGCTCTGAAAGTGCCACATCCATCTATTACATCCATAAACATATAAACTTGGAAGGTTTTCTTCCATTCTCCTTTTTTTTCTCACAGCACACTAACGGGACCGTTGTAAAATTTGGTAATTATGTCTTAACTGTTACTTGAAAAAGCCTCACTTTGATGAGTGTTTCAAATCATAACAAGTTTCATTCTGAAACTCCTCACCAGTTTAGGGTGTTTTGAAGGCCCGGAACTGTCACCTTCTCTTGGTGGCGTGGCTCCACAGGTTGCATTGTACTCTCCTTTTGTAGGCAATTGTAAGTTCTGCCATTCTGCATGCATGGCTTCCCAGGCTACAAAACTGCGTGGTGAAGCTGAAAGCAGTAAAATACTAACTCTGCCATACAGCTCTTCTGTCAAACCATTGTTGCATGCAACAAGATGTGCTTTTATTCAAATCCTCTCAACCTGGTTAACTATTAACAGAGGAACGATGGGTTATATAATTCTGTCCACTATTTTCACAGAGAAAACTTACAGCACCCCAATCAGTGGTTGGGGGTATAATTCTGTCTGCTTTGTGTCTGGAATGAGGAATAATTCCAAATGGTTCTAGTATGTTTAACAAAGGCAAAGAGACTAAGAAGCCCCTTTTTAGAATCACATGAAGAATACATTGAGATGGCAGGCCAGATCAGCACAGCCTGCCTGGGAGTTCTAGACTAGAATTTGACCAAAAGCAGGCAAAATTTTAAAAAGAATTATCTCCACTTTACAAAGTATACAAAAGGGGCAAAGGGATAAAGGAGTTATAATATCAAATTAGAATCTGCAGAATCAATGTAAAGATCACCCCCTCCTTCCTGATAATACTTTCTCTTAATAAAATCCCAATTTGGAAATAGACATCCAGCCAAACGTTTGGCCTCCCCAGTGGTCTGCACGTATGTGTAGCGAAGGGGGCTGAAAGGCTTCTTTGCTAAGGGACCGTATGGTGTCATCTTTTTGAATTACAGTAGGATGACTCTGGGTCTACCTAAATGGATCTGTGTTTCCTGAGAAGATAAATCCAGCACTCGTTTGTTAGGGCCCATGAATATAATAATACAGCTTTCTTTATCACCCAGGCCAAGGGTCAGCTAGCAAGAGAGGAGAGCTAAATATGAGAGGGGCAGGACAGGTGACTTCTGATGTGAGGAGGTATCTGTAAAAAGACTGAAGGGGAAGGGAATGGCTCACGGCTTCCTTGGGGAGTCGGGGAGCCACGTGATAGCCCTTGACTTCCTGTGGTGAATACCACAAAGCAGGTTCGGGAGCCCACCGTGGGCGGCTGAAGAGGACGAGTTTGACTGACCTGTGGTTTTACCCTGGGCCAGTCTGACAGGCAGAATTCCTAAAGGGTAGGCAATCTCACTTGGTCTCTCCTAGGGATTGGTGTTTTCTGAATGAGACCCCCAAGCGCCAGTGGGAATCTAGATAACTACAGATACGGTGCAGAGTTGGGACAACATGTTTACCAAAAAATCACCCAAGTTGCTTTTGGTTTGCAACAGATCTTGTAAAAGAAATCATAATGTTTGGGAGGCCAAGGTGGATGGATCACTTGAGGCCAGGAGTTCGAGACTAGCCTGGCCAACATGGTGAGACGCTGCCTCTACTAAAAATCCAAAAATGAGCCAGGTGTGGTGGTGTGCACTTGTAATCCCAGCTGTGAGGGAGGCTGAGGCACAAAAATCGCTTGAGCCTGGGAGGCGGAGGTTGCGGTGAGCTGAGATTGCACCACTGAACTCCAGCCTGGGTGACAAAGCGAGACTCTGGCTCAAAAAAAGAAAAAAGAAATCATAATGGAATTTAGCTTCTTTAAAAAATGAAAAAGAAATACCTTTTGCTTGGGCCTCCAGAATGTAAATTTATGACTTTGGGATGAAGCTTCTTTCCTTGGAAAAAAAAAAAAAAAGTCATACTGGCAAATCAGTTGGATCATTCCAGCTGCGCCAGAGGCAGGATCTGACAGCTTTTCCTGAACTCATGTGGTCCTAATCAGCTCAAGAAGAAAAGCCACCTTGGTGCCAGTTTGAAAGGATTTTTAGTGTGTAATAAATTAGAGAACTTGAAAAACACAGAAAAAACTTTTTTGATTCTCTTCAATCCAGTGGCTGTTGTTTTTTATTTTCAAGTTTTAGGTTTAAGCAGTGAGAAAGGAGAGAATATTTGAATAAGTTTATTTCATAAAATTCCTTTTGCGGGAATAACAAAAATAAGCACCACGTGAGTTACTTGATATGAAAGTCCTTAAAAAGAGTTAATTGTCCCTTGAAAAGAGATAGATACTCATCACACAATGAGCTTAGGAGTAAAGTCATAACCATGTCTACAAACTACAAAGGGAAAGGAACAGAGGGAGAGGAACTAGAAGGAGAGATTCTAATTTGAATATCACATCCTTGTCATATGGTCTAGGTACCTCTAACATGTAACCTGGCATCTTTTCTTTGGTTTATTCCAAAGTTTACTTTCTACTCTCCAAAATTTTTGGGCTGAGCAACCTGTGTGTCTCTCGCTGAATTCACTGATCGTGTCAAAGCATCTCTAGAATTATGTCTTTAAAGTTGTACTCTAGGCCGGGCGCGGTGGCTCACGCCTGTAATCCCAGCACTTTGGGAGGCCGAGGCGGGCGGATCACGAGGTCAGGAGATCGAGACCATCCCGGCTAAAACGGTGAAACCCTGTCTCTACTAAAAAATACAAAAAATTAGCCGGGCGTGGTGGCGGGCGCCTGTAGTCCCAGCTACTTGGGAGGCTGAGGCAGGAGAATGGCGTGAACCCGGGAGGCGGAGCTTGCAGTGAGCCGAGATCCCGCCACTGCACTCCAGCCTGGGCGACAGAGCGAGACTCCGTCTCAAAAAAAAAAAAAAAAAAAAAAAGTTGTACTCTAGTAATTACTTTTAGTTTGAGGATCCCAAAACTTTTAAATGACCTCTTCTTAGATTTGACAAAGTAAACCTGAAGACATAGAGAGGATAAATACACTTGCATAGGTTAGCTTAGAATCTTGAAAGGTCCCAGACGTAACTGGGAACATCTCTGCTAGCACACAAGAACATGTTCCTTGCTCCTCTGAAGCCCAGGGTGTAACCAGTTGCTTTTGGCTGTTGTTGCTCGAAGGAAAACCAGGAGGCTCTTGTTGGCACCATCCCACCCTCCAAGTTATAGGAGCTTTAGAGTTATAAGCTGTGCTCTTCAGAGGACAGAGGTGACCTTCCACTTGTGAGAAGAATACTATAGAGATGAACTGGGAGAGATTTAAATCCTCCTGGTTGAACTGTTTCAGCTTTGCTTAGCTAACAATTACAATACCATGAGTAAGTGTGTCTTTGGCTGTTGAAGTCAAAATATTAATACCACGTACCTCTAACTGTGAAGGAAGCTGCAAATACAGTTCAATCAAAAGAAAATTGTGGAGTGCTTACATTTCAGAACATGTGACCTTTTACATCAAACACAGGTTTCCCCTGCCCGCCCCCCACCCCCACCAAGACTGGATGCTAAGTTTTATTGAATATCTTTTTAAAATGTCACCTGGTCTCTTGGTTTGAGCTTAGTGGTTGGCCTATAAGAAATGTACTGCTTAGAATAATTCTTCTCCCTGCAAATCTGATGAACTTTTTCCTGAGGTACACATCCGTGGCCCTGCACACAGTTACCAACAGAGGGATTTCAGTTTTCCTTGGGAAAACTTTGTCCACAGACACAGACTGACGACTGAAAGGACATAAAGGAAGCCAGTGTCTGTGGCAGGAACATAATTCTGGTAGTAAATCAAAACAAATCAGTACAAGTTTGCCTTCAGAAATATGGAGAAAAAAAGAGAACGTGGTCTCTTCCTGTTGGGCTGTTCTACAAAATCAAAGCCAAAGATTCTAAATAGTGAGTTAGTTGTGTCATAAGAAGAAGGAAGCAGTCTAATTCAGTTTGAAGAGGAGATGAAGAACACATATCAAAAGCGGTCTTTTAGCAAAGTGTCTCACAAAAGGACATTTTAGTGGTTTGCATATGCATTAAAAAGCTGCAAGACATGGTGCATTCAGGTAAGTATAGAATAAATAGGAAATGGTGAGATCATCGGAGATTCCACCCTTCACATTCACACAGCCGAACAAAGAGCTTCATTATCGTCATGGCGATAGGAGGACGCATCTGTGGCGCCATTCACCCCCTCCTGGAGGTACCTTCGTCAGTGGCCGCGGAGAACGGAGAGCAGGTGCCTTCTGCTACAGACTCAAAAATTATTTTTGAATTCACTAGAGTGTGTATCTGTGTGTGTAAGTGAGGGGGGTGTGCTAGAATCACACTTTCTACTTAATACCACAGTTGGGTGCTTAGCTGTAGCCACCGGTTCCCTTTCTACATTCACAAAACTGGCAGATGAAACATGAAAAAGAATACTGACTCTTTAATCTCTGCTTCTCCACCTAAGGCCCAAGGCAGGCTGACAGGGAACTTCATTCTGGAAACAGGACTTTCTTTCTTCCTTTTTCTTTCTTTCCTTTTTTTTCTTTTTAATTCTGGATTACTTTTTCTTTGGCTTTTGAAAACTGGGCTATAGGGGAATGAACCTGACATAGACTTAAAACAAGAACAAGTTTCCTTATCTAAAAAGTTACAGTCCTTGAGGCTTACAGGAAGGTCATTTTCAAAACCCACAGGAGAAACACAATTATAGCCAGAAACTGCATTAAGTGCTTTATTTACTCGCAAAAGAGACAGTTTTTCATTTAGAACTGCTCATAGGATCAACCGAGGCTTTGATGCTGTGCAGACTTTTCTATAGATTTTGCAATTAGTGAGCTAGATGTCTTAAATAGCAGGCATCCAGAAATTGGTTTTTAGGTTTTTTTTTTTTTTTTTGTAAATCTATATGCTGAGCAATATTTGGTAGAATTGAAGGATATTTGATACTTACTGTGAGTTATGAGCTTAAGGACAGAAGACCTGTAGATGTTTTGTGAATGAGTATGCATCATCGATGGATTTTCCCCCCTAATACGCTAATGACAGGCCCTGCTTGAATTGCTATCTGTGTGATTTACAACCTCAGGGGAGGTTTTTTCCTATACACTGCCAATTGATAGATTTTTATTGACTGTTAATATTGAATCATGCAGAAAACTTTTCATTGATTTAGAATGCGTCAATTTGTTAAGCTTAAAAAATAAATTCCCCTTTTCTTCATGATAATGTACTGAATTGGAGAACAAGGCTTTTAAACACTGTTAGTGTTCTAGGACAAGGAGAATCAAAATAATTGTTGGCATGAGGGACATCTGAGATCACAGTATTTTACGAGCTGTTTTCAGTCTGACCAGGGAGTTTCAGTCCCACTCATTCATTCCCTTCTCAACCCAAAATAGTTAAGGATAGAGTATTTTTTTTAGGACCTATACCTTCTCTTTTGGGGGGGGAATTTGTTATATAAATGAGAAGCGGTGAACTCCTCAACATGGAATTAAAAAAATTAAGGCTAGGAACTGAGGACAATGGTGGATTTATTCATTCAATCCATTTTTTTTGAGTGCCTACTCTGTGCTAGTCACTGGGGGATATCAGAGTGTGCAAAATGTGTCACAGGCCTGTCCTACGTTAGTCTCCATCAGTCTTGATAATTGCATTCCCCTAGTCAGGGATTGTTTTAGGTTTGGAATATGATGAGACACTGGGCAATGAAACTCAAGTGGAAGTCTCTACTGTGAGAGGTTGTTGAAAAAGTTTATTCACTCTGGAAAGAGGGATTTACCTCTACTTGCCTTTGAATGAGAAAGAGATGCTTATCAGTCATTTTCACTAATAAGTTTACAACAGTGACAACTGTATGGCAGGTGGTATGTAGGTCTATGAAAGCGCAAAGGGCGTCTGACTTGGGCTGGGTGCATTCTTCACCTCCCTTTAACAATTAAGTGTTATCAAGTACTGAAGCAGTTAATCTGATTAGGGCATAGGCAGAAGTGAAAACAGACAAAAGGGATGATGTGGACCTTATACTCAGATTTATTTTGTCTCTGGTGGACCCTGTGCTTCTGGAGGCAATCATTTTGTTAACTCCACTAAACAAACATCTTTAAAAAGAAATACATGAGTAGTGAGGCACAGGTATGTAAAAACTAGTGTTTCAGAAAGTCAGAAACATTTCCAGGATCCCAGACAAATTCCATTTGTTCATCTGTTATGTAGATTTTTAGAAATCCAAGTACTTTATTGTGAAAACATAGATTCTTCCATGTAGCAGTCATTGTTGGTCGTCTGCTCAACAGCTATTCTGCCACTTCCTTCTGGATAACAAAAGTCTGATTTTGGGTTTTATGTTTGATGGCCTCCTCCTAAATCCCAGGAGAATAAACCTCGATTGTTTAAGCCAGATACAGTAATTCTACCCGCTTGCCAGTGAGTGGCTTAGGCTTGGTCACTCGACACACGGGACTATGAGACACAAGAGGCTTCTCCCTGCTGTGGGGTGGTGGGGAAGTGCTTCTGGAAATGTTTTCTGTGAGCTCCAAAATGAACACAAAACATCGACTGACCCCTTCCGCACTTTGGACATTGCCCTATGAGGAACTGATGATGGGGATGCTATCTTGATCTTTTGATCAAGTCTTTTGATCATGAAGAGAAAGTTAAGTCATTTTTACTGGGATTTTCTGTTACTTGTAACCAGGTGCATTCTAGTCGATATGCCCCACCAAAAGTTCTAGGAAGCCAGAGAAGATGTGGGAGTTCATGAAGAGATTTGAATGACCTGATCTTTAGTTAACCCTGCATGTATGGGAAAACTGTTGCATGTTAGACACATACATGAATTAAATCCTATGCCACTCATTTAAGTTAAAAAAAGTTTGATGTTTTTTGAGATATGTGAGGTATCATTGAATGTTTTCAGGAAACAATTTAAAAAATAGTTTGTATAAGATTGAGAACACGATGCCATTATAAGAAGTAATGGAATTGATTTTATTTAGGTTAACTGATTTAGGTGAAAATGGATGACTCAGAAGTATTGATTTTTTTTTTTTTTTTTTTTTGAGATGGAGTCTCACTCTGTCACCCAGGCTGGAGTGCAGTGGCATGATCTTGGCTCACTGCAAGCTCCACCTCCCGGGTTCACACCATTCTCCTGTCTCAGCCTCCTGAGTAGCTGGGATTACAGGCACCTGCCACCATGCCCAGCTAATTTTTGTATTTTTTAGTAGAGATGGGGTTTCACTGTGTTGGCCAGGCTGGTCTCGAACTCCTGACCTTGTGATCCACCCGCCTTGGCCTCCCAAAGTGCTGGGATTACAAGCATGAGCCACCATGCCCGGCCAGAAGTATTGATTTTGTTTTCTTCTTCTGATCGTGCCTTATAAGAGCAATGGGTTATTTTTTGTTGAATACAAGGTTTTAAAAAAACTATAAAAGCAGCTACTAGGCTGGGCGCAGTGGCTCATGCCTGTAATCCCAGCCCGTTGGGAGGCCCAGGTAGGTGGATCACCTGAGGTTGGGAGCTCGAGACCAGCCTGACCAACATGGAGAAACTCCGTCCCTACTAAAAATACAAAATTAGCCGGGCGTGGTGGCGCATGCCTGTAATCCCAGCTACTCGGGAGGCTGAGGCAGGAGAATTGCTTGAACTCGGGAGGCGGAGGTTGTGGTGAGCCGAGATCGTGCCATTGTACTCCAGCCTGGGCAACAAGAGTGAAACTCTGTCTCAAAAAAAAAAAAAAAAAAAAAATAAATAAATAAATAAATAAATAAAAATAACAATAAAAAATAAAAGCAGCTACTAATTGAAATAATAATGAGAAGCTTGCGAATCCATGTGAGAATTTTATTAGAATTTGTCAGTCAAATCAAAGTTCTGGCTTGCTCTCTGGGGAGACAGAAAAGATCATGTGTTTGTGTTCTATGTCTCTCCTATGCTCTTCTAAGCCTGCAATGCCTTAGACCACTCCTCCATCTCTCTTGCCATCCTCTTTCAAAGTCCAGGGAAAATCTGCCTCCCCTGGGGCTTTTTCTCCATCCTCCCCTTAGTTGCTTTCACCTCTGGGGTTTCTGTGTTTTGTCTGCACATCTTAACAGACCTCATTTCATACTAGCTATTCAGAATTGGCTGTTTCATGCTGCCTTCTCTATTAGTATGTAAGCTCCTCGAAGGTGGACACCATACCTTAGTTGCTTTTGAAACCTCACAGCAATGACACAGGCTTTGCATTAGTAAGTGCTCACAAATGTTAGATAAACTTGAATAGGAAAAAAACGACTGCTCATATTCACTCATACAGTCAAGTACACAGGAAAGTATTCGCCCAAGGGAAAAAAACGGTAAGATCTTTTGCTTACTAGGTTGGATATTAGTACTATGTATACTCTGTTAAATTTTTCCTGTTGATATTTAAAACTTTATATCTTTGTAAAGAAGTCAGCTTCTTAATCCTATTCTTGTTTCATTGGAATACTGATCGAGTACCCTGAGAGTTATTTCACTACTCACCTTTTGCTACTGTTCTCAGAATTCATCCAATTTGAGAGGAAAAGAAAACCCTTCAGATACTCAGTTTGTATTTACTGTTTACGTCGTGTAAAATAGTGCCGTCTAAAGACTAGTATGGTCTGTACTTTTCAAGCTTTCACATGAATACGAGTCAGCTGGGGATCTTGCTAACTGCAGATTCTGATTGGGGAAGGCCTTAAAATGTGCGTCTCTGAGTTCCCAGGGGGTGCTGACACCACTGCCCCACTGATGCACAGTGTAGTAAGCGCAGCAGGGATGCGCCGCTGGAGCTCAACCCTCTTGCTGGTCTCTGACTCCGTGCTTGCCTGCCCATGGACTTGAAAAGCCAAAACAAGCACTGTCTCCCTGCCGGTACCCGCCCCCCCACACCACCCCCCCAAAAAACTAAGACAAAATAATACAAATTCATCCCTGCATAAAAACCTGCCTTTATCTTGCCTCCTTGTGACGGTTTTTTCGGTTAATGGCCAGGCACACGATGAAGGCTGACTTGGCTTCTGAAGAAAGTCAGACATGGTAGCTATTACATGCATTTCCTTTCATGGGAATTTTCATATTCATATGGCAGAAGGGGAACACTTACTTGCTCTGGGAAGAGTCCAGCCAATGACCAGGTTGCAGCTAAATCCCTGAAGACCCACCCCTGAAGAAAGGCTGAGATCAGAAAACAGAAAAAAGTCCCCCGTGCTATCTGCATTTGGCCCACCCATCAAACTTTCCACCTTTTCTCTTTCCTTCACTTGCAGCTTCCGTTTCTGTGTGCAGTGGCTGCATACCCAAACCAACAATTAAATTCCCCCTTTGTTTGTGTGGCAGATGACAAATGCATGGAGGACATCTTGTGTTGCCTAGGCAGGCAGGGCACTTACTTTGATTGATGCTCGGTTGTGGAAAAAAATGAGCTGGGAAGGAATTACAATGGAGGGCCTGCAGACTGGAAGGGGATATACTAATTAGTCCCGCATTAAGCAGTCTGCTTGCATTTGGCGATGAGACGCCTTCAGGAGGGAAGTGTAGGGGTTATTGATGCAAAACAGCATGGAATGCATTATATCAGGTAGCTGTATATTAGTTTTGTTAGAAAGTATAGAAGTTTGTAATTAAGAAATAAACACTTAAGCTACTGTTTTTTTCTTTTTTTTAAAAAAAAACAACCCCCAAGTATGTTGGATAGGCCATGCTTTTTAACTGCATGTGATCTCAAAGGCAATCTGAAGTCCTTCTGTCTTTCTGAAATAACTCTTCCAGAGTTTTCTGAGACTGGGTCAGGTGCTAGGAAGGAAAAAACTGCCACCACACCTACAGTCTCTGGCTCCTTTTCTCTGAAATCCCACAGCTCCAGAGCCTTGAGCCTCCCTGGTGGAGCAGAACATCATAAAGAGAAAGGAAGTTTTCCCCTAGGCCACTCTTTAAGGTTTTAGAAAGTTGTTGCTGATTGGACCCACAAAGAACCCTAGGGATATCTCGAGACAAATTCAGCTCCTTCTCTAGACAAAGGGCTGGATTAAATGGGAATAAAGAGCAGTGCAAAGCATGCATCTCTGTTTGGTTTAGCACTCCATTTTTGGGGGGCTACAGGCAGAAGTAGAGTGGTAGATGGTTGCACTGAAACGTCTCATAATTGAAGAGCCACACAGACACCATAAGTAACTGGAGTGTGTAACTGTGGGAAGCTGTGAGTGATCATCTCCCAAGCCAGTACCTCCTGAGCAATGGAGAACTGGAGGGAGGAAGAGGTGAAGATGCCCCAATAATTACTAATGTGAATGGTTTAAAATTCTAACCTTTAAATGTTGATTTGACCTGAATAATTGGTGAAATTGGTTTTAAATGAAAGAAATCACAGACGTCTTTGGTCACAGTGTGAAAGAAGGGGCCCTAGAACTCCCTAGGCTTTAGAGTTCCAGTGTAGTTTCACTAACATACCATGTTGGCGTCAATAATGTGATTCTTACTGATTCTTTCTGTTGAAATCCAGTGAACTATCAGTCATCTCATGTTAACTTAGTGGAAGAGTAGATGCTCTAAAGTTCTTGGTTCAATTTATCAGAGTTGTAATCCTGGCACAGCTGATATTCCTCTTTACTTTTCTTATTCTAGAGACAAGTTCATTTATGGATTTACAGATGCCTAGGCAAGGAAAAAAGATATAAGTGATAAAGATAGTATTTTTAGTTATCAAAGACTATTAAGTCTTTTAAAAAAACGCTTTATCAAACTGGGGCATAAGACAGATATTAAAAAATCAGAAATATTACCAGATGACTACAACCTATCTTTCAGGACAGAACCAGGAATTGTGCCAATAGCTCTAGGAAGAAAAACTAAATAGTTAATGTGGTTTATTTTTTAACCATCCCTTTGTTTTAGAATTCTATCTTATTCTTGACCTGATTCTATGTCGCCATGACCTTCTCCTGCCAAGAAGGCACAGTTGAGGCATCCTTCAGTAATAGCCTAGGGCTTTGGAAAAGCAAGATGCTGTGCTGGCTTTTTGCCTTTTCTTCCAGTGTTTACACAACCAAGACTTATTACATGGTCTGTCATTTTGTTACTGGGCTGGCTTTGGTTTGAGAATTAGGTAAACATCAGACATTCCATCACACAATTTTAGACTCAATCTTACTTTATAATGATGTTAATGTTTATTGTACAAAGCGAGATGCATTTGTATATTTTAGCATTTTATTTCAGTCACAGAATGCAAAACCTGACACTGGAATCAGTTTGATTTTTTTGTGTGTGTGATTGAAGATATTAAGCACTACAAGAACGCTGAAATTTCAATCTGATTAGGATCAAACTTCTTCAGGATCAAAACACTCTTTTTCCTCCCCCTACAGTTTTACTAATTGTGTGCTACTTGACATTGTGGAGTTATTCCACAGCATGATAGCTAAATATGTGAAGTGTATTTTACTATGCAGAATTATCAGCTCATTCTATTTGTTTTTCATGTGTTTAAGGTTATTAAAAGAACTCAAAATTAGAAGTCATGTGTATGAGTTAAAAGAATGAACCCAATCATTGTTAGTAGGCTGAATCATAAAGCAATAGCCGGTATGTCAATATCAAGTAATGAAAAAAATCAGAATTTGAAAGCATACCTTCTCTGTTTATTAGTTGGCAAGATACCAGAAAAATTAGGAGAATAGCACAATAGTGAATGGTGGAGTGGTTTATTTTCAGCACTCTCAAATTATTCTGGGTACGGAAAATGAGATAAAAGTAAATCGGAAAGAAAGGCATCAAACATATTTGTTGGAGACCTTTGCTTAATGGGGAGAAATGAACTGCCCTCGCTCACTGTTCCTGAGGAATTGTGTTTCTTCAAGCTGTAAATCAAATCCCAGAGAGATAGCATGATGCATGATGTTTTCCAAATAATAACTGAGGAAGACAAAGTTCTTTTTTTTTTGTCAGCCTCAGGTTTCTGAATTTAGACCTTAATTAAGATTCCAAAATGAGAAGGCATCTCCCTCTGCACACATGGTCTATGACAGTGTCCTCAAAACAATATATTCATTTGTGAAGTCTGGATCTCTAGCCTGTATTATTCCAAAAATATATCCATGGCTTCTTCCAAAGATCCTGATTTTTTTCTCCATTTTCTCTAAACTCTGAGCAACAAAGAACCTGATGTTTCTTTTCAGGAAACCACATCATTTTTTTCCCCAATTAATTGAAGAGCCATCTGCTTCTACGATACACAACACCCATTCATTCTCAGCAACAAGTGTGTTCCCTAAATCCCTGGTGTGCAATATCAAGACACACACACTCCGTGTTGGGAGTAGAATCTGCTGTCTTGCAGGCAGGCTCTTTCCAGAGACGTGGTATATACAGATTCTGACACTGAACTTGGTTCCATGTCAGTGTTGCTAACGCAGGGTTAAAAACACAGTACAGGATGTTCATACTTTGAGGTGCTGGCTAGCTCAACATCTCCATGTTTCTGAGTTCGAAATGAAGAAATAATTGCAAAGGGCAGGAAAGATAAGAAATAGCTCTCTTTGACCAAGATAAGAAAGGGGAGAGGAGGTAAATACAAAGGCCACTTGGCTGGCTTTTTCTGTATAAATGCTTCAACTTTAGGCTGTACCATCTCATTTGTGGCACCTTGCATGTACAGCCGTGTGTTGTTTAATGATGGGGATACATTCTAAGAAATGCATCACTAGGGTATTTCATCATTGTGTGGATACCACAGAGTGCACTTACATAAACCTAGATGGTGTAGCCTACTACACACTTGGGCTATATGGTATAGGCTAATGCTCCTAGACCAAAAGCTGTACAGCATGTTACTCTACTGAATACTGGTAGGCAACTGTAACACAGTGGTAAGTATTTGTATATCTAAACACAGAAAAGGTACAGTAAAAATGCAGTATTACAATCTCATGGGACCACCATCATATATGTGGTAGGTAGTTGACCAAAACATGGCTAAGTGGCATGTGACTGTATTTAAATTCAGAGGTCTGAACTGGGGTTAGAAGCTTCCAGGGACATGGATAGGGGGTAGGGGAGACTCATCTTCAGGAAGAATCTCCTGAATGGTCATATAAAGGACCTCTGGTCAGAAGAGGGCCACCAGATCAGTGCTCTAGTCAGACCCCTTCCATGGACAGTGCGAACAGCCAGGGCGGTTGGATGCGGGGTCCTGCATGGTTCTGCTGGTGTGTTGCTGGAGCCAGCCACACCACTGATGCTCCTGCTTTGCTCACATGCACAGAAGGTCTTTTGGAGTTCAGCCTGTGGCTCAGGGGCTGGGAGCCATATTCAAAGAGCTGAGATAAGTTTCTGTTCCCCAGGAGTTGGGGGATGGAGATACCTACTCTTCTGAATAACTCTCTTTCCAGAAACAGCGAAAGCACTGTCTTCGAGAGCTGCTGTGTCCACACAACATTTTCTCTAAAGAACGTGCTCTGCCCCATCTCCCTGGCTTCCCCTCACCCCAGTTTTGTGGCTGGTCAAATAGGCATTTTTATAAGGCTCTGGCTTATTTGAACTTGTCTTCTCCCATGTGTACTTTGAAACTGAGACCACAAATTTCAGAGTGGAAGTTGTTCTCCAGAAAATGAAAGGGTCAAGGTAGCACTTAAGACAAAGGTTTCCCCACCACTTTATAGGAGAGACAGCAAAAGACACCACAGAATTCTGGGTGAGTGCCTAAAGATCCAGCAATTTCTCTAGGCCTGAGGTCCAACTTTCAATCTAATTCTAACACGCGTTGAAATGATTTATGTCTCACTTTTTCTCACTGCACACTGACAGTCATCTGAAATGTACACAGGAAAGATGAAGGGAAAAATCAGCACTGAAACCAAACAAGCCTCAGAGATTGCTGACACCAGCCGGGGTTATTCCCCCACACAGGAGGTACTTACAGTCCAAGTGACTGTGCCTGATGCCCTCCACGTCTTCAGCATGGATGAAGTGGTAGCATCTCTTCCCTACGATATCTACAGGGGTCAGATCCATATAATCACTAATCCTACAAAGAGAAGAACACAGGCTGGAATTCAGAAAGGAGGAAATATAAAGAAACTGTCAAATAACTTAGAAACAGTTCTACTGACACATTTCATTATACTACTGTACCCGTGAGGAGGTGGCACTGTGAGGGAAACCCTTTATACATAAGATTATTTCTTTAACACGTAACAGTCTTTTTTCAAAAGTAGGAAATGCGTTAGATCAAGCGATTGTGTTTCAACAATTAGATAGGTTTTTCTCTTTCTTTGGCATTAAGAATGCACATTTAGACAACATAATTTCATGAAATTATTGAGAATCAGTAACAATGCAAGATCCTCATTACAGGCCAAGATAATTCAAGGTTACATAATAAAATAAAAACATGTTATGTTTATACCAAATGATTAGAGACACCTTTCATTTAAACAGATTGGTCTTCTATTGGGTATTTCCATGAAAAAGGGCTTCAGCAGCTTCTTGGCACAAAGTCCAAATTGGCATTTCAAGGGATATAATTTAAATGCTGAGACATACAGATGCCTGGGGGTATTATCTTTTTTAGTCTTAGTCATTTGGGAGCTCGGCTTTCACTCCTGGCCCTTTTAACTGGTACTTTGTGGTGGATTCCACACAAAAACTTTTAAACCATTTCAGCAGCTCTTCCAGGCTTGTGCTCGACAGTACGTGTGTGTAAAAGCCTCTGTCACTGACTGTCCAGACGTCGATGTCCTCAGGCAGAGCATGGAAAAATAGAGCCCAAATTGGAAACCGTGTTGGGGGAATCCGCCTGGTTTACACAAACATGTCAAAATGCTTGTTACCCTCTGTATTACCAAGTGCAGATTCCTTTTGGTCAGTCCAAAGTGGAATATATTTTTTGTTTAATTTATTCTCTTTACTCTTCATGTGTTTTTTTTTTTTATGACTTACGGCATATGGTCTATTGAAATATGAAGTAAATCTTTAGAAATGACACATTTAAGAAACACATGTGATCATTGTTGGAGAGTTTTCTGGCCCCCAAGGCAGGGAAATAAGAAAGAAAAACAAACAAAAAAAGAAACATAATTAAAATATATTACCCATCGAGTGAATTTCTCAGTGTCTAGCAATTCAAATAATATTTTTGGCCAAACTAGGATTTTAGGTAAGATAAGATTAACTGGGGAAATAAAAAGGAGGGTTTTCTAAGGATTTCATGGGTTTCAGGTATGACACAGATTAGTCGGTGTTTTCTTAAAACCATTAGCTATCTTCCAAGCACAGTTAAACCCCCTTTCTGCAAATGAGGGAACAAGGATGTCATTAAAAGACCCTCCCTCACTGGTGTTTCTGAAATTTGCCAGCTCCTCTGAAAGCATTAGATGTCGGCTTTGCCTGAGGCCGTCCTTGGGAATGCAGAGAAGAATGGTCTGCAGAGTCAAGGAGCAAGGCTTAGTTTCTAGTTAACAATTCCCTAATTAAATAATAAACCCCAGGAAAAAGCCACTCCATTCTTTAGGGAAGGCATTTCTTTAGTTTATTCTTTTCTTGAATTAAATCCTTAAAAAACGATCCAAGCCCTTCTCTGTACCAGAGCCTGTTACTGTGGTGAATGCGACTAGCCCGGCATTTGAGGGTCTCTTAACACATATCTCAAAAGCACCAGACCAGTTGGATGACCTACACCAGGATCAGAATCCTGATGGCACCTTTTACTCTGAGACTCAGTTTCTTCTTCTGTAAAATAATCCAAAAGGTTGGTGAGGGGATGAATGAATGGAATGAAATTAACACAGCATAGTGCCTGGCACACAATATGCTTTTCCTCAGATCAAATATGCAATTACCTTTCATACAGGTATTTTTCATAATTACTATCATCTGTAGATGGGAAATAATGCTGTATTGTATTGGCTAATAAAGGGGACTGTGAAAAGCTTTTTTTTTTTTTTTTTTTTTTTTTTTTTTTTTTTTTTTTAAGAGGAAGAAAAACGCCAAAAGCAGGTCACAGAAAATGATCTCAATTACTAGAGTGGCACCATGAGGCACTCGGGTCCATGGAGCTTGTCAAAAGAATTAATGAGTTGATCACAGGAATGAAAATTAAGTGATGTTTTGGGATAGGACAATCATTGGAAGTTTGGTAAATAAGACGAGGCCCTGTTCTTTGGAGGGAGAGGTGGCTGGTAGCTAAATCAAGGGAGCTGATGTGTGTTTTCAAAAAAGCAAAGCCACAGTCCATCCTCTGATTTGATGTCTGTCTTCCCTGGTTGGATCTCCTTCTCCAGCATTCTACATTTTTAATTAGAGAAGAAATAGCTTTGTGGGCTGTAACTTGGTTCTTTCATGGGTACATATGTATGAAAAGTCCCCCTCAGAGGTTATTCTTTCTGGTCATTTGCCATTCAGTCTGACTTCTGAAGAAAAAGAAGAGACTCCAGGAGACTCCACAGGATGTAGCTAACTACATGGGCTTTTGAATCTCTTGGCTGAGGATGAGACAGTCAACGTTTCTCTCTTAGCTGAAATTGCCCAAAGGCAATGGAGACAGCAGCAGCACCTGCCTCACAGGACTGTCCTAAAGCTTAAGTGAAATTGTGCAGGTGATGAGCTTTGCACACGCCCCATGTGTAGTAAGTGATCAGTAAACGCCAGCCATCTTTATTAGGAACTGCCAACTCCAGCGAATCATTCTGGCTAACGCATGTTTCCTGGTGTTCTGTGGCCCTTCCAGAATATCTCAGACATACCCACGATGTCACGATCATAAACATTTTAATAAATGCCAACAAAATTTGAAATGCAGATTCAGAGTTTCTTATCAAATAACAGCAACAGGTTCATGAGATCTTCCACCCTATTGAACACTCATAGCTCAGGTGGGTTATCTTTTCCCAGGGTGAATTATTTCCTTTGAATCAGGTCCTGTTCAGAAATGATAGGCAGTTTCCAACTCGATCTCAACATCTTCAGCGCTTCCCAGTGGACTGAATGCAGGGGCTATCTTCTTGGTTAGTCTCTGGAGAGGTCAGTTCCCCAAGTCACTTGACCATTCGGATCTTCAGTTTCTCCTCTGAAGGCACTTGCAGGGCTCAGTGAATAAGCCTGACAACAGCGCTGCAAAAGCATCCTCCCCAAATTGACGCAGTATTTCTCCCTGTGGCACCCGGGGAAGGATAGTATCGCCAGAGCTTCCTTCCCACACCTGGTATGTGGGCGGCTCCTCTCCACGGCCCTCCCTGCACCCCATGGTTTCCTCTTCCAATCAGTCTGATAAGGGGCTGCTGACTTCTAGGTGAAAGGTCTGAAGGGGCAATGTCCCATTTCCTTGTCCCTTGCTTTGTGCTTAATGGAAAAAGTGAACTTTTTAACCAGAGGCTAAAAAGTCCTTTTATAAAAGCTTAGTCTTGAGGAAGAACTGCCAACTCATTTGTATGATGAGTCATCTTTTTTTAATTTATAAAAGTGAAATCCTCAGGATGACAAAGTTTTATTTAATAGCTTTGTAAATTTCTTTTTCATCCTTTTTCCTCTGTGGACCTCAGATTCTCATTTGTTCTTTCCATGCTTAGCGTCTGTGTGAACACTGACCACCATGAGGCCAGGCCCTCGAATTAGGCAGAAGTGGGTCCCGATGAGGCATCAGGCAATACATTTTACTGCATCATTTTGCCAATGGCATCTAAGCCCTGCTCTCTCCTTGGGTTCTCAGCCAAAATGGACCTTCTTTATAGCATATGGATGTCTGGGTATCCCGATTCATTTAATTGTTGTCCCTAACGTAAATCAGGGCAGCAATGTAAATTTTAAATAAAAAGCATGTTTGGTGTCAGTCCAAGTGGCCATTAAAAACAAGATCAGGATTTAGAATGAACCTCACTGGGAGAGTACCATCCTTCAGACGGCTGAAACACAACCCTCACCAATGTGCAACGTGCAACAGGGCAAATGAAAACAAAAACAAAGTACCTATTTTCACAGTAAATGATATTGAGGTCCATATTTACTCGAGTGACGAACATATGGCAGTCAATTCTGACTTCATTGATCGTAGGGGGAGGCAAGGCATGCGCAACAACCACGAGACCCATGATTTGGCTGGGGACGGTCCTCCCGTGGGACAGCGACACTCTCAGGCGTAGCCGGCCTGTTATGTGAATCACCTGTAAAACAACATTAAGTACAGGACACCAGTCAAATTTACATCCCAGATATAACAGCATTTCTTATGAGAAATGCAAAATTACATCTGGAACAACCAACATTAGCTTGTATCTTCTGTAATCATAATGGCTGTCGGCATGCCCTCAGTGTCCTTGTGGCAAGAGACAAAAAAGAAATAGTATTATTACATTCCAGGCGTTCCTCAAGGCAGCATTCTTATGGTGCTGTTGCTATTTTTTTAAGGACTTTTTTTTCACATTAAGGGAAAACTCATAACCAAATAAAATGACCAATAAGTTGAGCACTGAGCTGCAAAAGGAAACATGTGCATTATTAGCCCTTATTAATGGACGACATCTGTCTCTCTCCAGGTCTGTACTTGAGTGGGATTACATGGCCATCTCCTTTCAGATGTGTGGTTTCTGAGCCCTCCTTCGTTCAGGGGTTGATATTGTAAAAGGCCAAAGGCTCCAATGAATAAAACACTCAGTGGCAATGACATGAATGGGTTCTTTCAAGGATAGATATTTCCTGTTATGCAGCACTGAGTTCCCAGTGGTACAGTGATTTATTGCAGTGCCCTATGGGGTTGATGGTCAGAGGACTTTGGCCCATGATTTGTCCCTGGAGCTCATACTAAAGTAGGGTCAGGAAGACTTGAACCATCTTAGTGGCAGCTCAGAGGTATTTGCCTGGAAATAGGAAGGAAAATATTGGGCTGTAATTTTCAGTTTCTTGGCCAAAATAGTCCAGGCCACCCGGAACCAAGCAAACTTTGCATATAAACTGCACATAGAAGAGCCATAGCGACAACTTCCTCAAATGATGCTCTGGGGAAACAAAATCATAAAAGGGTAAAAAATAGGCAGGATTTGTGCCACTATGCCTTAGGTTGCAGAAGGAAGGGCTGGGTGGGGGTGTGCGTGCACACATGTGCATATCAACTCTAGCTGTGTTCCCACGACTCTGCTATAGTGTGGGGAATCCTCCAAAGCCAAGTCATAGAGGTAACTGCCATGATTCACAGTACCATGGAGCTCAGTTTAGTGGCTGAGTGTCCATATGTGCTTTGCCGCTCCAAATGCATCACTGAGTGCCACGCTATCTTTTGAGATTCTGCTTTTCCTCCTTTGCTATAAGGAACTGGAGTGGGAAGTAGGTCTCGTGCCTCCCAGGAACAATATGATCTCGCGTCTGCTCTCCTTCCCAGGGGCTCCACTGGCAATTCCTTTTCCATTTTATTTTTGTTTCTTTTAAGTTACTTGGTTTTCCAATAGTGGGCCCACACTACTGTCAGTCAGGAAGCAGGATCAAAGCTTACAGGGCTGCCCTTCAGAGTTCTAGCTGCTTCAGCTAATACCTTTTCCCTGTCACCCTTCACGTCGGCGCCCACAGCTGTGGATCTGGAAGCACCAATAAGGAGGATTATTTAGGTTATTTCAGCAGCAGCTTTTCGACCACCCACATTTGAAGTTGACTAAATTCATACTTAATGCACCTTTGCTTTAAGCTTTGGTCAGATGAGCTACTTTATGAATATTTGAAGATGTTCCTAGAGGCAAGGATGCTAAAACACCATCACAGACACACGTTTGTGCAAGACCTCATTAACTAATAGAGAAATAGCTAAAAGAAATGGGATTAACTTCACAGGAGGGGTGTTAACAGTCGCTGGTCCTCCTCCCAGCTAGGCTTACATAGATGCTCATTTATCATTATCTGTCTTGTTTTATCAGGAACACTCAGCTTTTTGGAAAAACACAGATCTATAAATGCTCAGGAAAACACACATCCAGAAATGATATGCTAAATAAATCCCCACTTGGTATTCTATTCCAAAGCAATTTAAAGGCGTCTGGGTTGGAAAACATTTGGGGAAGGCAGACAGGCTACCGGGAGGGAGCTGTCAGCATGTCAGATTGACCTGGCCTCTGATCTCCAGCTTTGCCTGTGGCCATCATGGTACTGAAGGGGGCCAAAGTTGGGTCCAGTAGGAGTCTATTGAAGGGGGTCAAAGTTGGGTCCAGTAAGAGTCTCGACTCGCAATTTTCTGATTCCGTTACCACGGGCAAGTCACGCAGCCTCTCTGTGTCTCAATTTCCTTTTCTGTGAAATGGAGATAACGGTGACTATAAACTGTAAAGAATTCTACACATTTTATTATTACGTCTCTGTTTGCCTTTAAAAATATCGACCAGTAAGGACAAGGACCAAGTATTAATTTGGTGTTTTTCAAAAGCCTAATTAGTGACTGACTATTTTAAAGGATCATAAAATTTCACATTTGGAAGAAAATTTGGGAGGGTCTATCTTCGCTCCTTTCCCTTTTTATTTTCAGGTGAAGAAGGAGGCTCCAGAAGGCTCATCCCTGTCCAAAGTCACCTAGCTTGTAAATGGCAAATAGTGCCTGGAACTATGTTTCCATGTCTTGTTTAAGAGTCACTTCAACTTAGTTATACCTGTGTGCATATTCACATTGAATGAAACATTAGAAATAGATACCACATGCCAATTTTTTTTTTTTTGAGATGGAGTCTCGCTCTGTCGCCCAGGCTGGAGTTTAGTGGCGTGATCTCGGCTCACTGCAAGCTCTGCGTCCCAGGTTCACGCCATTCTCCTGCCTCAGCCTCCTGAGTAGCTGGGACCACAGGCCCCGCCACCATGCCCAGCTAATTTTTTTGTATTTTTAGTAGAGACGGGGTTTCACCATGTTAGCCAGGATGGTCTCAATCTCCTGATCTCGTGATCCTCCTGCCTCGGCCTCCCAAAGTGCTGGGATTACAAGCATGAGCCACAGCGCCCAGCCACCAGATGCCAGTTTATTAAGTAAACTGTATATGAACTTTTGAAAAGATTTCATTTATAACTAGAAGCTCAAGTTATTTGAAAAATCTTTGAGAAGTAATATAAACTAAAAAGAAAACAAAGAAAATTACCAAAGCAGTAACTAAATAGTTGTCAAGAAATGTCAAAGAACAATCAGAGGGTGTGTTTGTCTGTCTGTGTGTATGTGTGGGTTTGAGGGAGGGTGGAATTGAAGAGAAGAAAGGGATATCTGTTAGATCCCACAATTTTTAGGTTTAAATTAACATATTTTTTTCCAAATTCATTTCATAATGCCAACAGAGCTTTTTTTCCTCAGGTGACAGGTTATGTTCAAATTTCAGAAACAAGTCTGACAGCATGTATCCAAACATGTAGATCGCTGAATTTTTCATTTTATAGTTGCCTTTAAGGCCTGAGATGTACAGAAAAGAATATTGTCAAGATGGCCTGGGTTCAAATCCTAGCTCTGGCACTTAATAGCCGCACAACTGTGATACTAAGACAATTGAAATGACTTGCTTTGTTTCCAGGTTAGTATATCAAAGATTTAAAACCTAGTACAAAAAAATAAGTGTGTTGCAAAGATTTTTTGTTTTGTTTTGTTTTGAGATGGAGTCTTACTCACTCTGTAGTCCAGGCTGGAGTGCGGTGGTGTGATCTCGGCTCACTGCAACCACCGTCTCCCAGGTTCAAGCAGTTCTCCTGCCTCAGCCTCCCGAGTTGCTGGGATTACAGGCATGCACCACCATGCACAGCTAATTTTTGTATTTTTAGTAGAGACTGGGTTTTACCATGTTGGCCAGGCTGGTCCTGAACTCCTGACCTCAATTGATATGCCCACCTCGGCCTCCCAAAGTGCTGGGATTACTGTGCCTGGCAGTTCTTTTTTTCTGAATAAAGTTAACAAAAGGTATTTTCCTGGTTCTTTAGTTTCTAAGACACATAATCTATGAGGGACCTTGCTAGGTGCCAGGAAGCTGACCAAGGTAAATCAAATGTAAATCTGTCCTCAAAGAGTTTACAGACTGTAAGTTGGGGGAAGACATCTATAATTATTTCTAATATTGCCATAAGAGGGAGATGATTCAGTATCTGATCAAGAAAGGGGGTTTTGATCCTGGTTATGTGACAGAGTCACTTGCGAAGCTTTGTTAACATGTGAATTCCCAGACTCTATCCCCCAGAGTTCTAATTTGATAGGATTGGGTTACAGTCCAGCATTTGTTTGCATTTTAAAGCTTCAGAGGTGATACTAACTACCTGAGAATATCTGGCAAATGGGTTTGCAGTTACACCAGTGGTTCTCAACCATGGCTACACATTGGAATAAACCAGCAAGTCTTGAAAAGTCCCCCTGTCCCGGCTGTACCTGAGACCTGTTAAATCTGGATCTCAGGTGGTGGGGCACTGGCATCAATATTCATAGACATTTTTAAAGTTTTCCAGGCTGGGCATTGTGGCTCACACCTGTAACCCCAGTGCTTTGGGAGCCTCAGGGAGGAGGATTGCTTGAGCCCAGGAGTTCAAGACCAGCTTGGGCAACATAGGGAGACTCCCATCTCTACAAAAAATGAAAAAATTAGCTGGGCATATTGGTTCATGTCTTTGGCCCCAGCTACTTGGAGGCTGAGGTTTGAGGATTGCTTGAACCTAGGAGATGGATGCTGCAGTGAGCCGTGATTCCGCCACTGCACGCCAGCCTGGATGACAGAGCAAGATCTTGTCTCAAAAAAAAAAAAAAAAAAAAAAAAAAGAAAAAAAAAATCCAAGTCTTTCAGGGCTGGTTGGAGGGAATGAAAATGTGTGCAAAGTGCCTAGGTATAATGCCTGATGTGTATTATATGCTCAACAAATACTGTTTGATTAATTAACAAGCATGTTCCATAAGAAAGGTTTGGAATAAGATCTTCAGGAGTTCAGGGTAGGAAGAAAATACTTTCAGCTGAATGGATCCAGGAACATTTCAATTGGTGTCAGCAGGAGAAAAGACAGAGATGGGGCCCAGATGGCAGTACAATCAATGGAAATTGGCAATGGGACCTGAGGAGAAGAGCTGGTATCATAATTTTTGTGCCTGTCCCACAGGACGATGACGACAATAGACTAAATGGTAAATGGTAACCAAATGGTAACCAGTGGAGACAAAGATGATTTCCCTGTGAACAGTTTGTACTTGAGCAGCCTGGGAAGATCCTGGAGAAGGTGTTCAGGGGATAGTCGAAAATAAGAGTTAGGCACTTAAGTGATGATAGTTGAAGGTATAGTTCTGGAAGGTTATTTTTTTTTCTTCCTGGAGGTGATAATTAAAACCAAGAAATTCAATAGAATTGCCAAAGGAGAAAACATACATAAGAGTGCCAAAGGCATTTTTACCCACTTTGAGTAGCTGAAGCCTCAGGCAACTTATGTTTTTGTTTTTTGTTATTCTCTAAATTGAGGTCCTCTTGCTCTAGAATAATTTTGTTTAAAAAATAGCACTTTTCTGAAAGCTCTTAAGCACCCTTTTTCTCCATCCACAATTCCATTCTAACATAAATGCCAGGCTTGCCATACCACCACCAATCCCAGTGCTAACATATCAAAGAATGGATATGGCTTCCTTGTAAAGTTAAGTAGGTGAATGTAAAATGATGGTGAATACAAATATATAAGCCTAGATTCTAATATGTCAAGAGCCATGAAACTATAAAAAGAATCTACTTTAAAATGAAAGGAATATTGGTGGGGGGCGGTAAAAATAACATTGTATTGGGAAACAGAACATCTGTTTTCAGTCCTGGTTCTGGTAACTTTGGCAAGTCTTCTAGCTTGGTGAGGGTAGGATTTCCTCAGATATAAAATGGTGTCAAAGAATCAGGCAATGATGCCTACAATTCTCACTCATCTCTAGGGAGTTCTATAACCAAATGTCTAATGGAGTGGCACTTCCTGTGCTGTAGCATTACCCCACCTCCTCCTTTACAGCCCCATAGTGGGGGCAGGAGTTTCAGAATACAGCTGCAAATTGATAAATTCAGCTTAATAATTCATTAGTAGGGATCTTATAGATCATATTTGAATTGAAATAAGCTTTGGTTCTGGCCAATGCTGGGTAAAAGCTGCCTCAGTGTTCAAAAAGTTCATCTTAATCTGGTCTTAAATCTCATCTACAGACATTCTTCAGAAGAGCTTTCTGAACTAAAAGATTCTTTGCCCCTGAGCTCAGTGT
The DNA here is from genome assembly GCF_000001405.40 of Homo sapiens. Taxonomy (NCBI): domain Eukaryota; kingdom Metazoa; phylum Chordata; class Mammalia; order Primates; family Hominidae; genus Homo; species Homo sapiens. The sequence continues at coordinate 33,768,301 of NC_000014.9, read as the reverse complement.
TACATAAGAGCTCGATCCTCATGTTTCCTTTCATTGTTCCTGTTTTATCACAAAAAGCTGTACAAAAATGCTAAAGCTCATATTTTTCTAAACTCCTTACACAGCACTGCCCGGATGCCAGCAACAGTGAAGCAGAATGCACAAGATTACTGAGTTGAAATCCCATCATCTTTGATAAAAATGTCCACATTAGCATTATTTGATCATCCCATAGTGAGGAAATCATTGTTTGACTTTTATTTTTCTTCTCTGCTGCAAGGAGTGACTGTGTGTGATGCTGTTAGATGCATGTCCGCAGAGTTTAGGATGAATGTGGGAGTGTTAACAAGCCACATTATTTGGGCAAATGTATATTTCTGTTCCTGCCATATGCTCCTTTCAGTTTTCTGTTGGTGATACACTCTTAGATGTGCTCCACTAATATCCTCTCATTATAAACAGGCCCATCACAAAGACCTTGATAAAACCTCCCCTCTGTCAATACTTGAGGAAAGAAAGTCCATGACGGAAAAATACATCTGGAAGCTATTCTCCTTTCTTTTAGGAATAAATCTCAGTTCTAGTAATCTAAAATGTTCTCTTTAACAAAAGGAAGTGCCAAGTACTCTGTGCATTATTTCCCACATATAATGTAAAGTATAGAATAGGGCTAGGCGACTAGGGGAACGAAAAAGGCTTCAGGTACGAAAAAAAAAAAAAAAAGACAAGAGTCCCTGGGTTTAGAGCATCTTCAGAGATTTTTCACTTGTCCTTTAAGGGAATCCAAATTTACCTTAAAAATTAAGCTTCCTTCTGGCACTCTGGTCCCTTTTCTTTTTTTTTCCTCTGTAGAAGTCTGGTTTAGCATACAGATCGTCAAATCACTAGCTCAGGTGGGAGAGTCAGCTAATTATTTTTAAGTGACGGGGGCTCTGAGGTGGCCTGAAACCTGCCGAAAGATAAGGGCTTAGCCGGGTCTTCTGAAACTAAACATCTAGCCTACAGCATAACAACTTAATCTGAACCAGCATGAGAATATCAACCTTGTGTAGACTACTTCATGCAAATTTATAGGGAGTGGGGCTTCCAGGATTTAGACCATATTCATAGGCTGGAGAATCTGCCCTAGCAGATCTGCTTCTGTCTCACTCTTGCCACCTAGGTCTTTCCTTGCACAAGGCCTGAAAAAACAAATACCAATAAAAACAAGCCTTAGCTGAAACCAGGGACTCTTCCACAGATGCAAGCGCCATGGAGAAGGCGGCTCATAACTGAAGGAGGAGCCCTTAGACCTTCTGGGAGGCAGAAGCAGAGTAGAATGGCATTTCCTTTCCCTTACAGGATCTCAGATTTTAGTTCTAAAAACTGACTTTACAACTAAAACTATAGGCTTTGTCATAAGCCACAGTGGGAGTTTAGCAACTGTGGATGAGAAAAGGCAGAACAGGGAAAAGCTGACTTCACAAGGTGGAAGTGAGATCCAGGGAGGGGGTGACAATGCAGACCTCCTCCAGGGCCAAGGAGGATGCAACAGGAGAGGTGGTCCTGGAATGCTGTCATCAGCTATGTATGGAGATGGCTATCAACTCAGGAAGTAAGTGGATGGTAGGGGTCTTTTTGGGAGTTCGTCCAACCAAATTCTTGTAAGATCAGGGATATTCAATATTAGACAGAAGTAAGGGAGTAAGATTCAGCACTTAAGGATAGAAGACCAGCAGGAATTAGGTTGTCAGGGTTTCAGGTGGGCTCAACTTAAGGGCAGCTCTGGTGATGGATAAGAGAGCAGGTGAAAGTGGGTTCCAGGGAGAGAATCCCAGCCAAAGTTAGGAACGAAGGCTGGTAGAAACCAGTCCTGTGGCATAAAAAGTCTACAATTACATAAAAAGTGTTAATTATCAGGGACTCCATGATCTTTCACTTGTTTTAAATGGGAATGAGGTGAGCGGGAAGAGTGATGTAATTGGAGCATATAGTTTGATGCTTGGTCTGAATCCTGAAGAGACTAAGGGAAGGTTGGTTCAGGAAATGGACAGATCTGAAGTTATACATAAGGAAGGCACAGGAAAAGGAAAGAAGTCAAGGCCTAACTTATCTCCTCTCCTTGACATACTAAAGTCCTGAAGGAAAACAGACTTCAGGTACACGTATGCATGTGAACATGGGTATTGTTACTCTTACACATGAAGTCAACTCACTTTGTTCAACACCCAAATTATTAAAATGAGTAAATGGGCCTGGCACATGAGGGAAAACCTATTTTGTTCTTTACTTTAATTGGAAAGCTTACAACACCTAATGCTGATGTGAGGGATTTCTTTTAAACAAAAAACCTCTGGGGTTAGTGGTTCTTACATTTGAATGTGCACAGGAATCACGTGGAGAGCTTATTAATAATGTTGGTTCCCAGGTTCCTGCCCCAAAAGTTCAGATTTTCTAAATCGACACAGGGGCCTGGGAATCCGCATAACAGCAAGAACTCCTAGTGCCCTGTATGACAGTGGCTGGCAGGACATACCATCCACCCAGCTGCAGCTTCCTCTCCATCAGGAGAGCAGAATGAATTGAGAGATCTTAATAAAGATGACCCAGGTGCACATCACAGACTGCCTTCTAAATGAGCAAAGAAAGATGAACATATATTTATGATTAAAGCTGTACTTAAAAAAATCCTACTCTGTAGAACATAACTTGTTGCCTTTTGGCTCTTTGAAAATGGAGGATCAGTGCATGAGAAGCAGGAAGCCTTGGCTGATGTGGGATCAGGGCATATTTCCTGTGCACGCTCCTTTATCTCTGAAAAGGTCTGCATTCTCTCAGTGGCCGCACCACAGTGGGCTGCACTGTAGTGCTGTAAGCCTCTGGGGGAGGCTGAGCTCTGCCAATCCCCTCCCCCTAGCCCAGCCGGCCCCTGGCTGAGCTCCTGATTAATTCCGGGGATTCTGAGAGGTTAACCCTTCATTTGATGGCTCCAGTGGGGAGCTGAGAGATTGCTGGTAATTTTTCACTCTTAGTTTTTTTTTTTTTTAATGCAGAAATATTTTCTAAGGGAGCAAATAAAAAATTATTTTTAAAACCACATTTAAAATACATTAGCCACAGCATTCTCTTCTTACATGACTGTATCCTCCAAACAACAATTATTTCCCATCCATCTCTCTTAACAAACTTCACATACGTAGCATAAAAAATATAACTATAATTACAGCTTTAGCTTCTCAAAATGTGCCTGGCCCCCCCATTAGCTTCCTGTTCCCTTTGGAGAAAACAGTCTTTTTCTACTAAAGATAAGATTTTTTATTGGGATAGTTTAACTAAGCTGGAGAGATCTCCTTAATGAGATTATGTAAATGTATGCCAAGGATATAAACCACATTTTCTCAGAGGGTGGAACACTTCAAATATCATTTAATAAAACAGGACCATGGGTAGAAACACCTCGATAAATTGTTAAGGGGCAAAGCAAGAAGGCTGAACTGTATACATCTGATCAAATTTCATTTGATTCAGTTACTTTATTAAAGTCTCCTAGAGAAGGACAGAGGCCCATTGTACTACTGTGGAGGGGAACTTTTTTATTCCTCTATCACTTGATGTAAAGGAGCGGGGTGTCGCCCTTCATAGCCCCCTGAGGCCCCTCATGGCTTAGTGTCACTGTCTTGAGGGTAGAGAGGCAGTTCTTCTCAATATTACACACGGCAATTGTATTTTCCAACAACGTTATATAAAAAAAGACTCAGAACTAGTCCCACGTCAGGCAAGGAAGAAAAACTGCTTCCCTACTCCCCCTACTTAGCACCTCCCCAGGAAGAAGTACTGTACTACATTGATGCATTTTCTTTAGAACCCCCAAGCTCTTATTAGAAAAGAAATTACGTAAATATTTTCTATTTTCTATTCTTGCTTAACGCCTTTGTTGAATGTGTGTTTTACTTAAATGTCCTGAGTTTCCCAACTAGTCTTGTTCTAAGTTAGTACTTAAACTTTGTTTCTCTTTGTTTGTTTCTCTTGAGTTTGCTAGCAGAACTTGGACACAGACACTAAACTGCAATAAATGCAACATATATTCAAAGACAGCCGTGTACCCCTCCGCCGAAGATGGTAGTCCTAGAGAGCATTCTGCTGCTGTGAGAAGATGTTAAGGCAGCCTCACGGAAGGATAGCCTCCCCAGTGCCCCCATTTAACTTCAAGGGCTCTAGGAGAATAAATGATTATATTTTGATAATAAAGGAAAATGTGAAGCCAGCCACTCCTGTCTTCCTCAGCTTTAGAGGATGTAGAAGTAAAGACAATTGTCCATGTAGATGGGTAGACCAGCCCTAGGGAAGTGCAACTCTGCTGTCTCTTGAGCTGAAATTTTTTTTTTAAAGAAGCCATCCCCTTAAAGGGGAAACCACAAATAACAGTGATTCTATTTCTTATAGTTAAAATTGTTTAAAGCAAACACGTGGGTCATATATATTTTGGAAAAAAAAAAAACCAATACTCCCCAAATTTAGATAAAAAATTCTTTAGTGATCAAACCTAAAAATGATCAATTCCCAAGAGGCTGCAGTAGGTATCTGGAACTCTTAAAGTAATAAAAGAACAAAGAGACTTCTCTTAAGGCATTGTAGACACAAATATATGTAAGAAAGAAAGAATGCAGAGTGGAAGCCAATATTCCTCAGTTTCCCTGGCATAGTTGGACAACATGTAGTTCCTGTTTGATGGCAAGGACCTCCTTTCTCAGCATCTATTTTTTCATTGGGAAAGTGAGTGAGCCTGACTACACTGCATCTGAGGCCACCCCTTCCTTAGCAGGGTGTATTTGAATCCAGTCTCTTTAAGTACAAAGCCTTGACCCATCACCAAAACCCTAAGCCTCTGTAACTTTCTATCTCCATTCTCTTCTTAGTTTACACTCTTTGCTAGGCACAGATGTTCTGTGTTTAATATTAATTAGCACAGGACATTTTCTTCCATGTTTCTTAAGCTACCCTCTGAACTCTATAATATTTTAAAAGGCTGTTTAATTCAACCCTCTATTTCATCCTAAATGAGAGTAATTTCTGGTAACAATATGCCTCTCGAAATGTCTCGCTTTATGGAGTGGATGAATCCACGGCGGTGCCAAGTACCTCCTGTGTTCAGCATCCCAGAAAGACCTCAAGCAAGCTGGAGCTGGAGGGGGCCATGGAGACCACTCGGCCAACCCTTCCACATTAAAGAAGCGAAGACTGAGGTCTGGTCAGGTGAAATGTCCTGCCCGAGGATGCAGGGCCAGTTAGTGGCAGACACAAGAAGAAAAGAGGTCTCCTAATCTCTTGCCCAGCGATTTTTCTACTATTCAGTGGTACATTTCAGAGAACATATCCCCTTCCATTTTCCTCTTTTGTTTTCCCAAATGTGCTTATTTCTCTCTATATAAATGATTCGATCAAACTTAAGATTTTAACCTTCAAAAGACCCCACGGCACTGACACAGGTTATTATCTATTCAGCATATGCAATTCAAAACACTCATATGACTTTTGTGCGTGTCACCAACTCATTTGCTGCATTTGGTTTATTCAGCCATGATTAGAGATAGTCATTTACAGTCACACATTTGGAAACTCCTTAACAAGCTTCTAGCAGTTTCCTTTCCAAAGCTGTTTAAATAGATGAGGGTGTGGTGTCAGCAGCGACAGCAGTTTCCTCCATACCACTGATTCCCGCTGCTATTCGTATGTCTTTATCAGGATTTCCATTTTGTAGAAAGTCTTAAAAAAAAGAGCCCCCAAACAAAGATGCACATTCCAGAGCCTGTAAGTCATCATTTCAGGAAGATTGACTCTAAAAATTAAAATTGAAACCACCACACTATAACCTGAAAGTTCCCTGAAATAAAAGTCCTCCCTCCCCCTTTTTATTTTAAAGAATACTTTTTGAAGTAATTGGCACAAAGACTGTTCTAGTGCAGATTGCTGCAAGTGTGCTCTTGGCAAGAACATCATAAGCACTAGAAAAACTTTAATATGCTCAAGAAGCCAAAAACAAACTGACATCAGGAACTCAAGTGTGGGAACAAACAGGGAAAAAAAAAAGACAGCATCTCAATTTAATACAAACCTACATACAAAGGGACCAATTTTTATGATTCATGGTTTAGCATACAATACAGTTGTCCTCTGAGTGAATATAGAGTAGTTATACATAAGAAATTAGAATTATCAATTCGGGAGAATTTCTCAAGAGTCCTTTTGGTATGTTATACTGCAGTTATAATGCCTAAGAAACTAAACATCAATGCATTAAATGAGATCAGGTTGGGATCTATTTAGAAAAGAAGAGTTTAAATTTGGAGAAGCATCTCTTTGATTTGACCTCTGGAGCAGACCTTCTGCAGTAAAACTCAAAATGAATAGCTTTACTTCTACCTGTAGCCTGGCTTCCTGGGTCTTTAAAATATGTTTGAGTACATGTAGCCTAAGTTGGGGATGGAGAATTATTTTACAAGGATCTTCTATGTGGAATGAAATGGGAAGAATTCATCAATTTTTGCACTGTGCAAGACACTCAATTCTCCCTATTCCCTCGAACGTAAGAACAAAAATATTTTTAAAAAATTTCCTTCCTCAAGTCATCTTCTTTGCTATTTTATGGTAAGGATTCAAGGATTTGGAGATTTTCTGCATCTTTCTCCATCCACATTTCAAATTTATCCCTGATTGTGACCAACGCTGACTTTACCCTGAAACTGAAAAGATTGTTCCATTTTCACAGTCGTGCTAAGTAAGATTTCTCCTGAAACCCCCTTGAGTTCAAATGTGCTATACTCTTTTTTTTTTTTTCTTCTGGGGAATGTTTGAAGTCCCCTTTAAAAATAATGCCTTGAGGATATTTTTCCCTAATACCATTTAAAGAAACTTGAAAGCATATGGCTCTTGAAGTGCACAGGGTTCTAATGAAGTAATCAGTGCCCTGCTCATATGCAGACTTCCACCCAGAGCTTTCAAACCCAACCCAGATCAGTCTTTTGAATGAAGTGAAATTCTACAGAAACTCCTTTCCTCTCTCTGCCAGTGTAAAGGCTTAGTGAGCCACTGTGCTTAAGTGGTGACTTTCAACCTTTGAAGGATGGAAGGTGCTGGAAAAGTTGTGTTAGGATCAAAACTGTCAGTGGCCAAGCAAATCAATCTTGTAAGTTTGTAAGACAACTCAAGACAAATATTCCCCTGTAGTACACGTTCTGTCCATAGTATGGGAGGAGAAAATAAAGTTTCTTTATAGGGTTCTATTTGATGTAGTTCTTGGTAGCTCTATCATTACCTTAGGTGATTCTCCACACAGCCAGTGATGACTAAATAAAACAAAAACATGGGATATTAATGCACTTTCCCTGGAACTGGTACAACATGCTGTTCTCCTGCAGTTTTGCAATGGATTCTCCAAATCTATCATAATTAAAATCACACTTCTTCAGGCACAACCTCATTAGTGCCGAAATATTACATATTGTGCTATTTCCTTGGGATTTTAGCAAAACAAGTAATGATTCTTTTGATTATTGGAGAGACTTGTGCTATCATAATTGCCAAGTAAGTATGAAACTGTTTAAAATAACTGGAATCAGCACTTGATTTTTTTTTTTTTAACTTGTTTGGTTTAGGCAGACATAACCCCCAAAGGAGAGGCTTTAGGCAGGATGGGCAAACTGACCCCACTCACCCACGATATGTGCTTTTCCATAACACTTTAGAAGGAAGGGATGAGGCGAGCAGTTGAATGACAGATGTATGAACTACTCACATTCAGGGGTGGGTGTCCTAGTCTTTCCTGGTCTCTACACGGTCAAATAATGTTTTTGAAGTGTCCAAATGATCCTGTATCATGTTGTGCACTTCTTCCAAACTACATAATTTCATTCGTTCCAAAGTATCTTTGAGATTAATTTATTGCCAGGCGCTATTTTAGATTCTGGGGATACAGCAATGAAAAGGACAGATAAAGGGGGAAAGATGAGCTCTGATAAACATCTCTGGCTGATTTAAATGGCTGCTCTGGGGCCCCGAGTAAAATTGGGAAAGCCAGGTAGGAGGGAGAAGATGGTAGCTCAGGAAGAAATGGTGTCAAGTAGTTGGATGTTGGATACCCTGTGAAGGTCGACTTGACAGCACTTGTTGATGTATTAGTTGTGAGGTGGCAGGTAAAGAGTGGAATGAAAGGATACTCTTAAGCTTTTGGCCAGGGGGTGGTGCCACTTACTGAGATGGGAAGGGCAGGTGGATGGCAAAACATCTTGGGGTGGGTTTTGTTTTGGTCACCCTTAAGATTGAGAAATTGTCAACATTCAAGTGAAGATTCAGCTGGACTTAGAAATTTAAGTGTACTAAGGAAGTCTTGATATTTTTTCCCAATTTTATTCAGAAATCTTATATATGCTTAAATAAAAATCATTCTAGAAACTTTATCATATCCATTATGCTAAATGCCCTTGGCAAAATGGAGAAATTTGTGATGTGCATGTTGCGATCTTTGATTTCTTTTTAATCCACGTCTAAAAGGACAATTGGAAGTATTTTGTGGTAAAACACGCTACTCAGTCAGGACTAAAGACAACCAGTAGCAGGCCAGGTAAATAATGACAATCTTCCATTATAGTTATAAAGACTACGCAGCCTGCAAGCTCTTTTTACTAGATACATTTTATTTTTCCTATACTTTCTTAAAACATTATTTCCAAAGCACCTAGCTTCCCAAGTGAAGAAACAAATTCAAAATCCAGGGCTGAAGAATAAATCCATGTATTCCAGGTCACCTTCAGCTCCAGATATGAAAGTATACATAGCACTGTGTTTAAGAATGTTTCATATGAATGCTCTGCGATGGGGCAAGCACTCTCTCTAGGCCCTGCCACTTCCCATTTTGCCTGATCTCTGGGAGACATCTGAGTGTATGACCAGGAGAAAAGAAGACAATATACTGAGCTTCCTCTTGACAGAATGTACTGGTAAATATTTAGAGAACATTGGTCCACTTTGAAAAGGCTTCCCTTTCAAAAACACTTCTGCAGAGTACTGTGGGTGGCACACTTTCCCAAAGCAATGACCTTCTCCCCATAGCTGCTGGAGGACTGCTATGTATGTTTGGCTTCTTTAATGCCAATAAAGCAGCAAGGAGGGCTTAGGTGGTAATTTATTTATAAGAAATTATAATAAAGAATCAGCAGTTTGAATGTGGTGTAGAAAAGTGGGAGGGAAATTGTACAGAGGCAGGAGATCTAAACTCAGAAGTGGGCATTATGACACACTTTTGGTTTATCTACCCTTCGAATCAATTTTATCATTTTTAATTGACCGATTTTCCCTTGTTTGCTTAACATTTATTAATTGATTGTTATGCTCATGCAATTAATTCAAAAGCTGGCAAGTTTAACACAGAGAAATTAATTTTCTTTTACCAACATGCCACTTAAAATACATTTTTGGAAGCCTGGGTTACCAGGAAATTACCTTCAAATTAATCAACAAGGAAATTAGATGGTAGTGTCCCTTGACATCTGTCAATCCAAATATGTCAGTTTCTTCCTTTTGTTTGAGTAGGCTTTTTCTGCTGAGTAAGGAATAAGAAAAACCTTGGATGTTAAAGTAGAACTACCCTGCATCTTAATAGGCAGAGAAAAAAAAGCAGTTCCTTTGTATAAATATGCAATGTTTAAATGAATATTATTTTTCATTGAGAAGAATTTCTAGGAAAGAGGTAAATTTCATTAGAGGACACAGAAATTAAGCTCATAGCCTTCTTCCCTAAATAGTTCTTTGGCCGCTTTTCTTTCTTTTCCCCTATTTAAAATCTTAATAGGAGTCAACGCTCTGCTACGCCCTATGGGGCCAGCTTGTCCAGGAGTTGCACACATTGGCCAAGCCCTGAATGAGACCTGCAGAGGGATGCCCCGTGCAGAAGTAGCAAAGAGGAGAGCCATCCTGACAAGGCACTAGGGCGAGCCTTTCAGGGAGGAGGCAGCATTTGAGTTAAATTTCTATGGGTGAGTAGGATTTGACTGGTATTAGGTTGGAGAACTATTATAAGCAAAAGCACAGAGACACAAAACTGCTTTTTGTGTTCAGAAATGGAGAGGAGTGCAGACAGAGGACAAAGTGGAGTAGGTGGGGAGGTGCTGGAGGAGGTGAAGCAGGCTGGATTGTGGAATGCTATGAATGCTGTACAAAGGAGTTGTGACTTCATGTACAGACAAAGGGGGAACCACAGAAGAATTCTGAAGAAAGGATTATATGACTGCACCTGAGATTTAGGAGTGTGACAACATTCATTCGTTCATTCATTCATTCAATGTTTAATTAACCTTTATAAGGCAGTGCTCTGTGCAGGCACTGAGGCATAATTACCAAGGAGCTCAGAGTCCATCTGTGTTGACCTGACAAGTGTGTGATCAGGGCTGTAATGAAAAGGTGAATAAAAGGAATGGCCTCTCCACATGAGGGTAAAGAATGAATGTCAGTAGGACTAGTGTCCAACTGGTTACTCAGGCTTCAACCTTGGACCACTCTTTATTTCTGCGAATGCTTCCATTTCATCAGCATTCAAAGGCAGAAAAGGGGAGTGCATCACTTCTCTTGGCTCATCCTTGATCCTCTTTCTCTCATTTTCCAGATCCAGTCAGTCATTAAGACCTAGGAATGTTTTCTTACTTCTTGGTATATCCATTCCAAGTGCCATCACTGTAATACAAATTCTTGAAATCTCACATCTGGACAATTGGGTGGGCAGCTGCCTAACCGGTCTCTCTCATTTTTTCCCCCATCGTATTCTTCCCCACTCTGGTCCATCCTGCATTTTACTGTCAGATTCATCTTCCTAGAGTATCTTTAAGGAAGTAGACCAGGAGCTATAGGGTCTTCCTCATTTGCCTGTATAACTTTGGAGCAGCAGCAGGACCTCTATGAGCCTCAGTTCCCCATATGTTGAACAGCAGTGACCATCCTCTTCATCCCTGTCTTACACAATTGCTGAGAAAATGGAATGAGGTGGTGCATTTAAAAACGCCTTGAAAATGGTGTAGCACTATGTAGATATTAAGTTGCAGCATTGTCACTATCACCACTCAAGAGCCTTGATTGATTCTGGAATAAAATTCAGACCACTTAGCTCATCATGAAAAGCTTGTGTCCATTCAGTCTCAAGCTTCAGTCCCAAGCCAAGACAACTTGGCTTATCTTCCATGACTTCCCTCCCTGGACTCCAGATGCTTTGTCCAGCATCTCCTGAATCTGCCTTGTGTTTATCTTCTCCATATCTTTTCTCACATCACCTTTCAGACCAAGAATTCCTTCCCCATGCCCCACCATCAGTGGAAATAATATTCATTCTTCAAGGGTGATATCAAATCCCTTTTCCTCTTCTTGGATACTTTAGCCCAGTGCTGTCCTCCTCCCTTTGAATTCCTACTTTTGTCTCGGCTACCCAATCAGCACCTAGGTATGTACTACCAGGGATTGCTCTCTTGCTGTCTCTGCCTTTGTCTCTGACTCTCTGTTTTCCTTCAGATGGCACAGAATGCATCCTTTATTTCTCTGTGTACCTCGTAGGACCAGACTACAGGATGACTGACTGCTTAGATGCTACATCTATCTACTGCATGAAAGCTCACAAAGTTCTCAACTTCCTTTCTTTCTTTTTAATCCTTACAATAGCCTCTAAGGTAGGTAGAGCACATATTAGTATCTCCTTTCTGTAAATAAGGAGCTGGAGGCTAAGAGAGATGAAGTGTTTGGTTATGATTACACAGCTAAAATATAATTCTGACATTCCTCCAAGCTCAGTGCTCTCTTTCACAGACCGCCTTGCATCTCTTGCCACTCCCAATTGCTATTTTGATCCATCTGAGCAGTCTCAATCTGTCTGGTTCTCCCTTTTACTTCAAAAACCTTTCAATATAAGATTCCCTTTAGAAAACATATTAGTAAGATTCTTCTTGGGGGTTAGTTACTTCGTGAATACAACTGGGTACTGCAAGAATCCACCCAACTGGGATTCCAGAAATTGTCCAGGGCATTCACTATGTAGTAGGTGGGTTTGGCTCATCTGGGCCCTCTTACCCTTTCTCCCTCAAGAAACTTATGGTCTCTGTATTACTCATTACTGACTCTGATAAATGATTACTTTATTCCAATGCAAAGAGGGATACATAAAGCTTTCAATCACTAATAAAAGAAATCAAACTCAAAGTTGGATAATTGCTATGGTTTGGGTATTTGCCCTCACCAAACTTCATGTTGAAATTAGATCCTCAATGTTGGAGGTGGGACCTAGTGGGAGGTGTTTGGGTCATGGGGGCAGAACCCTCATGAATAGATGAATGGTCTCCCTCAGGGGTGAGTGAGTTCTCACTCTGTTAGATCCCAGGAGAGCTGGTTGTTAAAGACCTGGCACCTCCCACTGTCTTGCTTGCTTCCTCTCTTTCCATGGCATCACCGCACCTGCCAGCTTCCCTTTCCCTTCTGCCACGAGTGGAAGCAGCCTGATGTCTCACCAGAAGTTGAACAGATACAGGTGTCATGCTTCCTAGATAGCCTGCAAAACCGTGAGCCAAATAAGCCTCTTTCCCTCATAAAATACCCAGCCTCTGGTATTCTTTCATAGCAACATAGAATGGCCTAAGACAGTAATATTATTAAATAACACCAGACAGCTAATCTTAACATTAACCTAAGTGAGCAACAATGACAAGGAGTCCTGAAAGGCCCACACGCCCACCCGGTCTAGAGTGCAGCCTAATCACATCAGCCATGATTCATAGCCACTCCTATATAATCCTTTCCCCCGAGGCAATTCACAGACCCCACGGCAGGGATGGCGTCATGGTAGTAACTTTCAGCTATTTTCCTACTTTTATTTTATGAACATACCTTCTGCCTTTGCCCTCTTTGGAAATAAAATGGGTAATCTGAAGGCTTCTGTTAAAAGTGGCTTTTCTTCACAAAAATAAATGTACCAATAATAGAAATAAAATGAGGAGGTCAATTACTTGTGATAAACATAAGCTAAGCCAATATATTCTGAAATGCTAAAACCCTACATTTTACAGTTATAATCCAATAAAGATAATATTGGGTATTCACAGTCACTTAGAGTTTACAGAATATTTTCACTCATATTATCTTACATTAACCTCATAATAACTCTACGATGTTTCAGGAGAGGTACTATTATCCTCTTTCAACAGACTTAGGCAAGCTAAATGAGTTCCCCAAAGTCAAATATATATCAAGTGGCAAAACGAGGACTAAAACCTACATCTGTTGATCCTAAGGCCAGGGCTCTGCATCCTACTGAGTTACCCAAAACAACAATATGTGTCTCCATTTGGCTAACTCTCACTGTCCCTATCTAAAGATTTGTCCTGCTGTGTCCATGGTCTCGTCTATGAGACACGTCATGGCATTTACCCCAAATAACTTCAGACAGTCCAGCGAGAAATGTAGATGCTTCAGAAAGGCCCCAGATGGTTTATTCTTTCAGGTGTACCTCACAATAGTCAAACACCATGTCTACAGGCTTTTCAGCTCTACGATTCTATGATTTTTAAGAGGGAAAGGGAGAAGAGAGAGAGAATCTTGAAAGATTTTGTGGTATTTGTTCTTGGGGACTAAGGACAGTAAAGATGCTGTGCTGTTCTCTAAGATGGATTACCTGTTTGTACCTCTGTCTTTCTGGAAATTCAGTGGGATGGGGATGAGGATGCAGATTCCCGGACTGTCATAAAATATTGCCTGCACATTCCATTGAAGCCATGGTCTCCCTCTGACCATGCTACCGCCATAGAGCCAGCACTCTGAGGCTGACTCCAGCCACTATTCTTCCCCTGCTCCTAAGCATTCCACGAACATGAGGTCAGAGAGGAGAGGGAGCTGGGGAAGAAGGGAATGAGGACTTCCTTGGCCTCCCTAGTAGGTGAAATGTGTCTTGAATGTCATCCATTTCCATATTCCTCTCCTCCCTCCTCTTGGCCAAAGGCTCTTACTCTGCTGTGTCTCTTTTGATACCCCGGATTCCAATCACACTTTATTCCATCCCTCACACCCCACCTATTTCCTTAGTGCTCAGTTTTAAAGAATATCAGGGAAAAAAGCCCTCTAATATTAGACAGCAATGCTTTACTGAAGTACAGATCACTGTCTGTCTGTAATGCAGCTTCTTTCCTTCACCCAATTCTTTCTCTAGCCGCCACCCCAGTGGGGTCGCGGGGCACCTCCAAGAGGATGTTTCTCCTGCTTTTCATATCACTGGTTACCTTATTTTCTTAATAGGCTCAGGCATCAACCACTCTAGGGAAACTGATTTTCCTCTTTACAACCATCTGAACAGAGGATTGCTACATCTCAACCCCTGGGAGCTTCTTCTGTGCTGAGGGTCCCTTAAGCCCCTGGCACTGGGAACTGTGGGAGGCAAGCTTCAGGCATGGCTAACTTAGGAAAAGAGAGCTCCATATTTTGTTGCTCTTGTAGCATGGACATTTGCCCATACTTTGGTGGGAGGGAAAAATGAGAGGGAACAAATTTGGGAAATAAAAGCTTAGGAAAAAATAGATCACTTACTTTCCCCAAGAAGTGTTCTCATAGTGTTTGCCTGTTGTAGCTGCTGAAGTCAGATCAAGGAACCTGTAGATTTTTCTGGGTATATATTTTCTTGCTTTGTAGGGTATTGGCTGCATGATCTGCTAAAAGCTGTGACTAAATGAACCCTACAATTTGTATTCCCACAGCCACAAGTGTATTGGCTACTTCTTTTCCTCCCCTCTTTGGCTCTGGAAGGTTCATTACTTACAGTTACTGCAGAATCAATCTGAACTGGCCAAAATCAGTGATGGAATTTATAGCATAATAAATGCCCTGCCGCACAAATGCAGTTACACGTGAAAGGCTTGGGAATGTTCTTTTGAGCAATCCTTCTACATTGTGGAGTGTACGTTTTTTTTTTTTTTTATCAATTTAACAGAATCATCTTAAGCATATTTTGAGAAGTATAATCCTGACAGCTACAGAGCAGATTTTCCCTGAGGCAGGTATTGTTGCAGAAAAACAATATTATTGATAAAAATCTTAGCATATTGGAACATGGAAGGGAAACTAAATACATCTTTTTCATTCTTCACACCAATCCTTTAGAGCTCCATTTTCCAACCTCACATTGCTTTCCACTTTCTCTTTGAATTTTTATTTTTGTAAAAGTGTTTTAACACTTCTCGAAGCACACTAATGAACTGTTCTTTAAGAAGAATCAGCCGTACCAAAGTTGGCTTTGAGAGGCAGGCAGAATTTGAAGTGCACTCAAAAGATAATGCACAGATTGGGGCATCAATGATTTTCCTTTTTAAAAGTCAGTAAGTTAAAAGATTACATTGGTATCTGGCCCATTTTTCTTGCTAAGTGCCCATATTATGGGTGAATCCTGTTTTACAGCATTCTGATACACAGAGAGTTGAACTTGAGCGCGAAACATTGAAAAAAAATATCAGAAAGACAGATGGTAGGCCGTCCTCCCCAAAACTCAATTTCATATTATGCATGTGATTGCTAATAGGCAAGCACTAAAAAACAATTTTCCTTGACGGAGAAGGGCTGATACATTGTCAACATAAAGTTAGACTGCGGTTGCTCCAGTGATCGAAAGCTCGTCTGTGAGTTTGGTCCCATCAAAGTCAGCTTCTTACAACCGTATCAAAATTTATGAATGCATATGTCTATAAAGTGACTGAAAACAACCCATAATGCATGTTTGTTTATTGTGCATCAGCTCTGTGTTGCTTTAGTACATGCAAAAAGCCCAAACAAACACCCAAACCCAACTTGGTCCAGTTCTTTTTTTTAGCTTTTGCACATGAAAAAGAGCCAAGAGTCAATTGGGGATGATGTCCCCTTCTATCCTGAGATCTGACTTAAACAAAAATATCTACTCTTAAATGGCTCTTGCATGGCTTGGGAGTGTACTCCATGGGGTTACACTAGCTTTATGGTGACAGAAGTACGTGCATTTGAGAGCAGTTGAGAGCACTGATTATCTGGAGAAGAAAAAGATGTTTGAGAAAGAAAAAAAATAAAATAAAATGAAGCAGCTGAAAGCAACTCAGCTTATGATCTGCAATACAAAGCACCAAAGTTTCATATTATATTTTATAGAAAGGTAAAGCCTATGCAGATGCTGCAAAAATATTTAGAAAGAAAGGGAGAGGTTTTCTTTGTTTTCTTTGTGAAAATTATGTTTTTTAAAAAGTAATCATTCAATCCAGGAATATAAAGGTTTATTTTTTGGGGAGAAGGAGAGAAAGGGGTGAAATTTTGCTCCTATTGAAAATCTAGTAGTCATATACTGTATTTGATTTTTTTAAAAAACACATAACTTTGAATATTTGCATGGTTATGAAACTCATATTTTATGTCATCACTTACTGTTCACTTGAGAACTGTTGTTTTAATCGCAGATCACTTGTAACTGATGTGACATGCACAGATCTTACTGGGACAAAGGGATTGGGTACTCAGACAACACTGTTTACAAAGGTTGCTATAATTAGTAGAAATTCTGAATAGTCAACCAAAATCAGAATTAAGTGAGTTGAAGAACAAATAAAATTTTTCTAATGAGAGATAATTATCATCTTGAAAGGTCAGGGGTTTTACTAAATGGTATATTCAAGGGAAACTGTGGGCGCCTGAAATGTAGGTTTTGCTTATATTTTACCAAATACAGAGACATTTCCAATAATCTAGATACCTAATGGTGTGTAGACCAAGTGCTAAGTGATTGAGGTCTATGCAGTGCTTTGTATCTCTGATGCATTTTGCAATGCCAGCTTTCAATGCATACAGGTCTTAGTTTTTTTTCCCTTGAGTTACTGGTTCTAGGATCATATTGCTCTTCTCCAAATGTCTATTTATATGAGCAATGTGAGATTAAGGGGAAAAAGTCCCTGCACTCATGTTGGCAGAATGGTAGAAGGAAAAACGAATGGAGAAAATTCCAAAAGGAATGATTTAATGACTTGTTTAAATCTATATACTTACTCCCTTACCTAATAGGCTGAGAGCAACCTTCAAGTTCTTCTTGTTAGAAAATAATGCTCTTTCTCTTACAATGATTCCAAAAAATTTTGTTGACATGAAACACTCTTAATCTTCATCCTTGTGACCCCAAACACTGATTAGCCCATGGGGCTAGCATTACACCACATGAACGTTCCTACTCTTGTCTACATATGCCAGCTCAGCTTAGATATCTTTATTCCTGATACCCAGATTTCTTTCTGCTCACTACACTTGATGCCTTCATCTCTTTATTGATACCATTCCCTCTGTTTAGAGTTCCCTTCCTTCATATCTCTGTAGGTGAGCCTATCCCTTAAGAGCTGGTTAACATGATGCTGTCTTTGAGATCCTCTCCTTTTATACCAGACAGAATCATTTGCTTTATCCCGTTGCCCTTGGAACATACCTCTATTATAGCACATATCACATTATCTCATTATCATTTCTTTGTGTGCCTGCCTAACTCTAGACTCTGCTCTCTGGATCAAGGACTCTGTTTTATCCATCTTTGTCTTCCCAGTACCCAGTACAGTGTATAATACACAACAGGTACACAATCAGTATTGACCACATGATTGAGTGAAATCAATTCCTAAATACTTTGAACAAAGGGTGGTGTTGAAGAATGAAAGTTATAGATCATTCTTGGTTACACTAGACTTCTCTTTTGTTTTCTCAGGTTATTACAAACTGAGAAAGCATGTTTTCAAAAAACTTTCCACTATGTAGATGTAAACAAAGCTTTGGGGAAAAAAACTACATTCTAAAACTCTAGTTAGAATACGTAAAATTAGTTATTTCATATCAGTCTGGAAGGAACTGAAGTAGATAAGCTCTAGGGTCAGCATATGCCTCGTTCAGCTTTCTTTAAAAGCATGGGGAGTAATAAATCTCTCCATTTTATCTTCAGTGAAATAATACTGCTGAAATATCACCTCATTTTTGATGTCAGTGATGATTTCTTCTACCTCTATGATGTCAAAAGGGAATTATTATTATTAGAATGACAGAGTACTAATGATGCTGTAAGAAAAAAAAAAAAAGGAATAGCTGAAATCATCATAACCCAAGCATCCAACATATCCCTTCTTGACAACGCCTCACTGTTTGGTACTTTGAATGGAGTCACTCTGCAATATCACAGCTGTATAAATTTTTTTTCTAAGCAGGAAGTAAATCAAGAGCAGGTGCCTATGAATTTTCACTAGCAGAGTACCATCCTTAAAAAATTTTTTAGGACTGGATGGCATGATTAAGATGTGTGATTTATGAATCCAAGAGAGAAAAGATTCTTTGGGGGCCAAAGTGTTTCCTGGGCTCTTGTGACACATCTCCACTGATGTTTTCCCCAAGAAGAGGACCACTGTGTGGAGAGGAAGATTGGACAATGGCCTCTCTAGGCTTTGCAATCTGTCAGCACTCTGTGGGACAGTGATGGTATGGTGTGTTGGTTCTGGGCTTCACTCCCTTTTTCACTTACTGAGTGCTCTGCATCAATCTGTGTCTACTTCAGGGTTCTCGGAGTGCATGAGAACCTGGAGGTGCTACGCAGTGCCACCTTTTTGTCCTAGAGATCAAATCCACAGAGCTTAACAGTCCTCCGCTGTGCCAAGGGGCTTGGGGTCTGGCCACTATGAGTTGTTGGGCAAATTGCATCACTCTCTATATCATTTCAGTATAAAGAAAAGACACACTTCATAGAGAAGATAGTAATTCATAATAAAACATTCAAGAATATTTTACATTCCTATTATATTTTTCTTTGAGGAGTTTGACAATTATAATATTGTTAATTTCACTCATCACAGAAGAGCATTTACCCAAGACTCAACTGCCTATGGGGCTATTCTAGGCAGGTTAAACATTTCAGGTCCCTAAAACTGGAAACGTACACCCATTTCAGACAACACTGGCCTAGGTATTCACCAATAAGCCAACTGCAAATAATTAAAGAAGATAGATAACTTTAAAAAGAACATGATGCTGTGTGTTATTTGGCATAAACAGAGGGGTGAATCTATATTGTGTTTAAAGTTAGTGAGGAAAAGAAATTTGCCACTGTTTATGGAATGAGGCAAAGGAGTATTTCTCTCTAATCACTATTACTTTTTGTCTTCAGTTGAGGATATAGATTAATTTCTGAGACTGGTTGGTTTTAGTCCATCCATAGTCTCTCTAAGAACAAGGTGCAAAAGTTCACTGACCCCTCCCTAAAAATTACAAAATCCTTCCCAGACCTCTTTTCCCTCATGGCGTTCATTTGGTTAAATGTTTCCTAGAATATTTCAGATTCTCAAACTAGCCTTGACCACGAGGCAATATGACAGTTCTTGGTGACTCTGAATGACCCTTTGGGAACTTCTGGGCAGACTTTAATTCCCCTCTTCCCAGAAATCAGGGGCTGTTCCTGGGAAGGCCAATCCTCTATTCCATTTTACCCAGAATGTCTCAAAGGGGCTAAAGCACTAATGCACAGGGTGAAGCTCAAGGGTAGGTACTGTCAGCCAACCATCAATGACGAATGAACATCAAAGTCAATTGTTCGCTTTGTTTTCATCAAGGAAATAGAGGCCCAGATAATCAGGCTGTTTGTCCGACATTGCAGAGCAAGTAAGAAGCAAAGTGCTGGTAGTGGGATGAAATTTTTTGACTCTCCCCACCAGGTGTGCCCCTATTAAGGCACTCTGTTTTTCATGACTTCTACAAGGAATCATGAGTTTGAAGGACATTTGACAAGGGGCTGTTGAGGACTGTTAAATATATTCAAAACTACCAAGTAATAATCAAGTATCTCTTGACTGTACTTCCAGAGCTCTAGCCCCTAGAATTGGGTACAAGTGGGGTACAAGTTAAATACACGTTGATTTTTAAAAAACTGAATATGATAGCATGAAAAATATGTCATAGAATGTGTCAACCATTAGTATAGGCTTTTTAAAAAGAAAAGTTATAGTATCATCTTATCCTTATCATCAGGGCCCCAATACTAAAAAACTTGTATAATTCCATTGGCTACATATTCTCATCTCTAAACTTCTTTTAAAGGGACTAGAACACTGACTCAAGGAAGATGTAGAACACTGACCCAAGGAAGAAATATGTTCTGGCTTAGTACAAATCATGTCTAATATTTATAAATTAATTCATTTTTTAAAAAACAAATGTTTATATTGAATTTCTACTGTGTGCCTGAAACTGTTCTAGGAATTTCCTGTTATACTGTAGTAGGAGAGGAAAACTATGTACAAATACATGTATAAAACAGTGTCAGGTTGTGTTAAGTGTGATGAAGAACAGTAAGGAGCAGGATAAAGCAGATGATGGGGTGCAGAAGGAACACTTGATATATTGTAGATGGGGAGGTGAGGAAAGTGATGTTTCAGCAGAAATCGAAGTGAAATGCAGGTGTGACCCATGGGAATATCTCAGGACAATATATACTTTAGAGAGAATAAAAAGCAGATGTGAAAGCCCTGATAGAAGGGATATGTAAATGCTGCTGTAAGTCAAGGGATAACTTTTGTTTCCATAGACAATTGCCCAACTATGAGCCAAAGGTGATGTTTCCAACATGGCCACTTAGAGATATCCATTGCTCACTGGTAGTTCAAATAAAAGACACACACCTGCCCAGGCAGCAGCCCAAAGCTTCTTCCCTAGATGTAACTACAGATGATTGAGAATTTGATTACACAGATGATTCTTTTGTTTGTAAGAGTCTTATTACTCAAATCACATTGTGATGAGGTCACTCTTTTCATTTGATGGTGGGATGGGGGGCATCCCTAGAGGGATGGGACAGATAAAATTGGTCCCTTGTGCCCTGGAAAGTCACTACAACGGAGCTATCAGCTCCAGATTCCTGGCTCTCTTCTTTTACTTAGAATGAGTCAGTAGAATATGCAGTGTTTGGTTTTTTGTTCTTGCGATAGTTTACTGAGAATGATGATTTCCAATTTCATCCATGTCCCTACAAAGGACATGAACTCATCATTTTTTATGGCTGCCTAGTATTCCGTGGTGTCTATGTGCCACATTTTCTTAATCCAGTCTATCATTGTTGGACATTTGGGTTGGTTCCAAGTCTTTGCTATTGTGAATAATGCTGCAGTAAACATACGTGTGCATGTGTCTTTATAGCAGCATGATTTATAGTCATTTGGGTATATACCCAGTAATGGGATGGCTGGGTCAAATGGTATTTCTAGTTCTAGATCCCTGAGGAATTGCCACACTGACTTCCACAATGGAACAAAAAACCAAACACTGCATATTCTCACTCATAGGTGGGAATTGAACAATGAGATCACATGGACACAGGAAGGGGAATATCACACTCTGGGGACTGTGGTGGGGTGGGGGGACGGGGGAGGGATAGCATTGGGAGATATACCTAATGCTAGATGACGAGTTAGTGGGTGCAGCACACCGGCATGGCACATGTATACATATGTAACTAACCTGCACAATGTGCACATGTACCCTAAAACTTAAAGTATAATAATAATAAAAAAAGAAATATATGTTTTTTCACCTACTGTTTATTCTTACACCAGTTACTTAACCTTTCTAATTCTCGGTAATTTCTCTTGCAGAATGAGAGTGATAATACATGTCTCACAGAGTTGCTGTGTGCAACCATATTTTGTAAAGCATCTTACACATATAAACAGTCTTAAATCTTATTTAGAATAATAGTGTTACAAATATATTTAACTATAAGTTTATTAATAAATACATCATAAAAAAAAAAAAAGAATGAGTCAGTAGAGGGCCGGGTGTGGTGGCTCACGTCTGTAATCCTAGCACTTTGGGAGGCCGAGGTGGGCGGATCATGAGGTCAGGAGTTTGAGACCAGCCTGGCCAACATGGTGAAACCCCATCTCTACTAAAAACACAAAAACTAGCCGGGCATGGTGGCAGGCATCTGTAATCCCAGCTACTCAGGAGGCTGAGGCAGGAGAATCGCTTGAACCCGGGAAGCAGAGGTTGCAGTGAGCTGAGATCGTGCCACTGCACTCCAGCCTGGGCAACAGAGAAAGACTCCATCTCAAAAAAATAAATAAATAAATAAATAAATAAATAAAATAAAATAAAAAAGAATGAGTCAATAGAATCCCCTAAGGAATGTTGCATACTACCTCTCAGGTGCAGCAGGGTTCAAGCCACAGGGGCAGTTTGCCTTCCCCGCAGGTTCAGTTTCTGGGATATAGATGCTCTAATCAAACAATGGAGACTTACGGGCTATATAGGAGGCTTAGAAACTCCATTTATTCCAGAGATCAACAACCTCAAATTGGTCCTTTCCCTACTTCATTTCTTGCATTAAGGGCTATATTAGTCTTCCCATGATGCTAAATCAATCCCAAAGAAAACCATTTGGTATGTGCTTCTTTTGTTAAAGGAACAGATGACGTATTTCAGTCATATTTTGTCCCTTATAATCAAATCAATATTCAGGACACTTAAGCAAGAAGAAATTTCCCAGAAATAAATGCATTTTCTATATTTGGAAGAAATCATTTATTATTCTAGAGCTCATATAACTTCCAGGAGATAATCTGAAATATTACTGATGAATTACTACTTTTCATAGGTACAGGTGCATCTGCAGAGGTGTAGAAATTAAGGTTTTGTATAGTCTAGATTCACCTCTATACATGAAATTTCACATGTAGACATGGATTGTATGTGTTCACTATGGGCCAGGCATTGTGGTAAGCACTTTACCTTCATCTCATTTTATTTCACAATAGCCTTATGAAGACGGTTGTATTGGTACTCTCATTTTACAATAAAAAATCCAGATGCTTAAAGAAGTTAAATAAAAGTCACAGACCCAGGAATGCAGGACTAAGTCCAAATCCTCAGCTGTCTGATGTCACAGCTGCTCTGGTTATCACTCTTCAGTAGAGTAATTTTGAGATAATAAAGGTCAAACGGTAACATACATTCCTTGTTTCCTGTTTTATCGTGTTTCACATTATTGCACTTCCCAGATACTGTGGTTCTTCTCTGGTCTGGCTCTGTCACCTAGGCTGGAGTGCAGTGGCACGGTCATGGCTCACTGCAGCCTCGAACTCCTGGGCTTGAGCGATCCTCCTGCCTCAGCCTCTTAAGTAGCTAGGACTATAGGAGTGTGCCACCATGCCTGGCTAAGTATTTTTATTTTTGTATTTTTGTAGAGAGGGGGTCTTGCTGTTTTGCCCAGATTGGTCTTGAATGCCTGGGCTCAAGCAATCCTCTTGCCTCAGCCTCCCAAAGTGCTGGGATTACAGGTGTGAGCCACTGCACACGGTCTAGATACTGTGCTTTATACAAATTGAAGATTTGTGGCAACCCTGCTTCAAACAAGTTCATTGCTGCCATTTTTCCAATAGCATGTGCTCACTTCATCTCTGCATCACATTTTGGTAATTCTTACAATATTTCAAACTTCATTATTATTATTATTATTATTTGCTTTTTTGGGATGGGGTCTCACTCTGTTGTCCAGGCTGGAGTGCAGTGGCGCAATCTCAGCACACTGCAACTTCTGCCTCCTGGGCTCAAGCAGTCCTCCTGCCTCAGCCTCCTGAGTAGCTGAGACCACAGGCAGGCACCACTATGCCTGGCTAATTTTTTTGTATATTTGGTAGAGACAAGGTTTCGCCATGTTGCTCAGGCTGGTCTTGAACTCCTGAGCTCAAGCGATCCTCCCACCTTCGCCTCCCAGAATGCCGGGATTACAGGTGTGAGCCACCATGCCTGGCCCAAAGTTCATTATTAGTATACCTGTTATAGTGATCTGTGATCAGCGATCTTTGATATTACTGTTATAATTGTTTTGGGGTGCCACAAATCATGGTCCAAATAAGAGGTGAACTTAATTGATAAATGTTGTGTGTGTTCTGACTGCTCCAATGACCAGCTGTTCCCCAGTCTCTCTCCCTCTCCTCAGGCCTCCTTATTCCCTGTGACATAACAATATTGAAATTAGGCTAATTAATAACCCTAGCATGGCCTTTAAGTGTTCATGTGAAAGGAAGAGTTGCACATCTCTAACTTTAAATCAAAAGCTAGAAATGATGAAGCTTAGTGAATAAGGCATATTGAAAGCTGAGATTGGCCAAAAGCCTCTTGGTGCCAGTTAGCCAACCAGTGAATGCAAAGGAAAAGTTCTTGAAAGAAAATAAAAGTGCTACTCTAGTGAACAAACAAATGATAAGAAAGTAAAACAGCCTTACTGCTGTTAGGGAGAAAGTTCTAGTGTTCTGGATAGAAGACCAAACCAGCCATAATGCCAAAGCCTAATCCAGAGCAAGACCTTTTATCTCTCTTCAATTCTATGAAGGCTGAGAGATATGAAGAAGTTGCAGAAGAAACAGTGGAAGCTAGCAGAGGCTGATTCATGAGGTTTGAGGAAAGAAGCCATCTCCATAACATAAAAGTGCAAGATGAAGCAAGTGCTGGTGTAGAAGCTGCAGCAAATTCTTCAGAAGATCTAGCTAAGATCATTGATGAAGGTAACTACATTAAACAACAGATTGTTAATGGATACAAAACAGCCTTCTGTTGGAAGAAGATGCCATCTAGGATTTTCATAGCTAGAGAGAAGTCATCAATGTTTAGCTTTAAAGGATAGGTGGATTTTCTTGTAAGGAGCTAATGAAGCTGGTGACTTTAAGTTGAAGCCAATGCTCACTTATTCTGGAAATCCTAGGGCTCTTAAGAATTATGCTTTTAAGAATTATGCTAAATCTAGTCTGTCTATGCTTTAGAAATAGAACAATAAAGCCTGGATGACAGCACATCTGTATATTATCATGGTTTACTGAATATTTTAAGCCCACTGTTGAGACCTACTGTTCAGAAAAAAATACTCCTTTCAAAATATTACTGTTCACTGACAATGCACCTAGTCATCCAAGAACTCTAATGGCAACATACAGGGGGGTCAGTGTTGTAAACATGCCTGCTAACACAATATCCATACTGCAACCCATAGATTAAAGAGTAATTTTGACTTTCAAGTCTTATTACTTAGAAACCATGTTTTGTAAGGCTATAGCTGCCATAGATAGTGCTTCCTCTGATGAATCTGGGCAAAGAAAATTGAAAACCCTCTGGAAAGCATTCACCATTCAAAATGCCATTAAGAACATTTGTGATTCATGGGAAGAGGTCACATGAACAGGAGTTTGAAGTGTATTCTAACCCTTATGGATGACTTTGAGGTGCTCAAGACTTCAGTGGAGGGAAGAACTGCATATATGAAGGAAATGGCAAGAGAATTAGAATCAGAAGTAGAGCTTGAGGATGTGACTGAATTGCTGTAGTCTCGTGATGAAACTTAAATGGATGAGTAGCTGCTTCTTATGGATGAACAAAGAAAGTGGTTTCTTGAGATGGAACTTACTCTTGGTGAAGATGCCATGGCCATTGCTGAAATAACAAAGGATTTAGAATATTCTATAAAGTTAATTGATAAGGGTTTGAAAAGCTTGACTTCAGTTTTGAAAGTTCTACTGTAGGAAAAATATTATCAAACATCATTGCATGTTACAGAGAAATCTTCATGAAAGGAAGAATCAATCTACGTGACAAACTTCATTGTTGTCTTATTTATAAAACCTGCCACAGCCACCCCAACCTTCAGCAACCACCACCCTGATCAGTCAGCAGCCATCCACATGGAGCCAAGACCCTCTACCAGCAAAAACTTTGCTGAAGGCTCAGATGATTGTTAGCAGTTCTTAGCAATAAATTATTGTTAAATTAAGATATGCACATTCATTTTTAGAAATAATGCTGTTGTACACTTAATAGACTACAGTATAAACCTAACTTTTATCTGCACTGGGAAACCAAAAAATTCATGTGACTCATTTATTCCCACGTTTGTTTTATTGTCGTGGTCGGAACCAAACCCACAGTATCTCCAAGATATGCCTGTATCTGGAAACCTTCGATTTCTGTAAAGAGTTTAGTAACTGCTATTTCAGACCACCAGGTCAAGAGATTACTTTAGTGAAACAGAAATGTGGGGTGTCTGCAGCTATTGTTAGGGCATCTCAGCATGTTAAAGAGTGCAAAGCCTGAAGAAAAATGACCTGTGCTTGCGTTTGTTTTTTAGTTCTTAGGTCTGCTTTACAACTCATTGTAATAGGCCAAAGTCTCATAATAGTGATAATTATATAAATAAATCTATTAGGTTGAGAAGGTATTTACAGAGGCATTAACAATAACTTTTAGGAGCAATAGTTGGTTAAAAGACATTATATATAGGAAAGTTTGTTACTTTTTTATGTATGTATATGTACATACATATACATATGTGTGTCATTTTCAAAGTGATCATCACTTTTGTTATTCATAGCTAGCAAAGGCTCAGAAAACTGATCTGAAAAGATACAGCATTAGTCAGAGAAGAGATGCTGTTACCTCCCCTACCTGCTTCCTGAAATCTCTGTAGCGGAAAATGAAGGATCTTTAAGTTAGCAACATACTTGGGCTGCAGTCACTGACATACTTAGAATTTAAAGACACTTCCCAGAATGGCTAGTGATTATGCCTCTAGTTGGTAAAATAGCTAGCTGATTAGTCCCAGCAGAAATGACATATCCCAAGCTGGAACTACTGTCATGCCTTGGTAATGGGAAATAAATTCTTTAAGATCAGAAACAATGCCGGCTGTATTTAAAATGACACTGGAAACCACGTTGTAATGGACAATTGTGCAGAGGTCAGCAGAGACTAAAACGAGGTAAAAGGATTTAAAAAATTTGATTTTATTGGTTCTCTCCTCTATTTGCATTTTTCATCAGGATAACCTCTGCCTGTAAGTTCCACCCTGGAAATTTTTTCTCCTTCAATTTATCTTGGGTGTCTGGGTTGATTGAAAGGCAATAAATGCATAGCCTTAGAAACTCTGAATGGGTTGACAGAATTTTTGGTCTCTGAAAATTCACCTATTGATTTGACAAGACAGTTACATTTTGCACAACTTGGAATGCCGTAGTCATCATTTCACGACAACACAAAGCTGAAGCAAAAGGCTTTAGGAGAAGCATTGGTATGTCTGGACACCTGGAACAACTCTGAATCTCAGATAAGGAAGAAACATCCAGGTGGCATCTAGTCCATCCACACTTGTCTGGGAGCAGGAGGAGACTCCTAGCTGATGAGTTCAGTGTATGCTCTTAGAAATGTCCAGAGAAGGACCACTACCACATTGCTCCCTACATTAGTGCTGGGCATACCTCCAGGCTATACTTTTCCTGGTATAATTAAAACTCCATAAGAATCAGCATTCTTATTATAATATGTCACATATTCTTAGCAATCCCTGAGAAATCATGGAGTTTTTCCAGAAGACAGGATATTGGCAAGTATTATCCTAATTTTCAGAAAGAGAGAGGCCCGAAATGTTTATATTCAGAAAAAAAAATTATCGAAAGATATTTTAACAAAAAATTGTGATCACCACAGGCTAGCATGAAGTCATGATAAATAAGTGATGCTAACATGACTCATTTCTCATTTTCTGAATGGAATCTTCAACTGATGGCTAAAAGGAACACTATGGACCCAGTATGTTTCAGTTTTAGTAAAGCACCGATAAAGATTTGCAATATCCTTGTAGGCAAAATGGAGAAATGTGAGCCAGATCACGGTACAATCGTTTGGGTTCATAGCTATTCCAACAGTCACATGTAAAAGACACTGATGTCAACTAGCAGGATCTCTAGTGGTATGCCATAGGGCTTGGTACTGTCAACAGTTTTCATTGGTATATCGGAAAGAGAGCATGCAATTCAATTAAATCAACATTTATTGAGTGACAACTATGTGCAGCATACTGTGCTAGGTGCTGAGGGAAGAAAACAGGATAACAAAGTACCTAGTATCCAATGTTGGGTATTGGAAAGAAGGCTTTTGAAATCAGAAGATCTGGATATTTCTCAGTCTTGCCATTTACCATTTATCTGACTTTAGATAAGTCAATTTGTATTTCTATGCCTCCATTTTACTTATCTTCAAAATTGAGGAAACAGATAATTTTCTAAAATGATTATTGTGAAGTTCAGATGATATTATATGAAAGTACATCATAAAATGGAAAAAAGATGCCTAGCTGAGCCTGTGTTATCTCACTTTATCTGTAGGAAAATTCTTTGGTTTAGGTACTATTAATAGCTTCATTTTACAGGTAAGAAAATGAGGCACAGAGAATGTAAGTAAAATCTCAAAATGCTATTTAGCACAGAAGAGAAGGGATAACTTTACTTATATGCATTAGGGGAAATGAAAAAATAAGTGATATTTGAGTGGGGCCATACTGGTTGAGTAAGAGTTTTCCAGGTGAAAGTGTGGCAGAAAGGTATAGGACTTCAATATGTATCAACACTGGATGGATAAATGGGAGGGAGAAATGAGGAGGAAGGAAAGGACTATTGTGATACTGACGGAATATGTTCTGGAAGATGCACTAACTTGGTTTCTTAATAAGTGCTGAAGATATCATACTGTTAAATAGGGTTTTGTAACCTGCAATCAATGGATAAAATGATGCAAAATGAACTTACCTTGGGAGAGGCTCTATAGATTTTATCAAATCTTTAAAGGGCTCTATGATACTCCAAATAAAACAAATCTGTTAAAATTTCATGTGCACCTTATTCCACAGAGCATATGCAACTATGAAGTTCTAGTAACAAGAGAAGTTTCTAATTTAAGAGACACCTATGTTTGGGCTTAGAGAAGGCAAAATAATTTTCCTTAGCTAATTAGCACCTTCTCGTTAATTTTGTAACTTCATGTTTAGATGCAGATATTCTTAAAGCTAGAGTATATGAGCGATCCTAATAAACTAGTGAAACTACCAATTATTATTTCTTTAGAATTCTTTATATCATAAAGGAGGCTGGGTAGGATTTCAGAAGTCATTTAGTTTAGTACCTAGCTACAGGTAAATCCATGCCCAAATCATCCCAGATGGGGGACTATTTTGAAGAATCTTGAGTTCTTGCATCCTCCCTCCCTTAGTAATATGTTTGCGTATGTCATAGCAGGAACTCCAGTATCTGAAGATTTCACCACTGTGAAGAGTTTGAAGACACTCCGAGCATTATATAAACATGACAGCTTTTCTCCGTTTGCCTACGTTTGCCAGTCTAGGCTGTCTACTGTGCCATTAGAATGAGGACATCATAATGTGTGTGGATAAATACTTCGGAAATGACAGTGGAGCTGGTAGGCATTTCAGAAGAGATCAGAAAACTGAAAGTCCCATGCCAAAGGAAACTATCCTCCAAAGACGGAGCTAAGGAGGCGACCCAATTAGTCTTCCCTTCTCTAATTTCCCTGATTACATATCTTCTTTTACCCCATGCGCTATACCTAGCAAGTTCCCCCAGACATAGACCTAATCAAGAAGGCAGAATCTATGTGCAGTGCAATTTAAATGAGAGCTGTGCTATGCTATGTGACTAACAGTGAGGCCTAAACAACAGGGAAGCCCCTGAGGCATAAAAAGTGGCTGGTCCGGATAACATGCTACTGTGGATTTCAAAGCAAATGAGGACAGAAACAACTGAATGTCAGCTCATATTTGGGAAACTTCACTGGAGAGAGGGCGACTTTCCTGAGGAAGGGGGTGTGGCAGACACTGCAACAGCAACTCACATTAGCAGATGCAGGTTGGTATTTCCTTGGCTAGAATTCTTGGTGATGGGGAATGTGAGTAGGCATGGAGTCCTGGAAAAGAAGTACATCTCTGTAACTCCTTGGGGGCATTGGGATCACCAAGCACCGATACACTAGTGCAGTGGGATACGGTGAGCCCCAGAGGGAAGGTCTCAATCAGGCAAGAAGTTTTTCTTTTAAAAATTTAAGTTAATTACTTTTTCATATGTTGAGGTCAGCTCATGCTGAGCCATTCTTGGGACTTAATCCTTTAAGCAGTGAAGCAGAGGGGCCAAGCGGACAGCCTTGGAGGATTCGATTCTGGTGCTTCAGTAGCTACTTAAGGGCTGTATGAAAATGGGCAAAGTATTTCACCTATTAAGACCTCAGTTTCATCACCTGCAAAATGGGCATAATAATAGAATATAACATTTGGACCATGCCTGGCATAGAGGAGGATTTCAAATAATCCTGTTGTGTGGATTAAATAACTGTGAAGCATGTGGCACAGTGGCTGCCACGCAGTCAATGTTCAGTAAGTGGTACTTTTGTTCCTATGACGACAACAACAGATAAAGTGATGGAGAAAGTTACAAAGGTCCATGTGCCAAGATCACAAGAAAAACGGACAGAAATATAGTGGCCTGCACTGAGCAAAGCTTGACATCTTAGGATCTTTATGGGAAAAGATGCATACAATGGTCATAAATTAGGGGGAATATTGGGAGTACAGAGAAATGATTATCACTGTTTCTTTTTATTTGTGTTTATTGTGTGGTGGTGGGGTGATTACCAGTTTTATTGGAATGTTTTATAAGCTGCTAGATTTACTCACTGAGAATGAACAGATAAATAGGGATGTTATTCAGCTGTGTCATGCCATGGGCTCTCCTCAGCTCTTCCACTAACTTTCAGACAAAGTTAATTAATGAGGGAAGTTCACTGCAGATGAGGAGGAGGAGAGGAAGAGCTGGATCTGCTGGATGATTCATCTTACTGGGGAACAGAGGATGAATCAACTTTTGTTGGTAGTAGTTCTGGGGAAGAGAGTAGGGCATCGGCTGGAGACTCTCATGGTATCTTGAGAAAGACCTGCTGACAGGGTATGTCAGGGGAGTATGGTCACTTTAACATTGCATGATTCGATGGGATCTGGAATAGCTCCTAAATCTTTTCCAATCCTGGATGTTCAAGGTTGCACTTTTACGTCTTTTGTTTCTGGAAGGCCCATTCTTACTGCAAAGCATCTTTAATCCTAAGCCCAAGTTGCTTCAGAAACATCTTTCTTCCATTTGTTTGCATGATGGTCCCTTCTCATTTACCACTCATAGGTGACATCCCGCCTCCTCAGCGTGACCTTTTATAATCTTCCTATTTAAAGTGGCCTCCTGCCCTCATCAGCCACCCCCTCACACTTTCTTTGCTATCTGCATAGCAGTATAGCCTAGTGGTGAAGTGCATGTGGTATGGAGCTGGACTCCCCAGGTTCAAACCCTGGCTCTGCACCTTCAACGTGTGACATTGAGAATGCTAATTAGTTTTCTATCCTTAGTTTCTTTGTCTGTAAAATGGAAACAAAAACACTTTAGGAATGTTGTAAGGGCTAACACATGTGAACTATATCATGCCCAGCATATTGCCGTGTTCTTAAATACTGGCTGTTATTAATTTTAGCTATCATTACTTTATGATCTCTAGTTTGTGGTATGAAAAAAATTTTAATCAACATTAAATTATCAAATAATATTGAATTATACTTAATATTGCTTTTTGAAACTATATCTCACTCCTGGCACCCTTCTTCCCTCCTGGGATGTGCCCCTCCAAACCAGTAAAAATGAATAAAGGTGAAGAAAGAATGCCGAGAGACAGAAAACAGAAAGGAAGCCCCATGGTTCCTAAAATCTGAAATGCAAAGAATGTGTCTTTCTAGCATTAAAATAACAAGAATCTCAACATCTGTGGTCTGCTTATAGAACTCCAAACTTGCTAAGGCTACATAGTTAGCTAATGAATGCAGCAAGGCAGGGCAATAGAAAATGGTCCTAAGGATAGGGTCTGTTTTCTTTCCCTGAACACACTCCTTTGTAAGAAGCCTCTATCGGGTAGAGCTAGAGCAGGTGGAGCTGCCCACTTGCCTCTCCTCTGCATCGCACCTGCTAAAGGTTAAGGAGGCTCCACTTGTGCCTTTTAGACTCCAGGACAGCTCAGCTAAAGGTCTTTCTTGGAAGGATCTGCTTTCCCACCTCTCTTGTTTTTCTGAAGAATTAATATCAAAGAAAGTGCCTGACTCTGACTTCTATACAGCTGCTAGTCTCCTGATGGCTTAGGTAAGGTTTTGAAGGCCTAATGATACTGGCTGTTACCATCCGCGATAACACAGCAGTCGCCTTAAAGAACTGAACTATCAGAAGTTCTAAATTCTAAAGCTGGGGAAGGTCACAACGGCTGGCCACATTGATGGCACATGCCATTTCCGTTTGCCCTCCCACAGATAATCAATATTGTTTGAGATTGGTTAGTGTGTTGTAAAATTGATAAGATTCCGGTTGCCAAAGGCATTTCATGAATTTCATAGGTCTTAATTTACGTTGCTATAGTAACTGAAACATTGGAATTTCCTGAGATTTGAAGGCTTTTATATCCTTAACCTTAAAATGATGATAATGTAGATTTTGACTGTGGACTTGGTCTTTGCTTGTGAGGAACTTACGTATATCGAGTATTCTATGAATGCTAAGGTGTGACTGCACGTTCCATAAATACAGTTTTGAAATTCAGGTTTCTAATATCCCAACTGATTTTCTCGTCTATGTGTACAAATCTCGGTGGCTAAGATGTTATTAAAACGGACAGCCTTTCTGTAAAGAGAAAGGGAGAATTTGAAGGGGAAAGCGAGAGAAGTGGAACTCTCCTAAGTAGCAGTCCTAGAGCACTCGTCTTGAGGACTGATATGAAATTGGCTCACCTTCTCCATTAAAGTGAATTTCCAGCAGGTGCTGAAGCACTTGGCATATTTTTAATCAATGTGTTAAGAAAAGACACTATATTGGGGTTTTTAGTGCACCAGCAATGTCTGAAGTGAGAAGGAGAGGTGTAAAGAAGCTCCTGCCTTGAGACAGGAAGATGACTGGGAATCCTATGGGCTCCTCAAGATCACATGTATTCATTATATGGACCTAAAGCAGCTGGAAAATTCAATGCAAATTACCTAGGACTGGCCTGAGACAGCAATGTCTCCCCTCCCGGAACCGGCTTACCTTATATCCTGATGATTTGATGTGCACACCGCGTTTGGTCAGAGTAGATTTCATTCGGATGAAAAAGGAACGCTCAAGAGTGTTGTCAGTGGTTAGCAGACTGGGGCTGGTTGACTCCACTGAGGAATACAAAAATACAGACACACACGATTTAGATCTTGACACAGCCCCTCACAGCTACAGCTCAGGTGCAATCCTTGAGTTCACTAAAAATAAATGACTGATGGGTGCTAAGAGCAGTAGTAATCAATTTACCTCATTTAGAAAATGTTTACTTTGCGGAAAATAAAAAAGAAAAATTAATGTATCTAGAGTCACCTCGTTCCAGTTTCTAACAAGAGCTTTTCAGGCCTTTTTACTTCCAGCAGCTGCCTAAGTGGGGTCTCGTCATAAGTAACTGCAGTTTACTTGAGGCTGGGCTGGTGCACATGGAGAGAACTGTCATGAAAGACAAGGACCCGTAGATTTATGAGGTCAACTAAGGTACAGGCAGAGATGCTTCTGATAAAGGGTAAGGAAGGCTTGCTCTTTGTTCTCCCCGATAATCCATTCTTGTGCCATTTGCCTACTGGGAGTTTGGGATCTACTATCAAGGTGGAAGAGTCATGTCCTGACCAATGTCCTCACCCCTCGGAGCTGGTTTTCTTCATCATGGGGAGTAAGAAGCATAAATAAGACATGGAGGGATAAGAATGGGATGTATAGACAGAAACAGAAACTACTCACGATACCAACTTTCCATTCCTGTCACTTTACAGCAGCTTTCAACCCCAACCCTCCAAACAGGAAACAGTCTGTTTTTCCACCTCTCTGCTTCTGATATGAGGAAATAATGATTTTCTCTCTTAAACAAGATAGTCACTCTTTCCTTTTATGTACTTTTAGACTAAGTAGAATGTTTTTGCTTATGAAACTTAAAATGGTAGTTTGCCGTCTTGCTGATGTAAAAACACCTTTATGCAAACAGGTCAGAAGGCAACGTAAAAATCTATTTTCTTTAAAAACAAGCTTCCAAGGTATTTTATAAATTTAAGTGTTTTCTGGCAAAGAAATTAATTTTGGGGTTTTTAAGCCTAACAAATACTCTAATTTATACTCTTCTTAAGTTTTTCTTATTCAAAAGTAAAAAAAAAATTGTCCAAGAAACAGGATTTCTTTCGAGTAGTCGTATGCTAACGCTAATTTTCTCTGGAGTAAGGGCAAAGAAATATGTGTAATAAAGAGATTTAAGAATTAAGTATATGTGAAAACAGTTATTAACAAGAGAAAAAAATGGGCAAAACAAGTTTTAAATTTGAAGTATGAAATGCATTCCATATATTTCTAAGGGTGAGTAATCTCTTTTTCATATTAAACTTGGTGCTCAGATGAAAGAAGAATGAGAGCTACTGTAATAACAGAAACCTTGCTATCTGTGGTCTGGGGCTTTTCTTCTATCATTTTTATCTTAACATGACTATGTTTTCCTATTTTTGTGGCATTTCTATTCTGGGGTGATGGAATCACTGACAAGTGTCCCTTTCTTATGTGTCTCTCTTAAGGTTTTCCTCTTTTTTTTTGTTTTAGAGAGCATGAATCTGATGTCATTTTAAATGTACAGCTTTTTATCACTCGAGGGAAAAGCAGAGCCATGTTATATTTAGTACTTTCATTTCTTCTGATTAAATATGAATTACTATGAAATTTTTCTCATCATCTAACACGCCATAATACGCCAACAGCTTTTTAATACACTATATAAGCACAAACTTCTGCTCTAAGAGTTTAATTTGCCCCTCTAATCCAATCACATCAACCTTATTTCTCTTATCAGAGATTCCCATTTTGAATTAAATGAGCTCATTAGTTTTAATCAAAAGCAGAGAGATCAAAACTTAAACGTAAATGCTTTAGATCAGAACTGTCAGTCAGCCGTGCAGTTCTATTTTACTAAAACACAAGATCAGAGACCCTTAGAACCAATTTTTTCTCGTAAGGGATGCCGAGAGCTTGAAGATGCTATATCCTTTTTTTTTTTTTCCTCCCAAGGACAGATTATACATTTAAGGTTAGACTTAATTTATAGCAGTTTTTTTCATCCTGGTGGAAATGGAAAAGTATACCAATCTACTGTTGTTCCTTTCACATTTATTGGCACTGGTCCTCAGAGACTTGAACTAACGTGAAGCCATCAGAACCACACCACAAACTCAGCCTTAAAAATTCAGCTCTGTTCAGCAAGATCATGTTTGCAATTGATGAGGAAAAATGAAGCTTCCCAGAGAAGTGAAACCTGTTTTAGCGCTGGGGTCCTGGAGCCCCTGACCCAGTAAGGGAGGAACTACCAAACTTGTAGAAAGGGTGGGTAATGCAGGCATTGTGAGAAATCATTGTTTTCTATATGGAGAACTGCACAGTAAAACACTTAGAGGGTACATTAGAGACCACAGCATGGGTGCTTCCAGCTGGGTGAAGACACAAGCTTCACGTGAGCTGTGGAGCCAATCACGGCATCGTGCCCTGAATGAGGCAGGAGTATGGCACCGTACCACATGTTGCAACAGTAATTGCCTAAACATACAGGGGCAACGTTAATTATACCCAGGACAACCGGTGTAAGCGGGGAGTGTTAAGGTCGGTTTTGCCTCAGTGAAGCTGATATTTAAAATCAAAACTAGTCTTCAAGCTTTATTTCAAGAGCATGTGGTATGGAGAGTCCAAGAGAAGGAGACAGGGCAACCCAGAAAGAGACTGGTTTCTGATGACAATTTCTACTGAAATTCCATATGACTTCCTACTTCTGAGGACAGGGGCACAAGTAAGGAGCCACGTTTATTATAATAAAGTCATTCATAGCTCACACACCATGGCCATGGGTTCTCAAGAGCTAGCAAATACACTTGGTTTATCCCAGCTGTGACAATGGTGTCTCTCATGTGAAAAGACAGATTATCTGCATGTGACAGATGAGAGCAGCAGCTTTAGAAGAGATGCTTTTGAACTGTCTCACGTGAGAGGCGTGATTTTGATGAAGGTTCTATTGGGGGAGATCCAAGGCAGCACGGCCTTGGTGGTGTGTGACCCCACTGTGGCACTGAAGAGAAAGTGTGTGTGTGTGTGCGTGCACATGCGTGCATGTGTGTGGGATGAGGCGAAGAGAGGATGAGAAGATGGAATAGTGAGAAAAGCCTCCTTAGGAATAGTGCTCTATAAAGACAGTGGCAACAGTTTATGTCTAAGAAGCATTTTAGAGTGCTTTCTAGACATGAAATGCTTTTCTGTCAACTTTTTGAGGCAGCTCATAATTGTTGCATGCTCTGATAAGAAATCTGGGATTTAGAGAAGTTGTATCTGCTGCCTGAGACACAGGAAAAATCTACGGGTAAAGCTGGATTAAGTGGTCAAAGCCCAGTTGCGCCCAGCTCTGCCCTATGAATTATAAACTAGGAGCTGAAAAAAAGAACAAGACCTACACAACTAAAAGCTAAATAAAGAAATATACTCTATTTGGCTCAATCTCAAGGTCTCAACTTTTTAATAAACCTAAATTATCTCAGCTCTTGAAATGTCAGTTTTTGCATATTTTGTAAAATTTACAGGAAAATTTACAGCAAAAGTAGTAATAATTTTTATGTTGGCAAATGCCACCATAATGTGAAATGATATCTGAATTACTCCACATCTGTTCATGATTCCCTAGCTGGTGGTGTGGTTGCTGTTCCCCTTGTTATTATGTAGGGGCAGGAGGCGGTAAAGAAGGCAGAAAGAGGAGGTGTCTGGGAGCCACCTAGTTCTCACTGGGCTGAAACTAGGGCCAGGTTTGTTTGGAACACTTTCAGTATTCTCTCCAGGGTCTCTGTAGGAGTATGAAGCCAATGCCTTTAAAAAGGGCCTTTTTTTCTTTCTCTCTCTCTTTTTTTTTTTTTTTTTCAAATGAGACAGGGTCTTCCTCTGTCACTCAGGCTGGAGTGCAGTGGCGTGATTATAACTTAATGCAGCCTCAAACTCCTGGACTCAGGCGATTCTCCTGCCTCAGCCTCCTGAGTAGCTGGGATCACAAGTGCGTGCCACCACACCTGGCTATTTTTTAATTTTTAAATGTTTTTTAGTATTTTTTGTAGATGGGGTTTCACCATGTTGCCCAGGGATTCACAGCCTTGGCCCCTCCAAGTGCTGAGATTACAGGTGTGAGCCACCGTGCCCAGCCAAGAACCTTTCTTTTTCAGTATACTTGAAGTGTTTTCACTGTAATTAAAGTGTCAGAACCCTCCAGCCCCCACCAAATCCTGATGTGTGAGGGAGAAAAAAAAAGTTTTGAGAAATGTTACTCCTCAAAAGTAAGTAAGGTATTTTTCCTTTTAAAGGAGAAGTGGAGTTGCCATAGGTTGTTAAGACATGAAGTTAAACACATTCTTTTCCCACATCATTGCCTAAATGAATCTTTTCATTTTTAGGTGTTCTGTGCACACAGGACGAACTAAAGAGCAATTATCCAAAATGACTTTAACAAGGCAAAAGAGGTGTTGGTTCATTTTGCAATGATCTTGATAAAGCCAGATTGTTCCACTGGCATATGCTGTCAGCCTTGCTAGAAATGGATGCAGTTTAGGACTTTAGAATGAGTATGTATCCACTGGGATTTGACAAGTTGGTTTTTTCCTTGCAAAATTTTTCCTTATACATGAGAGGACTGCACTTCCTCAGCCACACGGAGTTAGGGATGCTCACGTGGCTTGCTTTAGTCAATGAATGTGAGCAAAAGCCACATGTCACTTTCAGGTGGAATTTTCAAGAGCCAGTCATGATGTGCTGCTTTCTCTTTTCCTGTGTCCTGGTGACTTTTAACAACTTCACCAGCCTGAGTCTTGGAAGACAATGTGAAGCAGAACCCCTGCCAATCCTTATTGAAATAAATCTTTGCTGTAATTTGGGGACTGTTTTTTTTACTGTAGCATTAAGCTAGCCCATACTGACTAACACAAATACAAAATCTTTATTATTTATTCTTTGAGTCATTTATGTTTCCAAGTTCTCCCAGCTAGGGGCAGAGCAAGAATATGACAAATGTTTGTCGGACTCCAAAGGTCATGAGGTTGCCAATATACTGTTCTTACAGTTATTTATGTACTTATTTTATCTCCATTTAATCTCTTTTGCTAGATATTTGAGGGCAGCAGGGCTAAGATGAGTCTAACTTTGATGCTGTATAGCACTTAGTGTGGCTCCTTTTATACAGGTATCCAGATATCTGCATCTATATATTGATAGAATCTTTATTCTGGGTATATTATTATTATATGTCTATTTATATATGTGTGTATGTCTGTATATATATAGTAACTAACATTCACTAAATAGTGAATTTAATAAGATCTTCCCAACCTAGTTTCCGAAAAGCAGGACAAGCATGGTAAAAATAAATCTTTCTCATAGAAATTATCCCAGAGGATTTTATGTTTATCCAGGATGACATCTGTGGTAGTTTTAAAATGCTACAAATTCTTCAAAACTCCTCCTTCTAAAAGGTGGAGCTACTACTTCTCCCCTCGAGTTGGTGTGGGCTAAACTTGGTGACCTGCTTTTAATAATGAGCATATGGTGGAATCGATGGTGTGTGATTAGCACAGCAGCTCCCTCCTTGCTCTCTTGGGTCATTCACTCTGATGGAAACCAGTTGCCACGTTGGGACGACACTTAGGCAGTCAGTCTTATGGAAGGGCCAATGTAACAAGGAACTGAGGCTTCCTACTAACAGTCACTTCAGTGATTTTAGAGCTGGATCATCCAGCTTTAGGTGAGCCTTCAGATGACTGTGCTCCGGCTGCCATCTCAATTGCAACCTCATGAGAGACCCTGAGCCAGAGCTACACAGATCAGCTGCTCCTAGATCGCTAACCTGAAGGAACTATGCGAGATATCTTTGCTTTTTTAAAGCCGTCAATATTTGGGGGTAATTTGTTATCCAATACCAGACAACTCATATAGCATTAATGTAGAACCTCTTTTTGGAAAAATCATAGCCTTTTTTGGATACGTGACGATCATGTTCATGGATAAAACTATGTGGCCCAGCGTGTCCATAACTGGTTGAATTTACATGTGTAGGGCACACTACCTGAAATATTGACTTTTATAAGTAGGGTCTATATTTTCAAAAGTAAATGCCCAATTGACTTTTTTAAAATGGGAAATTTGCAAAAGATGTCATCGATAGTGCCATGTACAAGACTGTAAGAAAGATATTGAAAGAAAGGAATGATGTCTTAACTTGTTTTTTGTTGTCTCTCTTTCCTGTTCTCCAGTCTTCCTTGTGCCTAGGATTGTGCTTTATATAAGTAGGCATTCAGTTACACGTGTCAAAATAAAGTGACATTCAGATACTTTCTTCTAAGAAGAATTCTTCACTCTATCCCTGTCACTCTCTCACACACCAAACAATATCATGTCCCAAGAAGGCTTTTTCTCTTGAAGGAGGGGATCATTAAATCCTCTCCTTGTATTCATCTCTAAGGAAGTGTTTTCTGCAAAGTGTTCTTTTGAGAGTTCTAGGCCAGTGGGTTTGGTAGTTAAAGGGGGGTTGGCCTGATTTCTCCCAGAATTAGAGAATACTTTGTTCTCTGTCTTTTGAGAGTTGGTTTTCATCCCACTGGCCTGTCTTCTACCATGTGCCAGGGCAATTCTGAAGCGGGTAACGGCTTTTAGTATACTAGAGTGTGATCCTTGACTACTGGTGGCGAGGCAGTGCCTTCCATTTTCTGCAGTCACAAGTTGTACCACCCTTTGCAGACTATGCAGTTGCAGCCACTATACTTTGGCTCAGCAGTCAGACTTTATCAGCTTCAATGCTTGCTCTGGAGTCCAACAAAAGTGTCTGATATATTTAAATCTCCTTAGGGCTGATTCCTGTCCCTACCCAGTTGTGAGTCTTCAGCATTGTTTAGAAACTTGTGAATCATTAACTGAAACTCTAGAGCATAGCTGTGAAAATAATTGTGATTCAATAATGATGTAATAACCTTCTTTAACAGTAACGTTAAAAATAACCCACCTAAAATATGAAAATAATAGTCTGCCAACCAATGCCACCTGTCACCATAAACTCCCTGGGACTATCTGGCCTGTCTCGAATGAGAATTGTAATGCATGAGGTTGCCTTTCAGGTTTCTTGCTCCTGGCAGGGGTTACTACTTGGTGAGACTGTCCCCTGAGGGAGAAGAGAGTGTTTGCTGGCTGCCTGCTGCTCTGCAGTTGGTGTTTGGATGATACCACTCTGGGGAAATATACACAGTGTCAGAGTCAAGCTGCTACCAGTGGGTGTTTCTATACACAACTACTAAGCAACGGGAAAGTTCAAGGGGGAAAAACTGAGTATCGTAAAGATCGCCTTTGAGAGTACATGGTATCCAATATGACCCATTCTGCAGCAGGCTGTGCACTCCAAAGGATGTGCCACATGAATACTGCAAGTGAGTGTTTTAAATCTTATTGGAAACTCCCTATAAATGTTGCCACTTGAGGGATCTATTCTGGGAGAAAAATATAGCATGTCCTCCTGCGATGCTGCGTGGATTCCGTTGCCAATATTGCATATGGGATCGAGTGTGGCAATGCTTTTATCACAACTATAAAGTGGTTATGAGCCAATTCTTCATATAAAAACACAGTCAATAACATTGAGGGCTTTCCCCCCTTTCTATTTCTTTTATTTCCTTCCTTCTTTTTCTTTTTCTTTTCTCTTTTTTTTTAATGACAAACATCATGTCAGACAAAGGGCATCAGGACTTAGTCTTTGTACTACAATACAAAATAACAATACATAAACACCTTTGTGAAGGCAGCTCGAAACCCCATGTTTTCTATTAAAAAGTCATGTTCAATCTTCACTGTTGATAGAACCGAATAGCTAACACAGAGAACATTGTATATCAGAAAGGTCAATAGTTATTATGAGCTACAAATATATTTTTTTCTATCCTTCAGGCTGTTTAGCGCATATCACAGCATGAGCAGCTGTCTCCTTTAATGCTTTTAAAATTAGAATCCCAAAGAGGAAGAAAAAATTATGGTTGCAATGATTGCTCTTTGCTTTTGTAAGTTTACTTTAATATACTATTTTATATACATGAATCTTCTCTGCGGCCATCCATGGGGCGGTAGCTGGTTGCCAGTATCCAGCTGAACCGCCATGTTTATTTTTTTAACATTCTGGCCAAATCTCCATCTCAGGCACAGATGTTGCCCACATACGGTATTT
Organism: Homo sapiens; assembly: GCF_000001405.40. Lineage (NCBI taxonomy): Eukaryota > Metazoa > Chordata > Mammalia > Primates > Hominidae > Homo > Homo sapiens. Next base: position 33,727,099 of record NC_000014.9, on the reverse strand, counting down.
TAAAACGGAGTTAGATAGAGGAGTCTGGTTACAGAGGCACTTGCAAACACACACACATGCATTCTGCCTTTTCCTTGCTTTAAAGCTCTATTACTAACTACAATACCGTGTGATGAGGAACTGCTCTACAGCACAGGGTGAAAAATCAGGCAGTGATTCAAACCATTGGTACGCAAGTGTCACTCTCCACGTGCAGGCATGTGGACTGAGCGTGCACCTTCTACTATTTTAAAGGTTGTTCTTCTGGCTATCCCTGGAACTTCTTGCCCTCACTCAGCACATGACCCTAGAAGACAATGTTGTGATTAAACCCATGTAAGCACACATCAAATGTTTTACTATAGCTCACTTTTTCTTTGTTCAGTTATTCGTTCAGTTACTGAGTAACTAGTGGTCTGGGACCATTCATAACAGTGCTTACCTTTTAGAGGAGGAGCAAAAATAGATACAATAATTTCAGGTGGTGATGAATGCTATAAAGAATAACACAGAGTAAGAGACTAGAGAGTGATGGGAGCCACATTTTGGTTGGGTGGTCACAAGGGCCTCTCTGACATGGTGGCGTCTCAGAGGAGACCAAGTCATGGACGTCTGGGTGAAGGAATCACGCCCATCTCCGTGCTCATGATTCTTATGGTAAATTTATGGCTCCAGATTGGTAAAAGGCTTTACAGAAAGCTATTATTTGGACAGCTATGCAGCAGTGACTATGAAATTCTAGAGAAGTTATCTTTTGAATTTTTGTCCAAGATTGAGTGATTTGCCTTCAGTGTATGACTTGACATATAGGCCACCAAGGAAATATTTAATGGGCATGATTGATCAGAGTGTCCAATGCTCTCAGATGTACCCACTGGTATTGGCAAGTCTTTAGAGATCTCCAGAGAAAGCAGCTTCAGTCAAAAAGTGGGATAAGGATACAGTGAATAAATGATACATTTCTCTTTGGAGAATTTTGGGGGTGAAAATAGAGACTTGAGTATGTTTACTGATGGAGAGGCCAGAGCTTAGAGTTGGAAATGCTAATTAAAGAATTTAAACCCTAATGGATATTGAATGAGGAACAGAGAAGGAGAGGTGAGCCTTTGAAATGGGGGAAATAAAGAGGAAGAATAAGAGAAAGTGGGAGGTGGAGGGAGAGAGACAGGAGTGTGACAGAAATGGTTCTGAACAACTTATCTTCAATAAAGTAAATAAATTTCAATAAAGTTGTTTGCTAAGATAAAGGAAGTGGAAGAAGGACAGGGTTTTGCGATCAAAGAAAGCCATGAAACAGCCTGTGTAGGGAAACCACCTGGGATTGATAGAAAATAAGCACTAAGATTATTTAGTAGCTAGAAGTTGCCTGGCTTAAATTTCTAGAGATGGGAGCCAGGACAGTGGCAATGAAAGGCAACAGGGTGAGGGATTCCAAAGGGTTAAGAGGCAAGTGAAAACTGATGACATGATGAGCTGGAGACTAGCAAAGGATGGCAGGACAGGAGTATGGTGACATGAGAGAGGTAGGCAGTAGGGGCTTTGTTCAGAGGGTGAATTCTGAGAATATTGTTTACTGCTTTAAAAAAGTTTATATAAATAGATATGTCCAGAGAAAATTTTGAAAACATGAAGTATAAATAGGAAAATTTAAAAAAATCCCCATAATGTTATCACTCAGCTATAGTCACTAGTAACCCCAATGTGTCTTCTCGCAATCTTATTTACCATTTATTGATAAATTTATTTCAAAATTGGGATAAAACCTGTGTCTGCCTAATCTTTTAATGTTAAAAAGTCATAGCTTACTATGTGGTAATAACCATACTTTTATTTTTTATATTTATTTATTTATTTTTTATTATACTTCAAGTTCTAGGGTATATGTGCCCAACGTGCAGGTTTGTTACATAAGTATACATGTGCTATGTTGGTATGCTGCACCCATTAACTCGTCATTTACATTAGGTAATAACCATACTTTTATTAGACATTGTTAGGGGAATAAATGGATGTTGGGGTTCTAGGGGCCTTGGCTGCAAATCAGTTTTTTTAAACAAATTTTTAAAGAACATTACAGTATCTGTATTTGTCCGTATTATTACATCACTTTCAAACACATTATTTTTTAGTGGCTGTGCAATATTTCATTGCATAGTAATGAATTTCTTTGAAATTAATCTTTCAACTTTCTTATCTCTTAGGATGAATTTCTAGAATGAGTATGACTGGGGCTGAGCTTTTAAAAAAGCTCTTAATACACACAGACAAATTGATTTCCAGAAAAGTTGCACTGTACCAGTTTGCATGTCTATCAGTAATATTTAATGGTGTTCATATTATTGCCACCTTTAAAGATTTGTTTTTTTTTTTTGAGAGAAAACATTAAATTACCAGAAGATAACAGATACGATATTTACGGGGTTCTCTGTGATAAGAAATGTGTAAAAACATCTCACATGTTTTTAATATGCATTTTTTGTTGTTTTTGAGATTGGTGTCTCACTCTGTCACTCAGGCAAGAGTGCAGTGGTACAATCACAGCTAGCTGTAGCCTCGACCTCCAAGGTTCAGGTGATCCTCTGCTTCAGCCTCCTGAGTAGCTGGGACTACAGGTGGGCGCCACCACGCCTGGCTACTTTTTGTGTTTTTTGAGGAAACAGGGTTTCACCATGTTGCCCAAGCTGGTCTTGAACTCCTGGGCTCAAGGGATCCACCTGCCTTGGTCTCCCAAAGTGCTAGGATTACAGACATGAGCTGCTGCACCTGGCAATTGGCATTTTTATTTCTATTGAGGATGGATTATGTTTGAATACATATTTACTGGCCAGTTGAATTTTTAAATGAATCACATATTTATGTTCTCTATTTTCTAATTGGGTTTTTAGTGTTTTCCTGATCAATCTGAATGAACTACATATATATTAAGGATATTAACTCTGACATATTTCTTGCAAATACATCCCATTTTTTTGCCTTTTACTTTTGTTTATGATATACATAAATGCATATGTCTTAAAATTTTATATTGAGTAGTCTATACATTTTTTTCCCAAGTGACTTTTGCTCAAATTTTTTAACAGGTATTTGAGATTTTGAAAATGAAGCCTGGTTAAAGCCCAAGGTTTGATCGTGCTACGCGTGCTAAAGATAAGGTAAAAAAATGGATATATATATTTTTAAGTTTTGGCAGTCAAGGAACTTTGTGTTGAATGGTTACCCTTCATGGAAACTCTCATTCTGACATCCGTTTGCCTCCTTGAGCTGAGGGGTACACAGGAAGGCTGTGGAGCATGAGCTGACATCTTGAAGGAAGTTCAGGGAGTGATGTGAGTGTTGATAGACAATGGCATTAAGAACAGAGAAAGAATGCTTTTCTTTTTTCTTTTCTTTTCTTTTTTTTTTTTTTGAGAGGAAGTATTGAAGCAAAGATCCTAGGGAAATGGTGTGGAAGTGGCAGCAGAAGCAGTGCATGGTGACCACTTCTCCTTCATACAGGGACATTCAGGGACATAGGACTCCGAACTGGACAGTTGCACTGGAGAGGGTTAGAGAGTAGTGGCTTCCAAGAAAGAAAGGTCTCAGTGAGGGTGAAGAGGCAGACGTGAGGCTTGTAGAAAAGTTAGTGGCTAAGGAGAGTTTACTCCCAATTAACCTTGCTGAATAAAATACAGGATGCCCCATTACATTTGAATTTCAGGTAAACAACAAATGATTTTTTTAGTATGATCCAAATATTGCATATAAATTCCAAATTGAATGGGGAATCCTATATTTGGTAAATCCGGCAGCCCTTTTCCTAGAAGAATAAAGATTTAATGTGACACAGAGGAAGGGTTTTGCATGAGTGCAGTCTTATGCTTAACAGGGATGACAAATGGAAGAGTTTAGAAGATTGGCCCAAGATACATTTCTTTAATGGAGTGAATGCTGAGTGACTGGAGCTTTGTCACTGGAAGGTACTACAGAACTAAGCAATTATTGAGAATTCAAGTAAAATCTGGTGTGATGATGTGGCTTTTTCAAATTTGCCATCTTAGGTATGGGGTCTGACACAATGGCCAATTTTAATTTTCCCGTGTGAATGTGTATATTCTGGAGATAGAAGGAGTCTCAGGTTGGCAGGTCTCCACAATATCTCCTGAATCAGTATCTTCTGTTAATTAATTTTTTTCACATAGGAGAAATTTGACTGGGCAGCTAGGATTTGTTGGTTTTATTATGGCTCAATTCCAGCACATCTTGAAATGGTTATTTTTCAAATGTTTTTAGTTAGAAGTACCATATTAAATCCATCATCAATAAAGAATTGAGGGTTATTTATTGGAGAATATTCTTAGTAACATTATTTATACTTTGTAATAATTTAGAGAAGCCAGAAATGAGAGATAACCCAATAATTATCTATATCTGTTATTTTGCTAATGAATCTCTATTTTTGACATCTTTAATTAAGCTAATTTTCCTTTCTCTCATGATCCTAATAAGTTTCAATGACCACTGCTCCATCTTAATACCTAAACAAAGTCATCTAATCTTTTGCAAGAAGTAGCTCTGCCTTAAAACAAGGCTTCATCATTATAACCTTGGTCAGCTACTATATGTGTAGGCATCATTTCCATATCTGAACTCGACATTAGGTCATTTGTATATTTTCTTCAAGGTTATGAATAATCTTCCCAAGTGGAGGGGATAAAAAAGCAGTCATTAAAAAAATCCATTTATATAGCTTGCAGTTATTCTTGCCCTAGAATTACCCCCCCTTTCCTTAAGTTAAAAAAGGTAAAGGATATTGCTGATGGTGATGGGGAAAATGGGGTTGAAGCAGCGTTTTCTCAAACCATGGGCAAAACAAATTTGTTGATATTAATTATTTCCCTTTTTCTTGCTTCATGAAACGAAGTGATCTCTTCAAATATAGCTTTCCAATGACATACTTGATGTTTTTACCATGAACACTTCGATGTTATGTTGGATGGCTTCTGGGTCTAAATGGTATATTCTATAATGCCAAATAAGTATTTTTAAAACTGGCATGACACATTCCTGTTGCCTGGGAGCTGAATGCTCCCACTGCATTTGTCATAATTGTTTTGTGGTTAATCCTCTCAACAGCAGGGACTCCAGGTATTTATGGTTGCCCTTGTTCTGGGGTCTTCAATTATTCGACCTGACGTGAGAATGAATCCATCAGTATCAGTAGGCTGTCCTTTGCCCATTTCTCCATTTTATTATTGCATTTATCCCTAACAAATTCCATTTGCATGTCATTAGTAAAGTTCTCCGTATTTTTCAATAGCTTGAGAAGCTGCATTTTGGAAATGACGTAAAGGTTCAGATCATATACGTAGTGCTTATCCTCATGTTTTACTCAAATCTATGACCTGCATTCTTTAGTTTCCTTCTTAATCGTTTCAGTTACAAGCAAAATGAAACCTAAATAAATTTTCTTGAAATAGTCAATGATTTACACATAAAATACTTGACATAGAGCACACTTTTCTTCCCTTTAAAATATTTTCGATTCATTGTGCAAATAATACACAGGTATTATGATTACTACTAATGTTAACTGTCTGCATGGGAGACAATATTGCTTTTAGTCTCTTCTGGTAAGTGTTTTATGTGATTTTTTTGGGGTGTTAAAATTACGCATGCTAAAATCACAAGTCATAGTCTTTAAATTATGAACATCTAATATAATTGACCAACTAGCCCATATCTAAAGCTGAAAGTAAAATATGTAAACCCAACCTAAAAAGGCCCTTATTCTGAAAGCTATGTCTTGCCCTTCAAAGTTTTTTTGTTGTTGACGCCAACAACCAATATCTACAACCTTTTCTCTAACAGAATACCTCTCCCCGACCAGGTAAGATAGCAGTGTGTATGTAAGTAATTTAGGGGAAGACAGAGGTGGTCTTAAAGGTGAAAGAAAGGAAGAAAAGAAATTATCTTTCCACCAAAAGAATTCACTTACTTTAAAAAAGAGTATTCTCTCTTATATGATTTGAAGTCTAACATTTTAGGAGACGCATGTAAGTTCAAAAATATAAAAATAACAATAGAAATTCCTGCTATTTTGACAATTATTTTCTACTTCATTTTTGGCTTGTTGGGGAAGAAAGAAGCATTTAGATACATGCAGAACATGTAATCGCAGGATTTTCCATATTTATATATTTTCTTCCCTACATTGTATTTTCACTACCCAAGAGCCCAGGCTGTTATTTTTTTTCCTGAAGTCTGAAGATCACCCCATGGATTAACAAATGATTGAGGATTCTCTCTTAAAAGACTCTTTAAAAAACTGTCAGAATCAGCCTGAGACAAAGATTTATTATGAACTATTTAAAGGGCTTAATATATGTATCCCCAATGAGCCCTTGGAGCAAACTAAAAAGGAAGAGTGGAATTCTCAAAGAATAGGAAAAATTCTCCAATGCCCCACTTTCTTCACACCATGATTACTGTTTACTCAAAGGATAAAATGCCTAACCTGTCACACAAAGTCTTCAGAAGCCACAGTCCTGCTGATGTACAGTAAAAACAATACAATGAAGACTGACAGTAATGTGCTTGAGAAAGGCAGCTGTAATTTACTTTCTAACCTGTTCACTAACACACTAATGTGGCTACATCTTGTAGCAGGAGCTGATCCCTGACCCACGTAGCAATCAAACAACTACCCAAGTGTTGGCTGTCACAGAAGCTGGGACCGTCACCTTAATTATACGTTCCTGGATAACAAACCTTCCCTTAATGAGCAACTTTTCTCTTATGTGTGTTCCAACTCACCCCTCTGTCCTTGAAAAGGCCCATTGCTGATCACCGCAGTTGGAATCTGTGAAGCATATTCATAAGTATTCTTCCTAACAGGTAATAAATACTACCTGAGCAGGCTGTTTGCTTTATGAGAATGCCAAGATATAATTAAAATTATAGCCTTGTACTCCTGGGAGGCTCTAGAGAAGAATCACTCAGCACAAAAGGGAAAGTTTTCGATGAACTTACAACTAAGCTTTTTTTCTCTTTTATTGGTAATAACAATATTATTATTGTAATGACTATCTTCTTTGGAACTTATATTTGGCAATGAGATTTGTTCCTCTTAATGTAATTTCTACACTAGCTTTTCTTTTTTTTAGACATGAAATCTCTTTATTTTCTTATTATAAAACTCCCAAATTCTGTTATTATCTGCCAATGATGCCCCGACAATTAACACAGGCAACAAGGAGGGGTCTTACGAGGAGGTTTTGCAAATACCTTGAGAAGAAAGAGTGCCTTTCTATGGAAAGAAGACCTTTAGCATTGAGGACAAAGAGCAAGACAATCTTTACCATATGACGGTTCACTTCCCTAATGTCACTAGCTCAGTGTGAGTTTGAGACTAGTCCATCAGAAAGGCAAATGGTACAGGCTGGTGACTCGTTGAAGAGAAGGAAAGGGCTTGGAACCAGGTTTGTTGGTTCAACTTCCATTTTGTTTTAATCTCCTTAAGACTCCGCTTCTTTTCTCTTTAAATGTGTGGATATATTTTCTCTGTTAGACAGTTTTGGCACTGTTTGGTAAGGCATATATAGCATATGTATTTAGAAAATATATTGTATTTAGAAAGCTCTAATGTATTTGCTTTGAGTAAACATTTACAGTGGAATATATGAACTAATCCATGTAAATCACTTAGCTTGGCACGTGATAAACACCAAGTAAATGTAAGCTTTCATGGTTGTAGTTGGTATTGCTAATATCTCCACAGCTATTTCTGACATCTGTTTTTAGGCTTACTGGGTGGATCAAGGAACAGGAAAGAATTGCAATGCTCGATAATCTGCTGGGTCCCAGAGCAGCAAATCCCATCCTGGAATAACAACAGGGGTACCACTGGACAGGATGATGACCACAGATATGGAGAGCAGCAGTGTCCATGGGAGTTGGACATATGCCACGGAATTGGGAAGTTTGTGTCGTAGGCCAGGCTTAGCAACTGGGGATAGCTCTACAGTCTCGCTCTGTCACCAAGGTTGTAGTGTAGTGGTGTGAACACGGCTCACTGCAGCCTTGACCTCCTGGGATCAAGCAATCCTCCAACCTCAGCCTCCCAAGTAGCTTGGACTACAGATGCACACCACCACACCTGGCTAGATTTTTGTATTTTTTGTAGAGATGGGGTCTTGCTACGTTACCCAGGGCTGGTCTTGAACTCCTGGGCTCAATTGATCCTCCTGCCTTGGCTTCCCAAAGTGCTGTCATTACAGGTGTGAGCCACCGTACCTGGCCGCAGCTTTACAGCCTTGTGTGAGTTATGCATCTCCTCAACAACCATTCCCTTTTCCCTACGAAGGGCGTAATATTATGTGACTTGCCTAACTTCGGGAGGTTGTACAATCAAATAAATCCACGTGGAGGTAAAGTTTGATAAATGTAAGTTAAATTTGACCAGGAAACATTTGTTGAGCGCTTCTGAGGTACCTGGCACTGTGATACCATATCAAATGTGAATCTGATTAATACTGGAAAAATAATCTATGTATACACACGTTACTACCTTGTTCTTGAAATTCAGGTGTGAGCTAATACTTCAGTTTATGCTATCATCAACATGATTTTGGATAACAGATTTCTAGGCTGATAAATTTCAGAAATGGATAGGTGTCACGAACCTGACTATAAGATAGTAAGAAAAGTTTACAGTCACTGGTTTTACTAGAAAATGGTACAGAATAAATGTGAACATGAGAAAATGTAAATGCAAAAAAGGAGAATTAGGCAAGGAATAAAAATGATGAAAAAGAAAGATGTAGGGTAGCAAGAAAGAAACTAGAGAAGACGGACAAGATAAAGACAAAGGATTAAGGGATGAGAAAAATACATAAAAATTACACAGACAAAGTGACAACAAAATAGACAAAACAAGAACCCAGGCACATTAAGGAAATAAGGGGAAGAAGAAGAATGAAAAGAACAGGAACGCTATTCTTATAACCACATCGTAGCTTGAGTTTGCAAGTCAGCAGCTGCTGGTTTGGCGTTGCGTGTGCCAAAGACCTGTGTTTTCCCCAGGCCTGCAAAACTGGAAAAGCATGAATCAACATGTATTGGGTACTCACTTAAAAAAAAAAAACCCATTACAAAAGCAGGTATTCCAAAAATTGCAACCATTATAATTTTAAACCTCAAAGCTGGGTGACTGGCTAGACTTTCTCAATAACCATTTTATTTTGTGTATACCAGCTTTGAGGTAGAGGGGGATTAGGATTAATGCCAGGTGATTTACATATACATTTAATTTAGTTGTCGCAGCACTCTTTGAGATAAGCACCTTTATTTTCCCTATTTTAAAGAGGATCTGTTGTCTATGACCATGTACTTTAAAACACCCACTGTTGCTTATATAGCATGGCCTAAACGGAATCTAGATGTGGTCATTGTAATTCACTTAGAAATCTTTAGCTTTCTGTCAGGGTCTCTCCTGCAACATATTTCACGGTCCTTCCTTGGGCATAGAAAGAAATATATGAGAATGCAAGCAAAAAGATGGCAGGAATTTGGGGTGATTTTAATTTTTACTTTATTTTCCAGATTTTATGAAATGAGTATTTATTATTCTATAATAATATCTATCTCTATGTACTTAGGTTTGTGTGTTTACGGGGTTGTTGCTTGCATTATCCAGAACTTCCCTGAAATATTCACTTTCACCCTGCTCTGAACAGTTAGGATTTCAGGGAGAAGTTGTTATTGAACATCAATAATTAGAGTGCTTAACTTGCCCCTTCTCAGAAAGAAGGAATCATTGTGCCTATGTCACTAAACTCTAGGACTCCTTCCTACCTTTTGTCCCTGAGGAAACTGGTTTTCCTCTCCTTGCGATTTTTTTTTTTTTTTTTTTTGGCCATGATCAGATGGAAAAAGCCCAAGAATGCTTAGGTTATTCAACAAACTTACATAATTCATAAGTTTATGTCAATCGTACAGTGGTTTTCAAGCAGGAAATGGTTTCTCTGGCAAAACCCCTTCTAACAACATCAACTCCCATTCCCTCTCTACTCAGTGCCTTCTTTGAGTGCTGTCATTTTAGGAGCTAGCCCTTTACAGAAACCTGCTTTCAAAACATTTTAGAGTCATATTTCTTTCCTTAAACATTTTATAACACATTTAAATGAAACACAACACTTTTCAAAAGATTGAATTAAAAATGTAAAGATTATATATGGATATAAGAAATGAGAGATGTAAAGGAAATGCTACACAGTTGATGGCAGCTGAGGGTGCATAGGAGGACAGAGAAAATGAGCCATCGTCGGGTGGGGGCGGCGCTCAGAAACAACAGCAACAAAAAGGACATGCAGACTAAAAGAAGGGGCACAACGACCAGGAAAATACTCCAAAACACAAAAAAGGATGAGAATTCGCTTATATGACATATCTAGAACAGGCAAACTCATAGGGGAAGAAAGTAGAATAAAGATTACCAAGGATTTCCAGCGGGAAAAATGGGAAGTTACTGTTTAATGGGTACAGGGTTTCGGTTTAGGATGATGAAAAAGTTCTAGAGACAGGGGTGGTGGTTGCACAACAATGTGAATGTACTTAATGCCACTGAAATGTATGTTTAAAAATGGCAAAATGATAACTTTTATGTCATGTATATTTTACCACAAAAAAGGGATTAGAACACATACTAATGAAACATGACATACTAATGAGACAAAAAACAGATGAAAAGAAAATAAAAGCAAAAGTAGACATAGAGAAGGAAAAACAAGAAAAACAAGATAGGGAAGAATCATGATACAAAGGGTGGAGAGAATGAAAAGCTGTGGTTTCCATGACGGCTAAGACGAAACAGTAGCTGGAGTACCATATTCCAATTATTGATCATTCAGCAGATATGTATGAAGCACTTACACTCTGCTGGGCAGTTGAGATACAGAAGTGAATTGTATGGATACTGTCTCTAACCAGTAGTATCTGTGTGGAGACAGGTTACAAAGACCAATGAGATAGTGGTCTTGCCCCCAAGGAGTTCATGGTCAGTGTTTGTATTAGTCTGTTCTCACACTGCTGTGTAAGGACACACCCAAGACTGGGTAATTTATAAAGAAAAAGAGGTTTAATGGACTAACAGTTCCACATGGATGAGGAGGCCTCACAATCATGGTGGAAGGCGAGGGAGGAGCAAAGGCATGACTTACATGACAGAAGGCAAAAGAACATGCACAGTGGAACTGCTCTTTATAAAACCATCAAATCTTGTGAGACTTACTCAACTACCATGAGAAAACAGCGCAGGAAAAACCCACTCCCATGATTCAGTTACCTCCCACTGGGTCCCTCGAATGACACGTGGGGATTATGGGAGCTACAGTTAAGATGAGATTTGGGTGGGGACACAGTCAAACCATATCAGTGTTTATTAAACTTTATTTTGTAGATAAATTAGTACATTTACTGAGGCCCAGACTTGTGATGGAGGCTGGAATCGTAGCCCAAATTAAGCATACACTGTGACTGGCACCATTAGCCCATTCCAACACAGACGTATAGAGCTAGCTGATCTAGAACAATCTCCCCATGTACAGGCAAGAGCAGGGGAGAGTAAGCGACCTCCCAGGTTTATCCTGTTCCCCAGGAACAGAGTTGGGAGTACAACTCTAAGGAGTCTCCTTACTCCCAGCCCAATGCTCATTTAATTAATATAGATTTAAAATACTGAAAAACAACCCACTTCAATTAGCAATCAGGACAGTAAAGGTGATTCACACTATGCCATCAAGTGCCAAGGACTTATTGAAATAAACAGAATCAGAGAGGGTTTACTTTCAAGGACTCAAAGGTCATTATTTTATAGGACAGCAACAAATCATATAAATATCAGAATGAGAAAGGCACAATCAGAGCCAGCTTACAAACACAAGCCAGAAACTGTTCCAGGGTGACTAATGCAATAATACTGAGGAAAGTCACAGGTCCCTATTATAGTCAAAGTCACTTTAACTAATTGGCTCAAGCTATAAAAACATACAATCTGGGTCAAATGACACTGCTGAACAAAGCTTCTCTGCTCAGACATTATCTTAAATCAAAGCTGCTCAATATGAAGGCAAGAGAAAAAGAGAATGTCTAGTTTTCCTGGGAATCATGAGAGATGTCAAGACTGGCTTATGTCATAACTGCCAGCTTTACATGTCTATGGACAATGATGGTGATTTTCTTTTTTCTGTAGCATCACTTTGTACATCAGAAGTGAGATGTCATTGAATCTAAGACCCCATCCATTTTAAGAATGCCCCATCCTTTTGTGAAGCACCAAGAAAGAAAACATCACTGCCAGTTATGGGATCATTGGATGACAGTGATTGTAAGATGCACTCCAAAGTCAGAGATGTTAAAATGTGAAAAAAATAGAATCAGTGACGTAAGGTATTTTTCATGACTCCAGGATAAATTTGATAATTATCTCTCTTGCTTTTAAAAAGGGAAATAAATTAAAGAAAATATAGTTAGTACTGTTGACTTCTTACCCAAAGTCTTCCTTTCTTATTTTCCTAAGAAAGACTCAATTTTCCCCCAGGCATTTATCTCCTCCCAAGTATCCATCTTCCTGTGCCCAGCTACGATCTTCAGGGAAAGCAAGTTCACCCCCAAGTATGGATCGTAATTGGTGTAAGCCATCATGGGGTCCAGTTGTCCACAGCTGGTGTTAGAATTTATTCAGTTAACAAGTATTTAATGAAGTTCTACTGGTTCCAGTCACCGTTCTAGGTTTTGAAGTTACAGTAGGAGAGTGACGGGTGGGAGGAGAAAGAAAAAAAATGTCTCCCTAATAGAGCTTACATTCCATTAGAAGATTTAGAAAAAAGATCTAGTGTGCTAGATGGTATGAAATGCTGTGGGGACAAATAAGACAGAGGATTAAATATGAAATGCTGAGGGAGAGAGTTGTAATTTTTGTTTTTTAGTCTTTTTAAAAAATTTTATTATTATTATACTTTAAGTTTAGGGTACATGTGCACAATGTGCAGGTGAGAGTTGTAATTTTAAATAACGTGGCCAGAGAAGACCTCACTGAGAAGGGGGCATCTGATTACAGACTTGAAGGAAGGAATGTCGTGACCCTTTTGGATATCCGGTGAGATAGTGTTCCAGGAAGAAGAAACAGCCTGTACAAGAGTCCAGAGGTAGGAACATCATGTGTTTGAGGAATAGCAAGGAGGCCAATGTGGACACAGCAGAGTTTGGGAGGAAAAGTGATGGCGATAAAAGCAGAGAGATGCTGAGATGTGTTCTATGGACATATCACAGGTATGACCCTGAAGAACTTTGGATTTTACTCTAAATATGATGACAAAGGCCCCATGGGAGTTTTCAGTAGAGCTGAGGCATGATCTGGCTCTTGTGTGAGACTAAAGGACAGAGGGTGGGAGCACAATCAAGGAGGCTGCTGCCGCAGTGCAGGGTGAGATGGTGGTGGTGACAATAGTGAGATGAGGTCAGATTCAAGATGTATCTCGAAGCAACAGCTGACAGCACATGCTTGTGGACTGAATGTGGATGTCAGAGGAAGAGAGATGTCAAGCATCAAGCATGCCTCCAAAGGTGACTGCATAGGCACTGATGCAATTCTACCATGAGAAGTTAGGGAAGTCTGCCAGATGGGGCTTCTGGGAGAAGTTTTGCTTAAACTTAAAAGGAGACCCCCTCCTCCCTCAAAAAAGCAAACATGCCTTGTCTTCATCTGGACATGGCTGTGAGGCTATGGTTATTGCTACCAACTTAACTAAGGGATAAGGCTGAGGATGAGACTCATATGTTGAGGGGGCAAGAGTAGCACGATGGAAGGAACCTGTTTTTTTGTAATCACGTTGGACCATTGAATTAACCAGCCTTGGGGTTGTACTTGCTCTCGACTTACTATATGAGACCTTGTAAATCAATTGAGTTGATAACAGAATTGAACTAATCTCTGTTGGCAGATAGTAGATGATAAAATGGAACAAAACTCAGGACTTTGAGTGTGTGGCTTGGCTTTCCTGACAAAGAACACCTTCAGTAAGAGAGAAGAAGGGATGATCATTTTCAGAAGGGTTGACTCTGGGATAATTGGGAGGAGTAAGAGATGAATATGGCAAAATGACCCCACACAGCATAGAGAAAGTGCCTCCTGTTGATGAGAGGAGGGAGACACATTATAAATGGCAGGTTTGTAATTAGAATGAATCCTCTAATTTCCCAGTAAAGAGCCTAGCTTTCGGAGCATTTCCTTTAACACCTCTCCTTCCCGTCCCATGTGCTATACCTTGTTTACCCATGGCCTGCACTGCCCACTGTAAGAATGAACTGGGTTTCTCAGGTTCTAGTGTGTATCATGAATTAAGCCACAGAGACATTCTGCAGCCTGGTGTAGCCCATTAACAAGTCAGAGACTTCACTTTCCTGGTGATATCTGACTTCATTTAGCATTGTACATAGTGTGCCATAGGAACTGTTGGTGGGGTCTTGACATCTAGGTTATCAGAGGCAGTGGTGATTTAAAAAACAGTGATTACGTGATTAAGGCAGGGATTTGTTTTTGTCTCGAACTTGAATGTCCTTAACACTAAAAAAGTTGTGCATTTGCTCAAGGTGCAGGAACTGGCTTTGTGGAGACAGTTGCCTTTGTCTCATTTGATATAGTTGGCTTCTCTTCATGAACCCAGGGTATGAAGCCTGTTTGCATCTTATTTGCTTGTGTGGACAGCTAATATCATTCATAGCAGATGCCACTTGAATGCGTGTGTGTTATTATAGAATACAGATCAGTTACATCTAAATCTGTTGGCTTCTTGGTCATTTGGTGGGGGGTGTTTTGCTTCACCTGTGCCAGCTGAGGCTAGAACGTGGTACAGAAGCAATCCCTCCAAGGGGGAGACTCTGGTTGCAAAACCACCAGGTCCTTCCCATCACTGCCCCTCTTCTGATTGGTGTTTTTTTACAGCTCCCAGTGATGGGAATTTTTAGAACAAAGTGGAGTACTTGGAGTGCTTATTTGCATGTCAATTTGCAGAATGCTTCTCCAACTTTTCACCATGCCATAGTGATGCTTTTGTATCTCTTCTGCCTGAGAACAAACGGAGAGGAAGGGCTCGAAGTGGGTCAGCACAGTGTCCTGGCACTTCCTTTAGCTGAGTCTCTGCCCAACGGGGTAGAAGCCAGACTGTTACTTCTCCCTGGCCCCTCAAATCCCCTAAGCAGCCGTGCAGAACTGGGAGGTCTGCTCTCTTTCTTGGGGGTTTGGAGTGAGCAGGCACCTGACTATGGGAACGTTACTGCCCTGAGTCACAGGCCTTGTGCGAGTGACCCTGGTAGGAATCTAATGATCGCTGCTCACCATGTTCTGACCATCTTTCCCTTTAACCTGACACTTGCCTGTCCACACCCCCTAGCTGGGAATAATAAATGTGATGGGTAGGTGGCAGAAGAAAAGTAGGATTTCTTTTCCTTTGGGACCATATCTAGGTCCTGTCATTATAGTAAATCAACTGTAAGTATCCTGCAGCACTATCATAAAACAGGCGAATGAAAACATTTTTCTCCATCAAAAGATTCTTTGAAGTTATGTACTCTGGCTGAATCTTACAGAAAAGCGTACAGGAAACAACATTCTATCTACGTTTATTTGGCCCGGTCTCTCTGTCACCCAGGGAAGTTCTCTATGTTATAGTCTCAAAAGCATTGTCCGGTCGCATTTTAAAAGGCCCCAACTTCAGCCATCTCCCCTGGGACGTGCGTATCAGAAATCTTAACAGACAACACTCGTCCGCCAGTTCAGTTATTGTTACGAAGGTGCTGAAAGAGGCATACTGCATGCTGAATTCAAAATAGATTTTTTTCCCTGTCACCTGACATTCTGTATATTAAAACAATGTTATTAAAATCACATTAATTTTATCTTAGTAAATTTTTAATGTGCAGTTATAAGATAATCAGGAAAGTTTTATTATACAGTGCATGCACGTATGTATTACAGCAACAAATCCTCGTCTGGTAAAAAGAAAAATACTAATAGTAGACGGGCTTCAGTCATGAAGGTGAGAGAGTTGGAAACCTGCGCTTGCTCCCAGCAGAACTTTTAAAGCAAATATTCGAGAAGTTCTGTGTTTGGCATAAGACTGGGTTATGATCTGAGAACCTTGGCACTTTGTATGAATTTCTGGATCTCAGCATATCTGGCTACCTGGTAATCTAAATTACATACTTCTCATGTACATAACGGAAATAAAGGTTTGTTTGTAAGATATGTTCAAATTTCTCTAGCTTATTACCATGATTCTAAAGCAGTCTCAATTTCTGTGGCTGCATTATGGAAGCCTAGAATAAATAAAAGTTAGCACTAGAGTTAGTTCTCAGAATGTCCTAGGGACACTCAGCCTATAGCACAATGTCCTGGGGCCAGTCCTTCACTTGGGGCACTCCTTTTTCCTTTCTCCGGGGACCCACTGTCTGGATGTGTCTCCCCTTGTCGGCACTGACAGCAGAGAGCAGTCAGGAGCGGGGCACGCCTGATGAGACTGAGCCATTCGTTTTCCAGCCAAAAGGGTAAGGGCTTGTAGGAGAAGAATGCGGCCTCGGCTTAATAGAGTGAGATTTGATCATTATTTTGGTGATTTCAACACCCACACTTTGCTGAGGTTCCAGTGAGTCTGGTGGATAAGAAGCTATGTGGTTCACAAATGACCCTTTATCAACTCAGGACAAGAAAGATAAGATCTCAAGCCTAGCAGTGATTCCTCAAGCTATTTGTCCCCATTCACAAATTTCTCAGATACAAACTCTTTACCCTCAACTTTGGCTCTATTCTAGATCTAAAATATGGGAACTGCGGATGTCTCTGTGTTCTGATCTATTTTTTAATTAGAGATTGGAATTGGCGTTCTGCTCACAAGTTTTGCCTTTGCCACCAAAGTCTGAAAGTTGTTACATCAAGTCGCATTGTGTTAGTAACTTCCTATCACATGAGCAGAGATTAAATTTGCTAATGTAATATGAAAATCACTAACATAAGATGAGTGCAAATAGAAATCACAATCTCCACAGACTCCCTAAGGGTAATGTTGAATGTGTAAACACATCTCTCTGGTGGTTTGCTCTTGCTAACACAAGTGTGAGTGTTGAAGTCGCCACTTCGGTTTACCTTCAGTGCTCTCCAGGCTGGGCGTGGGGCTGTGTGCACAGTGTGTGGGAGGGTAAGGGAGTGGTCTGTAAAAATCCCAGCATGATACATATCAACCATCCTACATGCATGGGGGATATTTAAGTCCTGAGGAAGGGCAGGCTTATTTTCTTCCTCCTCTTATTTGGTGAAGCAGAAAGGATTGGGTTTGTAATTAGAACAGCCATGGTGAAGTTGGGCTTGGCTGTTCATTAGCAGGCGGTAAACCTTTGCGGGCTTCAGTGTTCTCATCTATAAAATGGTGATATGTGGACTCCCACACAGGGTTGGCCCTTGTGGGAATCAAACTCAATAATGGATGTGAAAGCACTTCTCACACTGGAAAGAACTTAGCAAATGTTACTCATAATATCAACTCCCCAAACTTTCCTTGTGCTGTTACTCTCTGACATCATCCAATTCAGCCATGAAGTCAACCTAAACTCTTGCCCTCCCGAGTTATTTATTCAGAGGGTAGGCTCTGTTCTCCAGATGGCCAGGGATGGGAGAATGGGGGCGGGAAGTAGCAGAGAGTATGAATTCACTTCTGCCTCTCCTGGCATCCTGTGATATTATTCATCAGCCTTCGGGGTGGGACGGTTTTTCCTTTAAATTTGAAATAGCTAAAATTTATAAGAAGCTGATTAACCTCCTATTCATGAACAACCACCTTTCTCCAGGGGACAATGACTGACTTACGCGCGCAGGGTATGCTTTGGTGCCATCTGTAGAAATAAAGCAGTTATTTTTGTGAATAGAAAAGAGCTTCAGTTATGTGCCGCAGGCAGGCAGAAGAGTGGAATACAAAAGCCACTTGGGTGTTGTGGAGAACTGTCCACTCATTCAATCAATAAATATATGGGGGTAACACCATCTCACTTGGGCTTTCCGATCTATTTTCAATCAGTAATAGATCCAATCTCTCAGTAAACCTACAAATGAAGCCAATTTTCTTGTCCTTACTTTGCAAATGGAGAAAATGAAATACTGAGGTGCTCAGGTCTAGTAGAGGCAGAAAAGCTAGCCTCTGCATGACCAAACCCTAGTCTCAGTCAATCCTACCAAAGACCCACACACACTCAGGACAGCAGTGCCCATATGCTGAGCCCTGGAATGACCTGGGCTCCTCTGCCTTTCAGAGATGCATTGCCCTTTGCCTGCTTCGACTGAATTTTTACTTGCTGGGTTATTTTTAATTTTCCCGTCCTGCTCCCCCCACCTCCATGTGTCTGTGTTTTCTAGACTCTCTGACTCTTCCATGACTCAAATACTTTTAAATAATTCTTTTTCATCAATAAGTTTTGCCATCTTGCTTTTCATCTTCCTCTTCCAGGTCGTTAAGACTCTGAATAAAGCCTGTATTGGTTTTCTCCCCTGGGCTCCCCACAATTAACCTCTTTCTACAGAAAGAAATGGCCTTTTATTCCTACTCATTGCCTTCCATCTCTTAACTAGTTTTTAAGATGTAACATAATTTTAACACTTGCCCCATGGTTACCAATTTGGCTCAATAGCCTCTTGCAAGGATTATTATTATTATTTTTCTTTCTTTCTTACCTAAAGTCCTTTGAAAGTCAAAATGTATCACACCCACCAGTACTCCCTTTTATCCATGGTTTTGGGGACTTCTTCAAAGGATTCTAAAGCACCTAAGTCTTCTCCAATTTGCTATTATTCTATCACTGTGCGGTTTCTTCCGAGGACACCGCCTTGCTCATTGAGAGGTCTGTTCTGGGCTCACTGTCCCAGGGCTGGGTGGCTGCTGCGAAACCTGCCTACGTTAGGGCAGCTGCTGCAGCCATGAACACGGTGAGGTGCTGGTGGTGGCCAGCTGCTGCTGCTGCTGCTGCTGCTTTTTTGTGTTTTTTTTTGTGGCTGCTCGATGACTTGCCAAGTAAGGGCCATCAGCCCCTGGTGAGGTAATAAAATGTAATTTCTACTGTGGCTTTCTTCCACGTTCCCACATCTAGGACACAACTTCACATTCACCACCAAAAGCATACCTTCCCTCACCACCCCCCGGTTCAGATATTGACTCACTGTGCTGTGTGCCACGCATGCAGGCAAAGCGATAATTTAGCTGTGCTCTGCAGATCCCTCCAGCTTCTCCCGACACCCTGACCTATGGGGCTGCCTTTCCTCCAGGCCTCTTTCTCTGGAAGGGCTAGAGGAAAGGCTGATAATTTGCCTTGATGTCTTTGTTCTTTGAATTTATTCTTCCTTCTCCTGCCCTCCATCTTGCCTGCTGAAGTTTATGTTCCCTTCTATTAGCTCCACTTGGGCAGGAATTCTCTCTTTTAAAGCATACTTTTCCACCCGACTGCATTCCTGCGATTTGAACCATACAGGTTTTTATTTCTCGCCTATCACTTCCTTTTTTGTTGTTGTTGTTCTGGGACAGGCGAAGAGATTCTTCCTCTAATCAGGTATTCCTCAGCTGCCTTCATGCTGATTCTATGGATTTTAATTTGCTAAAGTTCCCTTCAGGCAGTTTCCAACATCCAGTTCCTGGGTCTTGCACAGCGCTGAGTACACTGTTGGCACTCAACAAATATTAAATAATCATCATTCTCCTTTTGAAAAAAAAAAAGAAGAAAAAGAAACCAGCTGCTCTTGAATTCTACTTGTCGAAATAGAACTATTTGTGTTCAAGTCCTCACTCCACCAGTGTCCAACTTAATTATGCTGAGGTCAATTTTGTTTTGCAGCTCAACAGCACATACTGTCTAAATCAGAATCAACTCCTCTGCTCCTTAGAAATAAATATATTCTGCCTTATTAATCATCTTGGCTTAGGAGTAGGAGACTGATGTGAGTACCCACAATCTGCTAGACTTTACCAAGTGTGTAAAATAAATGTTATCTCTCCCCCAAGCTTACACTGTTTAGACAGGAAGATAGAGGACACATAATATTTTATTTTAATGGGTGTATTATTTAAATGGAGCTATTTCATTGCTGTTCCTGAAGTGATTTTCTTAAAGATAGCCTTTTCTTATGATGAACCAAGAGGGTGCCATTGGAGCGTTTTTGTCCCAGGCAAGTTCTTGTTTCCTTCTTTGAGGTTAGGCTGAAAAGACGTGAGACGGAGCCAGGGGAGGCTCTGAATCAGCTGCTCAGGGCTGCTTCCTAGCTGTGCAACTTTGGGCTAACTTATTGACGTCTCTGAGCCCTCAAGTCCATCATCTGGAAATGGGGTGAACAATAATCTGCGCTCCTAGGATTATTGGGAGGATTGAATAAGTTCATGCTTGGCACACATAGTTTCAAAGTAATATAATACTTTGAAAATGCTTGGCACATGTTAGCCATTATTGTTTAGATTTTATATTTAAGGCTGTCCAGTAAAAAGTTCCTATTTATTCATTTTACTCCTATCCACGTGCCCCAGTGTCCATTTTGTCAGACGTTTCTATCTTCCTGGATCATGAGAAACAGCCAGATCTATGGGGGAAGGCATGGTGTTTGGTGTCAGCTAGGCCTCGGTCCAAACTGTGGCTCCACCATTTCTAGAGTTTGGATGAATGACTTTAATTGCTCTGATTTTCAGTTTCCTCTGCTGTGAAAATGGGATTCATAATCCCTTACATGGATATTCTAAAGATAAATCTTTGGCATGTGGTGAACACCCAGTGAATGGTAGCTCCATCCTCCCTCTCCACCACTTGATTTCTTTGCTGTGTATGGAATTTCTGGGCCTCTGCTTACATACAGAAACCCCCTACTAGCTCATATTTTGATGTAAAGAAGGGATAAAGAAATGTAGGAGGCTGAGAGGAATAAAAGGAGAGGGAAGCTTTTATGTACTGATGGCTCTCCCAACCATGGTGCTAATGTCATCCCGGGATTTGTCATACTTGAATGAAAAGGGTTGTGTGGCCACAGGGCCTCCCCTAGCAGTTACATGTGTACAGGGGTGGAGGATTTAGGCTAATAACACATCACTGTATCCTTAGAGAATGCATTTTTCGTTGGTCATTCACTTCATTTTTCATTTGCTATTTTTCATTATGGTATTAAACTGTGTGATAAATGAAAGGTAGAGGAACTTGACAGATGATTTGATTTCCGCCCTTGTCAGATGATTTGGCTTAGTTTCCTTATGAAAATAGAAGACAAGCCCTGTAAAATTGTTCTTGTGGATTTGTTTTTCAGTACGTATTTCCCACCACTGCCATATCTAATCTATCTATTTACCTATGATTCAGTTACTGATCTGTATCCCACAGGAGCCTGGATACATATTGACAAAGTTTCCTATTTGCCACAGTGGCTTGTATCTAAGGAACATTCCACACGAACTTCCAATTCTTTTTTTCTACATAGCTTCTCCACGCCCTGTATTATTAGAGGCTTCAACTCTAGAATGTCCGCAAAAGACACGGGTTTTGCAACAAAAGAAAGTCTTTTTCATTCTTCCATTTAAATACAGTAGCCGATTTCGCCTCCCTCTTGGTAATGCGGAAAGGATAAATTCAGTGTTGAACAAACCTTTGTCATTTATGGGCTGCCAAAGCCAGGGTTAGCAACATATCTTCATTTCAACACTCCCAAAACTTTACTGAAATGTATTATTGTGCATGCTTCTAGGGGGAAAAGGGAGCCAATGAACTAACTGTGTAGATGCTACTAACCTCACAGATAATCACACTGCCCTAGGAAGACAAAGCTGGAAGGAAGGAGAGAGAGGATGTACAACCCCCTTTTCCCTCCTGGTAGGTGAAAGAAAGGTTCTAAAACAGATCATGTTTATCTGTATTGTTGTACCTTTCAGTAAAACTGGTGTGATATGACAGAAACAGTCTCTAAGTAGCAGCTTCACTTAGACAACAAACAAATAAAAATGAGGGCGCTTCCCCTATTGGACAGCTTTAAAAAAGTGGAAGAGATGCAATAAATCCTTAAGCTTAATAATGGAGTTAATTGTGAGTTGCTAAGGCAGACAAGTGATGGAGAAATGGTTTATGAGCGACCTGCCTGAAACTGCACCCATATTTTCAAGTGTGGGTGCATAGCAATGCCACCCTATTTTTTCCTCTTCTTTCCACCCAAAGCTTAGAAGTTATGTCAGGCTTTTATAAAAGCCTTTTCTTCTAAACTCTCCATTAAGCAGCATTCAAAAATGCATGCTGAAAATGTCAGTTATTAGCCTTGGTGCACGTCAAGCCGCTCTCTCCCTCTTGTTAATGTGAGCAGTTACTCTGCTCTTGACCTATTAAAACTTTGTTTGCTATTATACTTGCTGGCAAGCTAGTCATGTGGAAAGGTGTTGAGAAAATGAGCCAGTGTGTTCCCCAGGTGATATAAACACTTTATCAAGCTGATCCCTGCCATGTTATGTAAACTATACCAGGTAGCATTCATTTTAAACAAAGAGATAAACAGATCTAATATGCTTCAGGGCATCATGCTTTATGCATGAACTACTTTTTATTTTTATATTTGAGATTTTTCTACACAATCAATTGTAATGCAATAAGGAAGTAAAATAATGTCTTAACTACAACCATAGCTGTACCTCCAATTTCTAAATTCTGAGAGTGATGTACTTGGTTAATCCCATGTTAAATTTTTAAATTCTCACTTAACAATTAATTTTTAGCTACAATTCTGTTGTTACAAGAACTTAAAAAAGTAATCTGCAGAGATAAAAATTATATGTACACACACATTATAATTTATATGTACACACACTTTCATAACTCATATTAGCCATCTAATTTGTTATCACATGACTTCATTCTTTATTCCTAAAAATTCTCTAGATTTCACTGCGTATTTATGTGCAAGGTAATGGGCAATAATATAGTGTTTTACTTTGTGCTTTTCTACGGGTTTTCTTTCATCCTCACATAGTCCTTTGAAGTGGGTCTTATTACTGTATATTCATTTTACAGATAAAGATATTGAGGCTTAGAAAGTAAAATAACTTGTCCAAGGTTTCCCAGCTCTGAGACGAGATTCAAAGTCAAGTGTGCCTGACTTTAGAGTCTCTGCTCTTGGTACAGAGTGGTGGAGAACATGGGCTCTGGGGTCAGGCTACTGGGTTGAAATCCTGGCCCTCTTGCTTACTGGTGTGTGATCTTGAGATGAGTTATTTAGCCTTTTTGAGATTTTTTACTCACCTGTAAAATGGGGTTAATAATAGTTCCTACCTCAAAGGATTTGGTAAGAATTAAACCAGATAATACATGTATATGGCCTGGCACATAGGAAGTTCTCCCTATTTGTTGCTATTATTATTGTTGTTGTTAATTTTATCATCATGTATTATTGCCTCCCATTCATGATAGTTGTAGATTTTAACCATTATAAATGATAACATTAAAATTTAAAACCAGAATTTTCTTAACCTAGAAAGCAAGTCCCCTGATCCTGGAAAAATTAAGACTTATGAGAATAAATGAATAAATGAATGAGTCAATGATTTATTTAAGAGACAGGGTCTTGCTCTGTCGCCCAAGCTGAAGTGCAGCAGTATGATCATGGCTCACTGTAGCCTCAACTTTCCAGGCTTAGGCAATCCTTCTGCCTCAGCCTCTCAAGTGTCTGGGACTATAGGTACATGCCACTAAGCCTGAAAAATGTTTTCAAAATTTTTTTTTTGTAGAAATGGGGGGTCTCACTGTGTGGCACAGGCTAGTCTTAAACTCCTGGCCTCTGGCAATCCCACCTCACCCTCCAAAAGTGATTGGATCATGGGAATAAGCCACTGCTCCCAGCCAAGGGTAATTTAATATCATAACGCTATTCATTAGAACATGTATCTTTTGACTATAATTTTGCAAGTTCTACATTAAACAGTACAGGAATTCTTCTGCCCCAATCCTCTTCCCCCACCCCACCTCCAACTAATGCGATTTCCAAAGGAAATATATTGACTCAGGATGGAGTTTGCATTTCATTATCTGCTGTATTAAACTAAAAGTCCTAATTCAATTGGAAAGTTTGATATATATACATAAAGCCATATAATGTGGCTTATATCTTCTAGCTTAAGTGGAAATTGTCAGGTGGATATTTCACACCCAGAATGATCAACCTAGGGCTTATTTTCAAAGAAGAGAATGTACATCAACTCGCACCCCCAGCTCCCTCAATCCTTACTGACAAGAGTGGTTGTAACACAAGTTTGCCATTCAGGGAGCTGATTCTATTCTCACTCCTTGTCTAATGTGGGTTAGATGAGGTCTCTATCTTCTTGCCCTCCCACCCTCTCCCCTTCAGGTTCCACATACATATCTAGAACAGGAGCCAGACAAATGATAAGTTACTCTTAAAAAGATAACCCCTGTAATTATGAGTCAATCCATTGAATGTTAGTGTTCTTCTAGGTTATACATAGAAAAGTCATGTCGACCATGAAACAGGTCTCTGGATTCAGAGTCAATCCACTTTCCTCACATGGACCCAACTTCTGTTTTTCAGTTCCCTTATTTGATAAGTAAGAGCTATTAACCTCACAAAGTATTGCTATTTGTGGTATATTTATAGAATAATTTGTTAGGATTATTTGCATCTGCACTGAAATTGGTTTTGAGTTCTTTCCAACTGGAGAGATCCATCAAAAGCACTGAAAATGACTGAAAATGATAGGAGTATGTTCCAAATGCAATAGAAAGCCACTCTCCCACCAATTGCATTTTTGGCTGAATTCCCTTCTTACATAGCCAAGATAATTCTGTCCAAGGGACAGGGATAACTATTGATACTGGGTGAGAGCAATAACTGGATGACCAATACCATTTGCATGTTTAAAGAGAATTTGAAAGAGCATCACAATTAACATGGAACAGAGGACAGCCTCTCTAGAGAGTTACTTCTGAAAGGAACTGAAAATACTCCTTTTAGGCACTTTTCCAGAAAGTTCTCCAGTTTTTATCTTGCATCTTCTCTAGAAGGCTGAACAGTTTGACAATCTACTTTTTTTCTACCACAGCATCTCAGTTTAGTTTTGCTTCCTATATAGTTGGTTCTACATCCATCTCTTGCTAGATTGTAAGATCCCTGAGGGCAGATACCATTTCTTATTCATCTTTGTAGCCTCCAAAGCATTTGGTAGATATCTCTGCACACAGAATTTGGGTTAAATAAACAAATGAACCAATGACCTAATCACAAATTGTACCTCATGGGCAGAGACTGATTCAGTACGAACACTGGAAATACTCAAAAAGTTGTTAAATGGATAAATGAATGAATGAGTGAAGGAACAGGCCTTTAAAGAGTTGCTCTAAATACTCCTGTGTAGAAATTGTAAGACAAAAGGTGGCTGGGAGTGGAACTGTGTCTAAATATGAAGCAAACCAAAATTGTTATAACATTTTCCCCACTCTCTAGAAAAAATTAAAACAAATTAGTGACATTAATGAAAAGCCAAGGATCTAAAAACTAATGAAGGATTCTACTGAAACAGTAATTCCCACTGTCTTTTGGAGCCAGGGTCCACTCTGAGAATTTGAGCAAATCCCTTTTTCAAGAACAATGACTCACATCCATACGCAGTTTTGCATATAGTGTTCCTCTCAATATGGGATGGCCAAACAGACCTGCAGGTTAACAATCTATGCTTTAATAAGGACAGACTTTGAAGTTCAGGTTTAAACCATGAGATCAATGATCAGGCAAAGTTATGCATTTCTCTGTTTTTGAAGTTTTCTCATTTGTAAAATGGAAATAAAAAAGACAGTCCTAACCTCACAGGGTTGTTATGGAACTCAGATGGACAAACATGAGCATGTATTTGAAAATACTTGGTAGGCTGTGCAGCACCATATTCATGAAAGGTATTAGAGTGCTGATGCTTCCTTGCACTAGGACAGGGTAGGTAATGGAACCCACAAATCAGCTACTTCATTCTCCTCTCCTCTCCCCTTTGTTTCACGGACGCCCTTAAATTCTTTGTTCACATGCGTGCTTCTCCTACTAGCCTATAAGCTCCACTAAAGTCAGGAATGTAATTGTATTCATTTGTATCTCTTTTTCCTCCAGAACCTACATGGTGCTTTATCTGTACTTGACAATTAAACAACATTAAGAAACATATTTTGGATAGTAGCGAAATCTTCCACACTGGGTTTAAACGTGTGGTGGAATGAATTGCAGGGAAGTTCAAATTTATACGTGGATTGGTCAGACCAACCCCATTTCAATAAAATACTGTGTTCAGAAGCACACTTGCTTTATAAGTCCTGGACGCAATCACTATCTAGAGAAGGGGTGATTTATTAACTAGCTAAAACATCCTCACTGCTATAGGATAAGCTTTTCAGCCTTTACCTCCATTTGTGAGCAACTAAAAATCAAAGAACGAATAAAATCCAATCACCCAGAACTTCTTCCTGTAGACAGACTGAATTATAACTTTTTAATTTAGGCAGGTAAAGAATTATTACCGTAGGACTCTAGGGCAGGAATGTGTTAATAAAATCATCCTCTCTGCCTTTTCATTTAAAATAATCCCTTGAGCTGATTAAATGAAATATCACTTGTTTAATAACTGACAGAACATTATTTTTAAGCACAAATGTTTTGCATATTTTCGCTCCCCATTTTTAATTCCAGGCACAGGAGGGTGGAGGCACTGACATCACACAAAGGGAGTTGAGCTCTGTGCTCGGATGCAGTTTGCCCTGTCATCGTGGCATCTATAATTTAGTGTGAAGCAGCGAGGTAGACAGAGCATTATCATCAGAAACCATTCTGAACAGGGATATAAAACACAGTCGCAATAACACTTGTCAGAGAGGTGACTCCAGTCAGAACTCATATCCATGAGTTTCAAGATAAATGCTGACACGGCAGCCATCCTACAAAGACTATTATTGCTTTTAAAAAAACAAGCCAAACCCCCAAACAAAGCAAACCCATGAACCTTCCCCAGAGGGAACAAGTTAGTATGAAGTTTGCATCTGGGGTGGCATAAACTTTCCATGATTTACAGTAAGCATATCCCTTCTCCACTTGGATAGGGTATTTTATGATGCCACAGAGGAAGGATCCAATAGCATTTTGGGTTTAATGATGTTAAGCTATTTGGAATTCTTTCCCCCCTGTTATTTGGAATATATGAGCTGTGCCCCTAAAACAGGTCATTAGCTGTGCCGTGTACGGGTTCATCGCCTCACCCACAGGACTGCTCAGCTGCTGCTTGCATTTTCCCTGTCTTCTACATTTAAAAAAAAATGTCTTTGACTTGGTACTGGGCTATGATTTAATAACCCTGTTCTGCTGACTTCATAAGCTGTGAAACCTTGGAGAAAAATCCCAAATCTGAATTACAGTTCTAATTACTCTGGCCGAGGCAAAGGGTTTCAGCATTGAATGTTCTATTAGTGCCCATTTCACATTGAGTACTATTTGTTGCCAGAGGTTACAGGGCTGCATTCTGATTCGCTTTTCTCCTCTTCCACGAATGCAGCCACTTTCCTGGCGCCCTTTCTGTCTTCAAGGCTGGAGGAGCTAACTGCTTGGTGATTCCGTGCAAATAATTTTTCCTGAGCTCCCAGAACTTACTCAGAGAGTGCGCTTCGGTTTCAGAAAAACAGATCTATTGCCAACGCAAATTTACAATTTAGCAGGGTTGTTTTCATCACAAAAGGATCCACCGTGATATAAAAATATAATTAAGAAAATTATTTCCCTTTTACTTAATTGGTTGGTTTTAATTAATGATATTTATTTTAAAATGATTTATTATTCCAGCTTTTAAATGTTTGATATTTTCTAGCAATTAAAAACGTTAAAATGAAAGTTAACACATGCACATGTTTTTTTTTGAAACGTTAAAACAGCACAGAAGGGTATACAGCGAGAACAAGCCTTCCTCCCAACTCTCACCTGAGATTTCCTAGGGTCTGTCTCACAGGCCACCTCTGTGTTTCCTATGTGTCCCTGCAGAGATTCTTGTCCACATGCCAGCACATGTGGCTGTACCTGCTTTCACTTGGTACATAAATGACAGCAACCAATATGTGTTCTGCCCCTTTCCCTTTTCTGCTGGATAGCTTGAAAACTGGGTTCCATATCTGGACATGTACATCCTCAGCATTCTTTTAAATGGCAGCATGATATTTTGGCCCATGGTTTACCTTCATCCTTTATTTAGCCAAGTCTCCACTATTGATTAACTATAGATCAATTCAATTGAAAATTACAATGGAGATTCTTATAAATATTCTTTGTGCAAAGGATTATTTTAAATAGGGAATTCTGCTGGAATATTTCAGTTTCCTTTGTGAAACCTGTCTGAGGAAGGGAAGTATGTCAGGGGCTTTTAAAGCTAACGTTTAGGGGAGGGTATTACTAATTCAGAATGACCTAAAGAGCAAGGTGGATGTGGAATGATGAGAAAGTGTTTAAGTTCCAAAAATGTGATTTATCTTCTTTGGGGAGTGAAATTATTTTACAACGTAAGATATTCCTGTAGCATCCTGTGAGCATCTTCTGAGGGCTGGCGAGGCAAAAGCTTTAATGTGATCTCTCTCTTGAAAGAAGTTAAGCTATGATAAATGAGATAACCAAGACTTCACATTCCCCTTCAAAAGAACATGGAAACCACCCAGTTTCATGGCAAAAGCCACAGATTGTTTACTCACATAATTTTAAAAAAACCTTTCTTTTGTGTTCCTAAAAGCAGAATAAAAACATTTAATATTTATCTTCTGAAAATTCTGGAGGTCATATGTTGTATGTCTCTTGGTACCTGTGGTTACATGTCTCTTGACACCTGTAGTTATCTTTCCTAGCCCTGTGATGGTTGAGTGATGATTTGTCATTTACTGTCAGTGCCTCACCAGAACCCTTGCTCCTTGAGGGCAGGTCTGCATGTGAGCTCTTCACTGTGGCCTGCCCAGCTCTGGCACAGGGCTTTGCAGACCATCGGATGCATGAGCTGCAAGGGTCTCTATGCATTGAAAGTATACAAGAAAGAAGATACTCTTCTCAAATAGTAAGAATATAAAGAATTCTTCCAGAATGGAAATTTCTTTTCATCACTTATAATTGGACCCATTTGAGAGAAAGACACATTGAGGAGAAAAACCAGAATGTCTAATAACCCTGCCTATGCTAGGTTAAAGAACTAGCTACACAATTCTTTAGCACATTTAACAATCTATTAATAAAATCTCACTCGCCATGATTAATGTGGAAGTCTAAAACACTGGGTGGAAAAAAGGAAGAAAATTCATAAGATACATGAATGTATAATTCTTTAGGAAGCTTTAGACAGTCAGCAGATAAGTTACAACTTCGAGGCACACTTCAGTCATCTTGGGTATCAGGTTACTGTAGTTTCCCATCACCATTTAAGAAGATTGATTAAAGGTTCAATCTGATCTAGTTATTTTTGGAGAATGGGTTAGTTGCTTATTTAACTGGCATGTTAGTAAAGACTGAACTCTTATTTGTATCACTGCCATAAACACATTGCCCCCAACTTTTCCCCGGCCCTCATAATTAAATTATATGTTGAAAAATGAAGGCAAGCCTTTTCTGTTTTGGAGAATAAATCATTCAAAACCGGTTCAGCTTAACTTGTGATCATCCTAATCAAGAACAAAAGTTCTGCCAACCCCCTGGATGATATTCTTCTCTGTTATGTAAGCTCTGGCTGTGTGAGTCCAAGCTGCCTGGGGGCAAATTCAGCCTTGAATTTGAACAGTATTGCTGTCTGATAGACATAGGTAGCAGGCTTATTTAGATGCCAAAGATAGCTCAGAAAAGTCTCAGTGATGTAACCAGGCATCTGGATATCCAGGGTTGGTGACAAGAATCTTTAATTTGGCAAGATTTTCCTGCACTCTAAAGTTGAAGAGCTTCAGACCTAGAATAGGCCAACAGGCAGCAGTAGCTGGCTTTATAAACACGAAGTAGAAGAAAGACCAGGCTTTCTTCTATAGCTCAGAAAAGGCCCATCACTGAATGTATCATTAGAAAAGAAACATGAACTGGTAGTTCATAAATTTGTGGAGAAACAGCCCTTGGGGCAGTAACTTGGTATTCCAAGTTGATTTGGGCAACTCAGAAGTAAGTAATGCTTTTGCAGCGCATGTTCAGCAGATTCTAGATGCAGGGGTAACTCCTCAACTTCTCTTCCCTGAACAAATCATCATGAAGTCATATACGTTATATACGAAACAAAAGCAAGAAACAAAACATACTGAATTTTCTTACTAGCAACCAGGACTTTGGGTTTACAGCAAATGTACTTTCCTTTCCTGGAAGCAAACTAAATTACATAGAGATTTAGTTAGGTGGAGGAATGAATTTCATCGGATAATCTAACTTGGATGTTGAAGTCAACAGCAGCTGCTATGGATATGGTATTAGAGTATAAAAATCCAGGAGGCTGCTGTCCACCTATGAAAACATAAAAATCACAAGACAAACCCCAAAGAATAATGCTGCACTATTTACCGAATGCGTTACTCTACTGAGCTTTTCAAATGAAACGCTTCATGTTTTCATGAAGCACTCTCGTGTTTATTATGTCTTTCGATGGCCCAATAACCATGTGAATAAATACTCGTTTCATTTTGTGGGTGACGAAAGTGGCTCAAAGTGTTTAAAGTACATTCTTAAGGCAAGCCAGTTGGCAGAGACAGAACCAGGAGTAGAATACGGGTTACTTTTCTAGTCCAGGGTTCTTTTTGTGCCACCACTATTGTCTCATTAAAGGATTTCATTTACTTAGCACATAGTAAGTGGTGAGCAAACGCTAAATATATTAACAAATGAATAGTGACAGGTTAGATAACATTAGGAATAGAAAAATACTAAAACCTGGGGAGTTACAAGACAAGAGTACTAATTGGAGGAAGATGAATAGTTATTACCGCTATTAAGAAGGAACTTTGGTACTCTAATCATGACATCAAGGTAGAGGTTTTCAAAACTGTTCCTAAATAAAGAGAAGAAAAGAAAGTAATATTTCTTCTTCGAGAGGAATACAGTCAATTTCTCAACAATAAGATAATGAAAGTCATTTTTTAATGACATAGGGTACCCCTACATTAAGTGCTACCTGACTTATGCAGGGAAACCCCACAGTTACAGCTGTGCAGGCTTGAATCTTTGCTTTAATGATCAGCTAAAGTTTTAGGTCATTTTGAAAGTATAGAAAGGGATTGCTGTGGCAATCAATTCCTTTTATTTGTTCTTTCTTTTGTCTTTGTCACTTATGTAGAAATAGAAAACAAATTATAGCTACCCTGTAGCTCTCACAAGTCAGAATAATTTAGTTTCAATAGACTTGGTGATACTGTTTAAACCTTGAAAGTTAATAAACATGGATTTGTAGAATTAAAAATATTGAACTATTGGAGTGCTACCAACTCACAAAATTAAAGTTTTATAAGCCAAAGTCGAAGACTGCATTCCACAGTTTAAATATTTCATATCTGACATTTTCCAACTTGACAATGTGAAGTCTGATTTTGATTTTTCAATCCAATATGAGTTTTGGAGTTTAATTCAAAATCAAGATAAAACCATTTCTGAGACCACCTTTTTCTGTTGTCCTCTTAATATTAGACAGTGTATTATTTTCACTTTGGGAAACAAACTTTTCTAACTAACGTTGTTATACAACAATGCTACAACTAGGAATTAAGCAGTGGACATGTGTTGGTAGAGGGTAACAACCTTAAAAGTCAGAGTCTCTCATATGGTAGCATAGGACCAGCTTTACATATAAATTGTATTCAAAGAAAATACTTTAAAAAATACTGTGAATTATTATGGAAGCTCCCTCAAGGGTGACCATCTGAAAGCAGAGTTAGGAATCAAAAAGTTGGGTCATGTGGTTCTGTGAGGTCATCGCAGTAGAACCTCAAAGGACAAGAAGTAACCTTTTGTGATGTGGAGGTACTTCAGTTAGTTGTATGGCCAGAACTGATGTGGTGGTAGGATTCCTTGCTGCCTAAACTCAACAGCCAGGCAATATTTTTCTTTGCAAGGCCTTTAGAAGCTATCAAGGGCATCATATACATGATGGTAGGAGATGTACATGAAGCTACAAAGAGGCTTCTACCAAAAAAGCAGACACAGAGAATTAAATGATCTGGAAAAGCCATCAGGGGTCACGTAGAAAGGTGATGTGACACTTAAAGGGATTTCTCATTTAGGTGGTCTTGCTGTCGCAGAGTATCTGATGGAAAGATGTTGTTTTGACTATAAGGAAATTGGATAAATCAATATAACTTAATGTTCAAGTTGGGAATGTAGACAGAAATGAAGATCTCCATGTAAACACTGGTACCATTTTGTGACAGCTTTAGATCTGACCCATTAATGTTCATGTTTACTAGCTTTGTAAAAAAATAAAGGGCAGGTCGACCTGTGAAGACACCAAGAAATAAGTTACAGCAGATCTTTGACATTCTATACATTTTATAAACTTCCCCATTATCACTTCTTGTGTAGAATACCAATGGGAAGAGCTCCTTTGACTATTAAATCACACCAGGAGAGGAAATGTTATACGCAGGTTCCTTCCTAAGGTCCTTTTACTAAACTTAAACCTTTTTGGGGGGCTTTTTGGCTGTCATTTAATTAAGATTGACAGAACACTAACTCCAAATCAGCACAGCTCTCCTTAGATCAGTTTTGTTGTCAAATTCACTTTCTGAGTAAATGGAAAGACTAACACATATCATTTCTTAGATAATGTTTTAATATCTTGCATTGAATAAAACTTTTTTTAATCAAGTTGCAATGGTAGCATGGAACTCCACAAGGGGCGAGGGGGTTGCAGATGGCTGCATTACTCTAAATGTTCAAGCTTGACTGACCCATTTCATCAGCACTGTCAGAGCCTTGCACTGATACATGTTGACAACATTTAATCTTAAAAAACTGAAAGAAATGAATTAATATGCAAATTTCATCAGCTTTGTAATAAAAATGTCCTTGAAAAAAAACAGTGAACATGACCCCTGAGGAATTGTGTGAATTATCCCAGCTCAATTCTTTAAGTTAGTCAGAGGTACGCAGGTCCGCAAGGAAATCAGTGCAGATTTGACTTGGAAATAATTATGATGAAGAACAAAACACAAGCAGGTTGAATAAATGTAACAACTTGGGAAAAAGTCTTAGTCCTGTTTGTTATTCACTTTGAATTAACAGGATTAGGTTTGGTTTTTGAAAATAAAGGAACACCACTGTGTAATTTTAACACCTAAGTAATGTGAAAACAATATTTTTTAACTATCAATTTTAGTGCATATTAAGAATCACATCTGACAAACTCAGGCTTTTTTTCTTGGCTGTCAGAGTGCAGCTCTTTGGCAAAAGAGATAATTACAAGAAACTGATCTTTACGCTACTGTTTGTATGGGACTTCTGGATTGATCATTTTGATAGAAATGGCTGGTCAACTCCTAGTACAATAAGGTTGACTGAGTTTTGTTGCTATTGAAGTGACTAGTTATTTCACTGAATTTACCACATTGACGGGATCATGTAAACACAGTCTCTAGATGTGAGTCTGATCTGTAATGATCTCCACATGGGTATGCGGAAGGTCAACACTGAACCACAAACTCAGTCCAGGAAAACAGTCGTCTAGGTAGGCATGCAACTGTAGCTTTCTGACTTTGGGTCTGGACCCAACTATAGAAAGCAAAAACAGGGATTGGTCATAACAGTTGATTATTTCCATGTAAAAATTCAAGATTTTTAGGGTCCCCCAAAGGAATAACAATGGTAACAAAGAAGCATAAATCATTGAGCAAAACAAAACGAAAACAACAAATTGATACCACAGGTAGCTTACCAGAGGTCAAAATCAGTGAATGAACAGTTGAAGGATGGATATAATTCCTTTACTCCAGTAAATCTCATTAATTTCAATCAATGTATAAATATTAAGGAAGATGTGGTTTTTCACTTCAGTGCTTTGCATTTCTGTGCCACATGCTAGAACTGTTTTTGCTCTCATTTCCACACAATGAATCATCCAAGCTCTGGGATCTGAAAGAATTCACTTTGCTACAAGTTCAGTTGTTATTCTGGGCACTGCTGATATTTTGCTACGATAAAGTCTACGCAAATTAACTCAAGGCTTTTTTTTTTTTTTTTTTTTTTTTTTTAAGACATTGGGCTACTTAAACACTTGTTTTAAAAATCTTGTTTAAAAAAACCCCAAAGCTCACCAAAAACTGATAGTCTCACACAAATACCCCAAATAAGGGTTGTTAATTAAGTTGAAAAACTCTGCTTAGTCTCCTAGAGGCTCTGCAATCCTGCAACTTTCCTGATTTCATATATCTTTGGAAGACCAAGGCATATAATACAGATTTTGCCCAACCAAATTAATCTTTTCTGTAAGCTTTTGTGGTTCTCTACAAAAGGCTTTTAAGTGTCTCCTTTCTTTCTTAATCTACCATCAGTAAAATCCTACTTTTATAGTGCCCTTTGCACCTGCTTGCATAAAATGAATAACTCAATAGTTTAATTATGCACTATTCTATCAGTTGGGAAGTGATATAAAGTTGCAGACAGAAAAAATAATAAAAACCTCTTTTGGTATCCAAAATTAATATACGTCAAGCTCAGGGTAAATCTTAATCTTTTCGAAACATTTTTCTAAAATAGATGTTCTTTTATCACCTGGCACATCAAGACCCATTGGAGGGAGGGGATTTTAAAAAAGGCATTTGGTTAACATGCTGCAGAACAGCACTCTCTTTTCCACCTCACTTCAGTCTGTTCTTGAAAGATCTGAACAGTTGTATAATAATGAAAAATGGGCAATACTTGTGGGGCATTGCCTGCGCTCACATACCTCCGCCCACGCATTCATCATTCTGCAGGTATTGTCAGTGAAAGTTTAATTGCATAAACACTCTGTAACTGTCCTGTCATATTTCTTGTCAGTCTGGATTCCCTCTCCGGGCTCACTATCTCACAAAACTATAATTGAATTGCTACCAAATCACAAGAGCACCCCCACTCCAAATAAAATCTTTATGAATAGAATTTGTTTCCTATCAGCAGATTTGACAAATTGTGGCAGAGGAAGGGCCTTGGTGATAATTTTTGAGTTTATTCTCAATGTAGCTATTTGCTGAATGCTCTTATCTATTTTAAAAAAATTTTAAAGCCCCAGTTGGGGGTTGAGGGAAGCATTCAACAACCCCAAGGGGCTCTGTGGTAATAATTCTACAGAACCCAAGGAAGCCAGTGGAAAAACGGGAAGGTTTTCTTTGCCTTACTATGAAAGTGTACTGTTGGCAAATGAAAGACATAAGAATTAATTTGAAATTAAAGTGGGCACCTGTCAAAGCTAAGATTTCACCAAATTCTGTGAATTCTTAGTTATGAGGTATTAAGTACCCAATTTAGTCAAGTGTTTATTCCATTACATTTTCACTTCATTTCTCCTTGCACCAAACCTTTCCGTGATCATTACTCATGTATGAGCTCTGAGCAGCCAGATTCGTTGACAGATTTTTAGGACCATGAACAAATGAAAATTAATCAAAGGCATGACACGCAATTGACTAAATATGGGATCATAAAATTTTAATGTATTTACGGCATTGTGAAATTATTAATATTTTCCAAAAACAAAAACAGAATGTATCTGATTTGGAATAACGATCATCTTTTGTCTAGTCTTTGTTCCATTTTATATTCTTATAAACTGTACCTCCACATCCCACAATTTCACAATATAAACTCTCAGCAAAGGCCCAAATACCAGCAATTCTTTTCTGTAATTCTGTTGGTGGTCTGGTCATAAAATATAGCTGCTGGTGAATAACTCTTAAATGGAACTGGGCTTCACCCAGATTGACAACTGTCTGATTGTTTATGTTTTTAAAATGTGCTTATCAAAACCATGTAGGATTGATGGGTGTTTTTTGATGAAGTTATGTTTTTGCAACAGACTTAATTTAGGACTAAGGTTAAGGCTTAGGATAAATCAGTGCATTAGATGATTAAAGCACATTCGTCTTGTGGGACACTTAAATCATTTATTTATGACACTTAAAAACAAGCTAGGAAAGAAAGCACCATAGGCTTAACGAATCGTTTTTTTTTTTTTTTTTAACAAATTTTAAACTAAAAATAATGACTTTTTTAATGGAACTCCAAAATATGCCAGTTTACTGAATATCCAGAGGCAGAATCAAATATGCAGTGGAGTAAACATGATGAAAAATATTAGAATTAAAATTTTCAACACAATATATGCGTGTATACATGCCCGTCTCCTTCTTCCAAAATGCTTTTTAATTGAAATGACTCTTGTATTTGAGAAACTAGGGTTTCTGCCTCTCTTTTACATGTTCTCTTTTATTTTAAATAGTAGAAGATTTTCTGACAGTATAGGAATTTGGACTATTGTACTGCACTGTACTCTGTATGATAAAATACCTTGTCAGGAGCGACTGGATGGCTCAGGGGATTGGTAATGGGATATATAGAGCCTTTCACCTGTAGGTCATTGGCTTGAATTTTGTCCAGGTTGGCAGTGACTAAAAGTCATTAACATCTCATGACTGCTTGGTGGCCTATGTGAAATGAGTTTCTTAATTTATTTATTTAAGTCCATATATAGTACCTATGGCCAGGGCATTTGGGCATCTCTCTTGCTTTTACTGATGCATTCCACCAGATCTACACTCATTTTAGTTCTCAAGATTAGTGATGAACTGGAGTCCTCCTACACGAAATAAATTGATTCACATAAAGTTCAAACCAATACCGAGTACCGCCACACCATTCTCCAGCACAGACCGGAACGCCGCACGAAAGCTGATTCGATAGTAAAGGAGCCATGGGTTGCGGAGACCCAATGTCCAATTCTGGCTTGCTTAGTCTTTCAGGGTACATAACCCACATTGTGGCTGTGGTCATATCACAGTGGCCCAGCCAGATAAAAAGAGAAAATATCGGTCAAGCACGTCATATACACTATTCATCAGCTAAATTATTGGGTTATAACCAGAACACATTTTAATAGGCCGGGCTAGAAGCTGCAAACCCTTGGAGACTAACATCAAGGTCTATTCTAAAGTGGAGCTGGCCAGCCTCCAAGCTAGCCTTAGAAAAAGGGAAGTCAGCAGGTGTATCTTGGTGTGCTGAAGCTAGGAGCAGTGGGATGGACCTCTGAGAATAAGCATTATGCATCTCTGTTAAACTGTAAGAAAACTGAGCATACAAAAAACGTGAATCTGCAAAACAGAAATTGTATATTATAGAGGTTAGGGAGAGGTAAATTATCAGTTTCCAGAAGAGTATTTCCTCTTCAGTGGAGTCTACGAAAGGGCCTCATGTAGGGTGTATGTGTGTATCTGTGGGTATGTCTGTGCGTCTGTGTTTTTTCAGAAGCATATCTTTTGGGTACTACGATTTGTGTAGCATTTGGACCCTTTAAGTGAGGTAACTGGAGCACTGTGTCAGTGAAGCCCAAATTTAAGCTGTTCATGCCTAGATGCCAGTTTCCTATCACCTAACCCCTGGCCACCCTTTCCATTAGGAATAAACTTGGTAACAAGAGGATGCTTAGTTCAACAGAATTTATAATAATACTAACTGAACACTGACTCTGTGCCGTACTACTGTTTTAAGCATTTTGTATGTATTAAACTCATTATACTCTTATAAGACGTGTTAATATATTAATTCATTTGAAGATAAAACCAACAGGTGATCATTCCTACATTATTCTCCAATCTAGACCAGAGGGCTAAAAATTTATAATGGGAAAACTGGGGCACATATAAGTTAATTCACTTGCTCAAGGTCACATATATAGTAAGTGACAGAGTCAGGAGGTGAACACAACGTGGGCTGTCTTGTTCTAAGGCCCTACGTACTACGTATTTGTACCTGATACAGAGCTAGCTTAAGGAGTATGTCCTCAAATGTCGGTCAGGATTGTCATCTTCACATACAGTAACTCTCAATTATTAGGGTAACCTGCAAGTTAACCAGACTGCAGATTTTAAAAGTCTATAATATAGGCAGTGCAATTTAACTGAATTCCTACAAATCCGATAGAACAACCTAGTAACTGATTACCACCACTGCACTGCTCTGGGCAGCCGTAATCATATCTTTGCACCAAAATCTACTGCTGTATTGTTATCATGGATGGAAAAACCAGAGACTTCCATGCTCTGCCTGTGTAAATGAAGAATAGGTAGGATGGGGTGGAAAAGAGATGTGACAGCCTTCAGATCAAAGCCTAGGGCTGCACTAAAAACTTGGAACTTGGAGTTGACAGGTCTTGTCTTAAAACTTTGCAGTTAATTGCTAGATTCATCTAGGAGCTCACTTTTGGGAAAGCTTGAAGTACACCCTGAGGTCTGATGAGAAACCTTTGGGAGATTTACCAAATGAACTGGAAAATTTAGCCTCTGAATAGAATGGCCCATCTGTGACTCTGCTTGCATTGGGTGGGTCTTGAAAGAAGAGAGTGGCATGGGTGGGGGAAGGTGGCATCCAGCTAGCAGAAACAAGATCATGTACAGTGCTTAATCATGTGCTTTCGGGGTATTAGTAAGAGTTTCTCTTAAAAAAAAGTTTCCCACAGTCAAACACATTGGGAAAGGCTAGTTTCAAAACATAGGTTTATTGATCTTACATGAATTTCAAATTTTTACTAAGCTAACATTCATTGTCAATTTCCAGTGAGAACACGTGCTACCAAGTTTTTTCCTTTGCCGTTTAACTGGGGAACTCTCTTTCTGGGCAAGGGTTGAAAAACGACCTATTGGGTACTATGCTTACCACCTAGGTGATGGGATCATTTGTACACCAAACCTCAGTGACATGCAATTTATGCATGTAACCTGCACATGTACCCTCTGAACCTAAAATTAGAGTTGGAAAAAAAAAGTTCATCTTGCAGAGCAGTTATGAGGAGGAATATATTTTGGAAGTGCTGTATTAGACTTTACATCAGCTGTGCATTTTAGAAAGCAGAGAAGACCAAGTGGTTCATTACAAACTGATACATAGATTTACCTAGCGTGTATAAAATGGAGACCTCCATTAACTGAATCTTTCTGCAGAAAATTTTTTGACTCCTATTGGGAGGTGGTTTATGTGGCTACAGGTTCTGGGAGAGCAGAGACATTTTTGGTAACTACCCCATCCCGGAATCTAGGACAAAGCCTGGCGCATGCATTCATAATAAATTAAATGAGTAAAGAATAAATGAAAGAATGAATGAATGTTTTGTGTACCTAAACTATAGACATGCAACTATGTTTTTACATGTGAAATGTAAAATTTCCCGTTCTGTGAAATGGGAAGTATTTTCCTAAATATTGGTCAAATTTTAAATTCACTTTTAAGTTACCAATTAAGTTTCTACCTAATTTTGACTAACAGTAATGCGGGCAATCAATTGACACTTTTGATTTCCCTCTGACATCAATCCCTGCTGTGTCTAATAAAGACATGGCTGGACACAGGAGAGTAAGTAGAGTTTAAATTCTTTCTGTTGACATGAGTTTTATGAATGTTCTTGTTAGTGTTTTTATTTGGAGAGGATGCCCTCTGATGAGTGAGAGGCACTGGCTAGCAGACTGGTATTTTACCAAAGACACACACTATACTTGAATAAAATGTAAAGAAACGGCTTTGAACTCTAAGCATATTTACATATTAATAGCTCATGATCAATAGCATATGTAATTTTGTAATTTTCAAAATTTTCCATATTTTATTACCAATTGATTAAAAAAAGTGACAGTGGACAGACGGCATCATCGATTCCAGTCATGTGTGAAAGCTTAAGACCTCCATAGTTTCTAGAGCGTTAATAATTAGCTCCTGGCTACAGACTGACCACAGGCATATTTCTGTCTTTTTCTAAATGTTATCTTAATTCCAAATCATCGTTTCTTCCTTTGCAAGGCCTCCCAAAAATGTTTCTTCTCAAGGTCTATTCACTCACTTCTGGGTTATAGAAATAATCTCTTAAATGACTTTTTTTGTTTGTTTGTTTCTGGTCTTCTCTGTTCAACCCATCCTGTACATTTTTATAAAAATAAATGAGCCAGTATCAAGGCCAGTGAACATAAGTTTCCTATGTTATAGGGAAGACTACTCAAACAGAGCTGCCTGGGAAGGGTGGCGAGCATCCCTAGCTGCTGGTGGTCTCAGGCGCAGGGGTTGGACAGCTGTTTTAGATGGGCTATTTAGAGGCACACTGGAGGAAGGGTTAAGTATGGGGGCTCTGGTGCCAGCCTGCTTGGGTTCAAATTCTAGACCGTCTACCTACTATCTGTATGACTTTTACAATTTTAAAAAACTGTTCTTTTCTTAGGCCTCTCATCTGTAAAATGGGAAAAATAATAACATCTTCAATAGTGTTTTGTGAGAAATAAATGAGGTGATGCATATAATGGGTTTAGCAAAGTGCCTGACACGTGGTGAGTAGTCAATGAGTAATGGCAATTGCATTGCCTAATGGATTCAGGAATTCTTGGGTACTCATAAAATATGATCCTCAAGGAAGGTTCCTTCTAAACTTTTTTGTATTTATAAGTAATAAAATAATGTTTTCATTAGGTCACTGCTCTCTTCAATGAGTCATACTCAGAACTTAGCACACGGATCTTAGATTCTTTACCCTGGCACCCCAGCTCCTCCCTGATCTGGGCCCATTCTGGACAAGCACGCACCTTTGCCTCAGTGAGGAAGACAGGGCTCCTTCCTGCCTCCCAAATGCAGCATGCTCACTCCCACTGTGCTGCTGGGATGAGTCTCCTGGGAGATCACCTCTACCTTTTGGCTCTTAGGTTGGTTTTCATGCAGGCCATGTAGGTCATCCCTCCTCATCAAGGCCAGCCTGCAATCATTGAGCTGCTCACTGATTTCTTTACCATATTTATTTATGCCACAATTGAGGATAGCAGCACTATCTCCTCCTTCCTTCTCTAGTTGTCGACTATGTATAAATAGTCTATGATAATAATCTGTTTGTTTCCTAATGGAAGATGTCACATCTACCTCTCCTGTTCTCTATAAGCACATAGCAAAGTGCTTACAATAAAAACATGGCCTGAGTTCAAACCCTGGGTCCAGTGTCTGCTCTGGTGTGGGGGCAAGTTCTTCACCATCTCTAACCTTGGTGTAGGGTCATTTTGAAAAATAAATTACTCATAAATGCCCACTCCTGTAGCTGGAACATAGAGGAAAAGATAAGATAATGAAAGCTATTAATATATCATTAATGTTATCAGAATATTTGCAACAAGTTATACTTGGAGTAGACAAAGCTAAAAGCATCAGTACCATTTTCCAAAGTTAGAATTTCCTGAATTTCAGTTAGTTAGTGAAATCTGCTCTGTATAAATGGAAGGGAGGCTGTTTGGGGTACCTCTCACTCAGGACACTCCTACAGAGCCAGAAAAAGCAACAGGCAGAGGGACTAGTATTTCTGTGAACCTATCATGCAGCAGGAGCAGTGTTAGGCAATTTTTAGGCTAATTAAACAAATGAACAAAAACCTACCCTTGATAACGTCCATCAGTCCCTGATAATCATGGTCTTGATATGTTTGGGCATGTCAAAGCAATGTGTTCCTAAATAAGCAATATTTCTGGGCTACTAATAATTTTAGGGTTGAAGTTTTAAGCCTGAGATAGCTCTGCCAAGACTGCTAGCAGCGGCAGTGTGTGCTATGATGCTATCCTACTTACGCACCATAGTGTCCTGATCCTCATTACCACGCTTCCGCATTGTGTTACTCATCTGTCCCCCTCATGTGATGGTCAGCTCCTGGGAGGTGGGGAGCCTCGTCATTATTTCCTTGGTGTTTTGTATGTCTGACACGTCGTGGACATTCAATCAATGGTTGTTGAATAATCTACACAATCCCCGTTAGCAAGTGGGTCTGAATCGTGAATGAAAATTCATTCTAGTTAATAACAACTAGAGAAAAGATACAAGTTCTTCCCTCAAGCTAATTCTTCTACTAATAGAAGATGGGCAGTGTTTCCCATGGGTCCCAAGAAACCATGATTGTGTTTCATGAGCAGATCCCTCCAGTGGGACACGTCCACCTCCTGATGAACACCATTGCTCTGCTCTGCCTGCTCTTTTCATCTCACACCTGCCTTGGAAGACTGGCTCTGAAAGGAAGGAGCCTGGAGAAACTGCACGGAATCTGGCCCAGTGTTGGCCGACACAGAGCAGAGTCCAAGTGTACACGGGTGATGTTGGCTGTGATCCTGGCTGGGGAGGCCTATGGCTGATGCAGACCAAGTGACTTAGGGTTGAACTGTGCCTATAATGTATTCAGATGCCACTTACTTACTGATCACTGTGGTATGAGTTTAAATGCAAGAATGAGAGCAAAGAGGCTGGGTGTGGCGGCTTATGCCTATAATCCTAGCACTTTGGGAGGCCGAGGCGGGCAGATCACCTGAGGTCAGGAGTTCAAGACCAGCCTGGCCAACACGGTGAAACCCCATCTCTAATTATCTAGGTGTGGTGGTGTGCACCTAGAGTCCCAGCTACTTGGAAGGCTGAGGCAGGAGAATCACTTGAGCCCGAGAGATGGAGGTTGTAGTGAGCCGAGATTGTGCCACTGCACTCCAGCCTGGGCGACAGAGCGAGACTCCATCATCTCAAAAAAATAAAAAGAAAAGAAATAATGAGAGCAAAGAAAAGGATTAGATAGATTAGATTATTTTAGTTCTAAGTAAGAGACTATGTTAAAAAAAAAAAACCCACAGCACAATGAAATACGTGCATAAGAGGATAGTTACGTTTCTCTCTTAACTTCAGAATCCCCTTGGAGAAAATTCCTCTGGTTCAATTCCTACCAGGGACCTATCTATCTTCTTTTTCCATCTAGTTCCTAGGCTTCCCACCTGCTGCAACCCTAATATTGTACCCTTTCCTCTAATCTTGGCCACAAAACTAACCTGTGAAGCTTGGGGTGAGCCACTTAGAATTTCCATCACTTTTTCCTCCAGCTGTAAGACAAGGATAACACACTGACCTGCCTCAGAGGGATGTGGTGTGAATTAACTCCTGTAATTAGTGGTTTCTGTGCTCTGCATACACCAAGAGGATATGAATGCCAACCATTATCACAGTGGCCTGGGTAAGCGTTGTTGCTAAAGCTATACTTGGGAATAACTGTTGGCAAAGAGCTGACAACTGGAAGTTGCAAACTTTACACAGAAGCAATATTTCCAGTATTTTCCCCAAGCAATCATGAGTAAATTGCTCACTAGGGGTGGAGATGGTTTCCAGCCAGTTCTGCCTCTTCTGATCTGTGCACCCTGCAAAGCTCAGTCAATGCTAGGTAACTGATCCTTCATAAGTAAGTCTGCTGTTTAGTGCAGATGAAGAATTCAGAGTGGTATAATTTGGACAGGGAGGAAACTTCTGTGCAGTGGAATGTATTAAAAGCAAATAACTTGTACTTTGTTCAAGGCAAGAGCTATAGAAATAGAATTTATAATTTTTAATTATCCAATGACAGAGACGGCCACCTTTTTTTTTTTTTTTTTTTTTTTTGAAATGAGGAAAAACAGGTCATAATTAACAGCTTGT
Source organism: Homo sapiens (assembly GCF_000001405.40). Lineage (NCBI taxonomy): Eukaryota > Metazoa > Chordata > Mammalia > Primates > Hominidae > Homo > Homo sapiens. The sequence continues at coordinate 33,683,391 of NC_000014.9, read as the reverse complement.
CTTGGGTTTCATTGTAGAAACTTGCAAAATACATCCCTATCAATCACTATTGGCAAAGAGAAGTCAAAATTATGACCTAGAAAGCTGTATGAAAAAACTGTTAAAAATAATGGGTTTAAAAAATTGACTTCCTAAACCTTCAATAGAAGATTTGGAAAAAGAATGCTGCATATAAACTGAGAGAACCTACTGTATATTTTGATAAGAGGCCTGTGCTTCTATTATTCAACAAAACATTTGCTACCCTGCAAATATCACTGTATTAATTTATATAAAAGCTGTATTTTTTTTCTGAGTTGTAACCACTGTGATTTAAATTTTGAAAGAGAAGAGAAAGTTAGTTTCAGAATGGCATGCAGAACTGTGCCAAGATCCAACATCTTCTCTGGGAACAAAAGGGAGGCCGCCCTTCTGTAGCTAGTTGCGTCATCAACGTGTGGGTCAAGGAATTAGGTCCCAAAGGATTCCTGGGGTTGCAGCTGTGCCTTCTGGGAGCTGGCCTAGAAGGGTGGAGCTCAGCTATCGGGCCAGGAGAGCCTAGTGGGAAGGAGAGATTTTACTTTAGCTCCCTCAGGCAAGATTCTAAAAGTACAGTTTGCTTTGCAAATGTTCTCATTTTACACACAAGCACACCAAAGTGTGAACACACACAAATTAAGGTGATAAGTATGCCTAGGCCTTGCATACCAGAAAAAAGCAATGGAGAACATTTTTCCCTTCTGTGGCAGTTCCAGGGGATCTTGTTTAGCTTAGCTGGGGATAAAGGTGACAGTTAAAAATAGCCTACTTCGCTCATGAAAAAATGGTACTGCATCAAGGTAGCTTTTTTGAGGCAAAAGAATCATTCTAGGTTTGGCAAGGTAGTCCTTGTAAGAGCACTGGCTTGCTTTTGGAGTGCACCCATCATCTTCATTTCAGGATTGGCAAGAAGGTAAGTTCTTAATGATGACATAGTTAAGAAACACAGATAATTTTGGATAAAAGCTGTGTTTATGCCTAAATGATGATCTCTTTGGGTTACACAAAAGGATTAGTAGTGAGGCTGCTTTCTGACTGCTAGATTTGCCGCATACAGGCACAGCTGGGTATTAACAGAAGTCAGACCGATTTGGGGGACTCGTGAACTTGTCCCGATCATTGCTACAGCCCCAGTAGGAATGCATTTTAAATCAATCCATCAGAGATCACTATGGTAGTTTATCTGATGGATTTATCTTTGCCTATAGTATATGAATATGGAAAGCAATTAAATGTGTGTTTACAGTTTGATAAACATTCATCATAAATTATACATTTTAATTTCATTTATTAGTTGGGGACTATGGAAAGCAGGAATTTCATTGCATACAAACTGCCATTCAGATTGAAGGATTAGCAGTTTCCTGAAAAGGTGCAGTAATTGTCCAAACAAATTCCATTTCTATGTTAAGTTAGTCACTACACTGTTTGTTTGTATTCAGAATTTTGGAAAGGCAAAAGTAGCATACCACTCGACTACACTGTTTGTCACTTACCCTTCCAATAGCTCTAACTCTGTCATTAAGTATAAATCTAGTGTGAATGAACTTTCTATCATTTGACACTTTGTATGAATGCTGTACTCACCATGTGAATTTTGAGCCCTATTTATGTATAAAAGAACTTGGTCCAATCTTTTAGTATTAGCATGCTGAGCAGTCTCCATGATATTATCTCACCATAAAATGACTCCAAAAATCTCAGTTATTAATGGGATTAATGGTGATAACATAATTCCAGAAAGTTGCTACTCTATATGTAGATATATTGGCAATAAAAATCAGTCACTGTATGCCTTTCCCCAGTAGGGGATCTCTCACTTTTCCCTGATTTTTAAAGGCTTCAGATCAATAACTGGAGTGACATTATTAACAGCTCCCTCAACACCTTGGCCAGCGCTAATATTAAATCCATTACACCTTCTGTTTGACATTTGCAGTACAGCAGAAAGTGCTGTAGATACAGTCACATTGTCTGGGGACTGGGGTTGGATGTGGGGTTAGTAAGATGGTTTCCCTTGCCTAACTTCTAAATTCAGTTCATTGATAGAAATCTTGACCCAATACAAAAAATATCCCTTCACAACAATATACCAGATGGTAAATAATTCACCCATAGAAGTACAAGTATATGTCATATCCAAGCCGTTTTTTTATACAAAATATTGATCCGATCCTCAGATAAATTTTTACGTTCTTTATGGTTATTCCTAGACATTTGTTAGTCTAATTATACCGCTTACTGTGAAAATCATCTAATGATGTCAGAGGAATTGAGCTCCTGTTTCTGTAGAATTAGGAGTAGTCAGCAATTTACCATAGCACAGAGGCATAAGTTGAAACTGAAGTTTATTTGCATTCAGGCAAGTACTCTACTGTTTCCATTTTGCTGGCCTTAAAAACATTCGGGACATAGCGTAAGTATAATAGCATAAAAATCATACTACTATAATGATGATCCTAATGCCACAAAACAGGCTAGATTTTGCCTGAAAATTTAGACAAAACATGATAACCCATACTTTACACAACCAATGGGTTAGCCATGCAGCTGTAGTTATTCATCATCCAAAGTACTGCCTCATGCATTTTGCTAAATTGTCTAAATCCTGGTACAGTATTGATTTTCCCCTCTATGAACTCACACCCACCCAAAAAGCCACAAGAGCCCCTTGCCCTGGCTGAGTTCTCTCTGAAGTAGGATCCAGGCATGTTCTTCCTGACAGGGGTCCTACAGAAGAAACTGATCACTCGCTGGTGGGAAGCAAACCACTGGAGACAGAAAGGGAATTTTATCTTAGAGAAACATGAAAATGAAAAAGCTAGTTACCAGAAGTATATGCATTACAATCTTATTTTAGAAAGAAATACAAAAAACCCCACCAAACACATACATACCTACATACACAGGAACAGGAACAGAAACTAAATCTAGGAGGGTACGTAGTGCATATATATGAATAATGGTTATTTCTAGATAGTTGGGATGGTGGTGGTCTTTACTCCTTTTTCCCTGAATTCAGGAAGAAGGAGTAAAACACAACACTTTTACAGCCTAATATAGAGAATATTACTATTTGCCTTCAACATAGGAAGAGTTTTAAAGTTCCTCCAGGATTTCTTGAGAGCTGCTTTTCTGTTTACTAAGCATTTAAAAGGCATGGCACTGAAATTTAAGAAAAAGATGAGGATAGTACTCATAATCCCAAGATGGCAGAATCATTAAGAGTAATAATGAAAAGGCACAAGTAGATCTGCAAAAAGAAAACCCTCCAAATGCCATTGGTCAGAGGTTCTGTGCTCCTCATACTGCGGGAGCCTGCAGGACAGCAAAGGGCAGTCTCTTCCAAAATGTTCCAGTCAACCCCTAAATAGGCACTCTCGGACTTTATAACATTTTAAACAAGGCCACTCATTTATCTTTTGCCTGACTTAAGATTTCTCTGAGATAATACATTGACTAAACTGTTAAAAAATGTGCATACATATAAAATATTTATTTGGGTTTGCTGTACAATCAATGGATCTTTTTTTTCTCCTCCATTATCCTGAGGCTGAGTCAGGACAAGACAATCTCAGGGCTGACAGTTCAAAGAGACAGAATTCCTATTGTGGCATAGTATCACTGCCTCTTAGGCTGGCTTAGTCACTTATTTCCTTCTATTATAATGCCAAATGTTATTTAGATTCCAGTCATTTAGTAATGCTACACTGAACACATCAGGGCTTCTGAAAAATTCCATACCTACTAGTCCTTTCATTTTCATAATAACCATATATCAATATCCCTTTCCCAACTAAATTACACCGTTTAAAAAAGAATCTGTGTTTTATCAGAGTTCAAGAGATTATGATGCAATGAACAACAGTCTTCAAAAATGTTCCTTCATGTTAGTTATTAAGAATTAGGAAATCTTGTTAAAATTCTTTCAGCTTTTAAGAAACATAAGCAGCTTTGTGATGTAGTGCCTGACATGAACTTTTTAAGTAATTCCCTTGGAGCCATCATCTGCATTAGTGAAGATATTTCATTTAAGGTAGCACCCTACACTGCTTTTCAGTATTTGAGCAGTCAGTCAATCTCATTGCTCTTTTAAGCCCCAGATAGAAAATAACCAACACTGCAGACTTTGAAGGTTAAGGTAGCTTAACGTTCTCTACTGGTGAGAGTCACATTCACCATCAAGGAAGAGGGCCTCTTCTTATGCGAGTGTAGCTGATGAGCCCAAGTCAAGTGATGTGGAAGGCAGAGTTTTCAATCTCACTAGCAAGGATGGCTAAAGGAAGGCTGGTGAAGGCAGGGGAAGGAAACCTAAGTAAATTTGTAGTATCTTTCAATCACACTTCAATGTTAAATGATTGATAGAGTACCTTTAAAGGAGAGAGTTAACAGTTGAAGGAGATATATATTCTCCTACAGTCTAGAAGTAATAATCTGTAAGAACTGTGTTCTACTAGTGTACCTAGGGTTATTTTATGCATGCTAGGGCTTCATAGAAGGCATGGGATTTATGAGAGTTCTTATATTGACATATTTATTTGGGCTTGCTGTCGTATTTAGACTCTAGCCTAGGATACTCTAGCAGAACTGGTTTACAGGCTGTGGATTTTTTTTTTTTTCTCCCAAAGTCTCACTGTCAACATGTATTTGGGGAGACATCAAACTCAGTATGAATTGACAGGATGATCTAGCTTCCAAGAAGACCAAATTTAACCTCAGGCTGCATTAAGAGAAGTATAGTAGCCTACCCTGAGAAAGGTGACAGTTCCTCTGCTTTGCACTAATCAGAATATATCTAGAGGGCTGTGCTATTCTCTTCACTGTATTTTTAGAGGGTTCTCTGCAAACTGAAGCACAGCCAGGGCAGGATGACTAGGATGGTGAGGCTTTTAGGAACACGCCATTGAATAAGGGTTGTGAATTAGCACTGTTTGACCTGGAAAGGAGAAGGATGACAGGAGGAAAGGAGGATCTGATGTAATTGACTTCACATGTGTGAGAAGCTAGGATAGGGAAGAAGGAGTAAATCAGAAATGTCCCAGAGGGCAGACCTTGGATCAGTGGGAAGTTGCAGCGAAGCAGATTTGGGCTCCATATCAGGCATAACTATCTACGAGAACTACTCAACAAGGGAGTGGGCAGCCTCGCAAGTTCATGAGCTTCCTATCAGGGCAGAATCTAGCAGAGACTGGAAAGGCTGCCTGCTGGTTTTGCTGTAGAGATTTGGCTGCGTATGTTGGAGGTTGGATAAAAGGATCATGAAGATCCTTTCAAACTTGAGCATTTGTGATTCAAGGAAACAAACTTTTCTAAGACCTTCCCTCATACAAAGGCTTAGAAACTTAAATTCTTTCATGCTGCGTGTTTGAGTCATGAGGAAGAGGTTCTCCAACATCAGGATGAAAGAGTAGAAAACCGTTTGCATGTGCTGTTTCTCAAATATGCCCAGATATGAACATTCTATTGACTAAAAAACAGTTCCAGTTATCTCGCTGACATAGCTGCTCAGTAAAGTCAGTGAGCTATGGTATAAGAATATATCACTTGCCCACCTGAACAAAAGTATTTTCATTTTTAAAAGGTAAAGAATAATCTTAAATATTCTCTTTTCTCATGTGTGGGGCTCACTGAAGAAGGATGATCACCAATGCTAAGAATAATGAATGCCCTAGAAACTACAGTTAACTTCAGTGAGGAAAATGGATTGGTTCTTAAAATACTTCCAAGAGTCAAATGTGTGTTGTTTTTTTTTTTTCCTTCTGTGTGAGAAAACATATCGTGATTACTTCTAGGCAGGCCAAATTATTGTCTTCGAAGTATGTTGAGTTATTTTAATGTTAATCTTAACATAGGTTTTTCTATTTTTCTTGTTAATAAAATGCTTTTGTATTACGAATCTATTTTAAAACAACAGATCAAGTAAAGTACAAGCATCTTTGAAGAGTGAAAAAATAATTTTCCAAGTAAGCAAATACAACTTTGCACTTCAAATCAGGCCTTGATTCATCAAAAAATCTTAAACTTCTCATGAGAAAAATTAACATTTAAACCACTGCTGCTTGGCCAAGCACTCCACCACACAAGAATATGAAATATCTCCTCTAAAAAAGTACAAAAAGGACAAAACCACAAATGTGGAACTTCAATTAATTTAAAGCCCCAATCAGCAAAGAATAAATCCTTCGCAGATCTAATTACCAGCGCTCTCGGAAGACCCAGGCCGACCAGCCAATCTTCCCCGTGTTTGAACAGCTTGATGAACTAGGGGACTGATGGATATCAAGTCATTTTGTTTAATTTATAAATGGATTTTCCCCTAATACTTAAATTATCATCAGTACAACACAATGAAAATGGGAACATTCTGAATGCAAAGTCTATAAGAGTCCTGGAAGGAATCCCAATGAGGAATGTCACCTCTGTTCATTCCTCTATACAATTGATCTAATTAAATACTGAGGGTAGAAAGGCAGTTTAAAATGTAGCCATTTCTGTTTTCTTTTTAGCCTTAATTTATCTGTTCACATCTTTCAAGTACCTTCTGATGCTTTAAAAAAATAAAGAAACCAAGATTTCTACAAGTCCCTGATACTTTTAATTCTCCACGAGCTACTATTTGGAATGCCTCTGCCATAGATTTTGCTGAATAATAAATAAACGCATTACATTTAGCCATGGTAACAATAAAATGAAGAGGGTATTCCAAATCGGAAGCTGTTCCCTCTAGTAATTTGAAAGAGAAACTAAAAGAACTAGTACCTTCTACATGTATTGTTCAACTGAAATTAGATCTCTGGATTATACTTATTAAAATGTCTCCTTATTTTCAGATCTCTTCCTTATTTAATTACTGCATGGGACTGGAAGCTGCATGGAATTGTTAAATACCCTTAGACCTATTTATAGTCTCTTCACATGGGTAACTTGAGCACACTCATTTGGCAAAGGTCCTGCCCACCAACCCACACACTGGGTTTGCAATTCCCACCTGGCTCGGGGGTCTCCGACTGAGAGGAGGAAGATGCTGAGCTGGCTCCGTCCTCAGCAGTGCCCTGTGACAGGAGACCCCGCCCAGGGGGGAGCTTCATGCCCAGCTGCTCAGCCATCTCCACGTGATCTCCGGGGTGGACATAGTCAAAGACACTGCTGCCTGTCAGCTCCACCTAGAGGGCGAGAGAAAGGGTGGGAAGGAAAGACATTATATAGGCTTCTCCATTTTCAAATTCAACACAGTGATTCAGATTCTGAGTAGAAAAGAAAATACATTCAGGTCCCAGAAACAATCCTGGTTCTGTCTTCATCTTCAAATACTTAAGAATTCTTGAGGTGAAAGAGAAAGATTTTTTCACATGTATTTATTTAGCAATTGTTAAGCTCAGTTTTTTTTTTTTTCCTCACACACTGTTGTTTGCATAAAGCCAAACATTCTGTGAAATGTGGACGAGTCTGCCTTGTATTCAGCTGTTTTATCCACGCATCATCAAATACTTGCGTGTTTGGTGTCAACCACATGATTGACTGAATTCTACAGTTTTCTTATTGAGAAGTTTGGGTTTTGGATAGGAACAGCTATAGAAACAGCCAGAGATAGCAGTCGAGTGTTTTCCTTAAAATACACAGATTTCCAAGATGTGTTTTTATACATATCATCTGATTTCCATGTAAATTTAAATGTAAGAAGGGCTGCTTACAAATATATGCAAAGGCATAATGTTTTCATTAAAAATTACTCATTAGCTCTGTAATCGTATGAGGGATTTTCCATACAAAAGAGGTCAGCTGGGGTCTGAAGCAGCCATATTTTTTTTCTGCTGCAATCAGCTTGTTTTGCCTTCAATCTAATAGGATACATAGTACAAATCTCCTTGAAGGCTTTTTAAAAAATGTTTTATTTTGTATACTCTTTGAATCAGGCTAACTCTCTAACTAACTCTAAAGGCAGAGAATGAATATCAAATATCAGAACTGTTTCAGCCTGAAATAGAGGCACTGACTATTTTAATGCTGTCAGGCATGACCCCTGCGTCTGAGTTGTGCGCCGTCTGAAGGGGCAGAAGTTGCTGGTAAGGACTGGCCTTACCTCTGTACTCCTCTAATGCTCTAAATTTTATCTCCTAAGAATAGTGGTAATGCTCTACATTACATGCACATACAACAGGGAGAGATATGTCAGCAATAGGACAAGCAAAAGCTCTTTCCCAGGTCACTAATGGGTTTCCCGGTCCTCCGGAGTGCAATGGTTTCAGGCCAGCTATGACGTACCATGGAAGCTGCCAGAGCTTCAGACTGTCACAAGTTTCTTGGTGGATATTTACCTAGAACCCCTGCCTACCTCACTTCCCTTTCCAGGATAATTTCCAGCATCCCTCCAGATTCCACCTGCGTGCCTGCACCCTTTCATGTCAAGAGGGAAGACTGGCGGTGGAAAAACTGTCACAGAGACTGTAATACTCAGAGCAATTCTTGTCCCCAGAACTCCAAGTCCCGGTAATATGATCACATCTACTCCCAGACTCCATTTGATTAACATCTTAACAGGCTGCAGATCTTCCACATCTATCAGTTAACATAGGTATAGTCAGAAAAACAGGAGGCTAAATTCAGTTTGGTTAATAGCTATTCCTGAAAAAGGCTCGCGTAACTTTTACGGAAAATTAGGCATTTTTCTCTTGCTATTAAATTGCACTCTCCTCCTGTATCACCCAACCACTGACTATATCATTTTACAATCCCCATTTCCTCCATTTGTTATTGCTACAGAGCGTAAATCGGGATTCACAGTGATCAGCTCTTACCCTCTGGGAGGGGGGGATTACATGGAAATAATCCCTTTAATGTGCGCCTTGCCTCTAAGCACTTCACACAGTAATAAATGGGTAAACTGACTTTGAGCAATTAAGAAATTAAATGGAACTAATAAAATGTGTGTTTTAATATTTCTTGATGATGGTTATTTTGTTTGGAGATTAGTGAATATGAGGAAGTCACTCTCGTTTTGCATGGAGTCCAATTGTAGCACTTTCGTAAATATTTCTGTCACTTTTCTCAAACTAATTTTTTCCTTTAATACTTCAATGTGCATTTTGGCACGGACCATAGATTGTGATAGGATGACAACACAAATGGCAGATAAAATAGATTTTTTTAGGGGAGCTGGTTATTGAATGTTCATGTAAGCCAGTCTTATAGAGAGCAGAAATAGGCCACTCTCTCCACATCCTGATTTGCTCGGATGTGCAGATACTTCCTTCCTATACAATAATGTCCGGAGTATGGCACATCTAGGGCAAGACTGAGTCTTGATGTGCCACAGAGCACTAGGGCACGGTGAGGACTTTTTCTCCCTGTGGCCTCATGGGATTTCCCACCAACATACCTCAAAGCTTAATGATGAGGGCGAGGTGGGCACTGGGAGTTTGACACTATCATAGTGTTTATATGTATACTGTAGTTAAGGCTGCACAGTGTGGAGGAATGCCCCACTACTTGGACTCATAACCTGACTTCAAGACCAGAATCTTCCTCCTCAGTTGTGTGACCTTGGACAATTAATTTAACCTCCCTGGGCTTCAGTTTCCTCTTCTAAAAGTGGCAGCATTGCTGCTCTGCAGGGCCCTAGGAGAACCATTCACATTGTATTCCACATGGATGCTCCCCTGGAGTTGTGTTCCTTGGGAATGGTGCCAGGCTGTGGCCCGGAGAGCTGGGAAGAAGACAAGACTTGGTCTTCCTGCCTCTCAGCCTAATTTTGAAAATCTAGTGAAACTATGCAGAAGAAATCACTTTGTGAGAAGTAATCACCGCAAACATGTCTTGTTGTTGTTGCTGTTTGGTGGATCAGGATGAATGACATGAAGAAATGTATATTATTGTGTAATTTTGTGTCCCACTTTGGCACATCATTTTAGTCAGCAGGGGGTGATACATGCTTTCAGCCTTAACAATAACAATACTGGCAGTTATCCACTATGTGCAAAAAGTACTAATTTTTGTGCTTTGCTTTGATTAATCCTCATAACAATCTTTTGAACTGGTATGATCATGTCCAGTTTACAAAAGAACCTGAATACTGGAAAAGGCCAAGGGTGGAAACAGAATTTGGTTCAGAGCCCACTTGACCTATTACCTCTCAGGTAGTAGCACTGGCAGCCATAGAGGCTAAGCAGAGACCTCTGAGTTCCCCTGTGCTTCAGCCTTGCTTTATTCAGGAAAGAACACTGAACACCATGAAGGGAGGAGGCTGAGGGCAGGCAGCCTGCCAATCCCCTGGAGCTGGAGATGCTTTGCCATTGAACTCTTTGGCCAAAAGAAGGCACTAAAGGAGGTGTACTAAACCAAAACAGAGGTAGGATTAGACAAAGGTCAACTTATATATGCACCTGAGTCATTGTCATCATTATCATCACATCTTACATGTATCTAACACTTTCAACATTTCTCATACTGCTTTGACTTCATTTCATTTAAATTTTAGAGCCAGAAGACACCTTAAAAACCATCTATTAATACCTCCTGATTTAATGGGAAAAAGCCCTACAGTCCCGAGAAGTTAAAATGCATGTTCAAGTTTACCCAGCTGTTTAGTGGTAGAAACAGGGCTGTAAGCCCAACTGTCTAATTCTCAGTCCACCACTTTTCCCACTAAACCCTTGTCTGATTTTTTTTTTTTTTTCTCTCTTATGGGTACTCACCAGGTGAGACAGACTAGAACTCATGTTTCCTGCTACTAAATTCTGTGCCTCAAAATAGACTACAGACAGCAAGACGGAGAATTTTTTGCTTGATGAACAGACATTACTTCATGTTAGCTTCAGGTTGGAAAAATAAATAGAGCTCCAATCCAATGCTAATTAGGTACCTTTAAATCTTCTGTTACCACCTCTTCCAAAACATGTGCCTGCTGAGAGCTAGGACTAGTCTATTATGTTTAGTAGGTATATTACAAACATTTTGTTGAATGAATAAAGAACGGATATTTGCGCCTGAAAAAAAAATTTCTTTTACTTGTACTTGATTTGGAAAAGTTTAAGGTGGTTCTTTTATGTTAGTATAATGGCATTGTAATAATAACATTATTTATTCCTTAAAATGTATTATAATATAGCATCATAATCTATCTATTTGCAGTAAGGCCTTGAGTTTAGCTGAGGATGGGATTGTATAAATGCCGGGAAGGGACAGGTTTTAAGAAACTCTTTAAGAGAATAGTGTCTGTCTTTCATAACCCACTTGTTTCCAATCTACGGCAAAACTCTGTTTAACTGGTTAGTTTCAGGTGTTAACACGCTTTTGTCTTCATTATTTGAACTGTAACATAGTTCCATAAAAATTAATATTTCTTAACTATCCCTTGATATCACCAATAGTAGAAATTTAGAGAAATTTCATTTTATATTAATTATTGGTCCTGTCTTCAATCCTTAATTATGATCTAATGGAAAAGTAGAGCTTTCCCCCCTCCAATAATGTGTTCTTCTGATTAGTGCAAATTGCATTCTAAGGCAACTGTGAGAACTTCAAAAATCCATGTTCTGTTTATGAAACTCAAGATAACAGACCCATTGATCTTTGAACTGTTTCTCTAGTAGCAGAAGAAGGAGGAAGCATGACTGTTTCCAACTTCACCCACTTGGTCTAACTTTACTCCAGCTGAATGACTCTGGAAGAGAACTTACTTACTCTCTCACGTTGCTTAGTGTATTACAAAACAGCTGAGAATGCATCAGGGGCAGCAGATAGATAGGCAACAAGTAATAAATAATCACATCCAGAAACAGCATTTTGTTTAAACTCTTTTTTTCCTGCCTTTCCCTGCCCAATGTTACCATAGATTCCTCCAGGACAAGCCATAGTCACTAGTGCCATCCAGAATATCCTATAGTCAAGCTAAACCACACAGCCTTTCTCAAATTTATTTCACATTCTGTTAGCTTGCATGTAATTTGCACACTAGACACAGCTGATTTGGTAACTCTGAAGTTTCCTGGAAAAAAATGTAAATATATTGTACAGTGGTTTGAGCTGACTTTTCCATGTCAGGTCATTGTACCCTGCTGGTAGATAGGATGGGGGGGCTAATTTGTCTTTTCATACATCAAGCAAGCATGTCAATAGCCTTTGCTTGCTCCCCTGGAGTGAGCAATACTTTTTAACTACAGTGATGTACTAACAGTGCAACTCATTGAATTCAGTGCTTCTTTGATTGAAGGGGTTTGGTGCAGATGAGGAGTAGGCAGTGATCTTGTAAGTTATCTCCATATTGGAACAACTTAAGAGAATGCTTAGATAAAGAAAGGCCATACATCTATTTTCAAGATATTTCTTTCTTTTAGAATATTTCAGTCTTAGGAACAATATAAAGTTGATTTTTATCAATAGAAAGGGTCATTTAAAACCTACTGTTTAAGGTAGAATGTCATAAAGCTTTTGTAAGGCTGATATTAAAAAATACTTTGAGGGCATTGAGGTTACCACAAGGGCTCTTAGTTAATCTCTTTCTCAGGAGTCCTTCTGCATCCAGGCCCCACTCCCTTAGTGAGTGCTAGCAATATCTGAATAAAAGGTCATTCAAAGGTCATTCCTGAGGGAGGACTCTGTTTGTGGTAAGTGGCTTGGAAACTAAATTCCCAGGTGAGGCCTTCAGATCTAGCAAGAGACCCTGACATCCTGGTTAGAAAATCCTGAGCCAGGATCAGGTGGAAGTTCTATCTCACCACAGCAGGTCAGGATTTGTAGTTTTTTTTTTTTTTGAGGGGGGGTCACATTTATATTATTGAAGGATAATAAAGTGAGAATAAAATATAATAAGATATGATAGCTTGATTAGCATAGGTTTTCTTTGGATTTACCGGTATCTTAATGCCATCTTCATAACTTCCTACATATTGCAGAACTCCACTGAATATTTATGAACTGTTTTGACAGAAACTTGATGTTCTTTACTGCTCTGTCTCATTCTATGTATTTGCTGACTTATCTGAAGAAAAGCACATAAAAGCATTCGGTCTGTTACAGAAATACGTGTATAAATTAGTAGAACAAGAAGAAAGGTTCTATATCAGAATGATGAGATAGAATGAAAAATCCTTCCTGTGTCATCAAATAAGAACACGAATCCGCTCTCTTTTTACAGATATGTTAACAGAGGCTTCCCTTAGAAGAATTTTAGCTAGAAGATACCACATCATGTGTTTATTTTATCTTCAAAAATAAACATTTTGGCTCCCATGGGAATCCATTAAGTACGTTTTTTGTTGTACGTACATTTTTCTATCACTCCGGGAGTGCCTGACTTGAAAATTGCAACCGCAGCACCCAAAGAGACACTGCATATGGGAGGCTGAGGCAGGAGAATCGCTGGAGCCTGGGAGGCCGAGGTTGCAGTGAGCTGAGATCACGACATTGCACTCCAGCCTGGGTGACAAGAGTGAGACTCTGTCTCAAAAACAAACAAAAGCAAACAAAAAACCCCCAAAAAAACAAACAACAACAAAAACAAGAGATACTGCATAACCAGTTCTGAACGTTAAGATGTGCCAGAAGATAATTCCAGGGGATCAGTGGGTCTCCTAGTTCTCAGAGAAGAAAAAGAACAAAGCAGACTGTCGGGGAAATAGAGTCAAAGAGGAAATAAAGAAGAAAATGCAGCTACTAATTGAGACTCATTGGGCCCAGTTATTTGGAAGTGAGCATGTTTAAATACTTCTAGAAATAGCGTGTGTATAAAACAGGTCCACAAACTCTTTGAAGATCTCCCCCATTTTTGTTGTTTAAGGGTAAATTATACGCTGCATTTCATTTTTTCTTGTAATCTTAGATCAGGTATACCTCCATCACACCATACTATGCAAGCAGTGGTTTTAGAACAGTATTCATGTGTCAATATCCTTTTCTTTTCCTTAAGAGACATCAGTTAAAAGAAGAACCTAGAGAATGCCTTAATACTGAGGGGATATTACATCACAGGAATGAGCCCAGGGATTTGTGAAAGTGACTAAACCAAGAAATTTTAAAACCTTGTTTTACAAGGTTCCCATAGTTTTGAATTTTTCAAGTGCCTATAGGGGAGAAAAGGCCAACTTTTTAGTATTTATCACAGTGCTGAGAAGGCAAAAGGATGCTGTTAGAGGTTACATCATAGTAAAAAGTGAAACGATGCCAAGAAAGAAACATTAACAGTCTTAAAAGTAACTGAAGTCGGTTTCTTTTTTTCTGGAGATCAAATGAATAGTAAGAAAGATGTCACTTTCAAAGCTTCTTCATTACCTTGGTGGTAAGGAGACCAATCAACATAAAATCCTTGATATTGGCATAGTTAATCCATTATCCTCAAATTTTACATGTTTCCGTATTTGTCATTTAAAGCTGGATACATGTTGAGATGAGTGTTATGCATAGCCGGACTTCAGTATCAATACGTCTCAATTTTTGTTATTGTTTTCATAGCGAATTTTGTCCTCCTCCTTTGATTGCATGAATAAGAAAGAGTGGAAAATGCTTGTAAGATTGAAATTTAAATATTTCCCTGATTCTAAACAGCCATTTTATTTTATTTTGAGACAGGGTCTCGCCCTGTCACCCAGGTTGGAGTGCAGTGGCATGATCTCAGCTCTCTGCAACCTCCGCCTCCTGGGCTCAAGCGATCCTCCGGTCTCAGCCTCTGGAGTAGTTGGGATTATAGGTATTGAGCCACTGTGCCTGGCTAATTTTTTTGTATTTTTAGTAGAGACGGGGTTTTGTCGTGTTGGCCAGGCTGGTCTCAAACTGCTGGCCTCAAGTGATCGGCCTGCCTCAACGTCCCAAAGTGCTGGGATTACAGGCATGCGCCACCTCGCCAGCCCAGCTCTTATATTTTAAAGAAAGGTAACTGGATTAGGAAAACCATAATAATTCTGGGGATGATTTTTTCCATTTGTGTTATGAAAGCTACAAAGTAATTTTATTCTGGTCACAGTAAAATAATGTGGTTTATATGACTAAAACCTTAGATATGCTTAATGCACCCATATAACAATTACACATCCAAATAATAATAAACAATAAAATGCACAAATCATACAATTAGTCGTTCCTCAGTGTTTTCAAAGGGGCTACTGTATGGTGGAAGATCAGCAACAGTGGTTCTCACCAGGAGTTGAGTCACAATGTTTAAGAGTGATACTGTTGCGCGAAAAAACAATAGCAAAACCAGAAAGATTTAACAAAGATAATTTGTTTGTAGACCTCAAGAAATCTTTAAGAGAAAGCAAAACCAAAGGAGGATCTTGTTCGGATTGGAGCATCATGTCAATGCTATTGCAGCTGTGTTTGAAACAACTGGCTCTCCTTCTCCGTGTCACCATGAGGGGGTCTTTAAAAATCTTATCTAATGGGTTGATAGGTACAGTAAACCACCATGGCACACGTTTACCTACGTAACCTGCACATCCTGTACATGTACCCCAGAACTTAAAATTAAAAAAAAAATCTTGGAAAACCACAAAGTATACTAAAATATTTTAGCCACTGTAGAATATAGGTGGTTAGCCCATGTTAAGAAATTATTTGGGGAGTTAATCCACTAGGAGAACAAGAAGGAACAAAATTCTTCACGCCATGATTAACCACTGACCCTCCCGAATACCATGTGTGCACCATGGCCATGGTGTATAATTTATTTCTTGTGAATTACCATAAGAAAAAGGCCTAATATACTGCTATTTTATTTTGGTTATTGTAACTACTAACTGTGGTAGGGTTTGAGGTTATCTTCTATGAAAGCAAGTCAATACCCTAAACACTCTCTAGGTGCTATTTTAAAGGAATAAGTTAAATTCACAACTGTTTAATAACAGACTGAGTTAGTCTTGGATAGAGAATGTAAATAGAACTGGCAAGTAGAAAAAAATGGGTCAAAAGAAATGGCTCATTCCAGAGGCTAAAATCCTGTATATCTTAGGGTATTTTGAGAGGACTGTGGTGGTGGTGAGGGAGCAAACCCTTTTGAGAACCTGATAGGTTCTATGTCTTGTCTCACCAGAACAATGCTGTAATCACACACATGTAATCTGGCATTTTATTTCAGGAGTTTCAGGCACCTTTGCTGTTTATCCAGGAATAGTCTCTAGAGCTATGCTGCCCCATATGGAAGGCACGAGTCAGGTGTTGCTACTGAGTGCTTGGAATGTGGCCGCTCTGATTCGTAATATGCTATAAGTATACATTACCACCAGGTTTTAAATACTTTGTACAAAAATATAAAGAAAAGAATGCAAACTGTCATGTTTTATACTGATTGCATGTTAAAATAATATTTTAGATATGTGAAATTGAATAAAAATAGCTAATCATTGAAATTCTTCTCACTTGTTTTTACTTTTTAAAATGCGGCTACTAGAAAAATTTAAAATTACTCATGTGGGTTTGCAATGTGTTTCTGTTGAACAGTGATGCTCTAGAAGCAAGAATCCTTGGAGTAGAACATGAAAATGACATGAAAGGGAAGAGGTATAAGATAGTAAAAGATAACAGAAATAAAGAAATGTCTATGGAATAAAAGAACCGAACTAGTACATTTAATTAGTCAATCATGTATTTATCTATCATTTATTCCCTGTAACACATTGCATTTGGGATTTTAGGAATTAATTAAAAGAAACATAGAAACTCAGCACATGCCCCCATGTAGCTTACAGTCCACTTTGGAGAGAGAAGAAAAACACATACAAAGTCAAATAATATGAAAAAAAATATGACAACACAATGTAGTAGATGAATAATTTTTGACAAGACTACTGTAGGTCACTGCCTCTCAAATTTCTCCAGATCCTTTAGGATTTCCTTAAAATGCAGCATGGGCTCCCAGAGATTCTGGCTCCAGAGATCTGGGGTAGGGGCCAACATTCTGCATTTTTGGGAAGCTCCTGGGTGATGCTGAACCTGCTAGTTCACGATTCACACTTTGAGTAGCACTAGTATGTCTGCACCCAGAGGTGGTTGTGAACCAAAAGCATCTGGGACAGTAACTCCCATTCTGACTCCTCACAGAGAAAAGAATGAGTAAGGACAGGTGGCTTGGATGAAAAGATAGGAGCAATCCAGGACACAAGAGGGTTTTAACTGCACTGGAGCTTATAAGAGCAGGGGTGGTGTATTACACTCTTCTTGGACTAAGCCTAGGATGTTGGGGAAGCATTAGGCAGAGGCTCACTAACACTAAGTGATTGATTGATTTAGGCCCTAAAGAGATAGATAGATCCATGCCAGCGTTCATTAACCGTTTTCCCCTTCCTTTTAAAATACTAAAGAACAGGTTCAAGTAATCATTTATAGGAAATGTCCTATCTCATTTTTCTTCTCAAGTTGGTACCACAAGGACAATTGTCTCACTGTAGACATAGGCCTAGATAATTGGCACACTTTGAGCTAACTTCTTATCCTACACATTTAAGCTCTGGACCCATGATTTTTATCTCATTTGTTCCTGTATATGCTACACTGGAATGATCTCAGTTTATGGTGGACGATTTTTTTTTTCCCAGTAGGTGAACACAAAACCCACGGTGCATTTTGGAATTTTAATTAATTAATTAATTAGAGACAGGATTTGCTCTGTTAACCACACTCTGGAATTATTTTTTCTGAGGTTTAATTCGGAAGAATTTATTTGTAAATCTTTTTAAGCAGTGGGTTTGAATGTCAACTTTTTAAAAAACTTCTGAAATTATTTTAAAAATTTTTTGTGGCTACATAGTAAATGCATATATTCATGGGGTACATGAGATGTTTTGATACAGGCATGCAATGTGGAATGAGCATATCACAGAGAATGGGGTTTCAATTCCCTCAAGCATTTATCCTTTGAGTTACAAACAATGCAATTACTGAATGTCACCTTTTACGGAAAAGGTCTGTTCAAAGTCATCCTGTTTTGTTTTGTTTTGTTTTTTTAATCACACTTTAAGTTCTGGGATACATGTGCAGAACATGCAGGTTTGTTGTATAGGTATACACGCGCCATGGTGGTTTGCTGCACCCATCAACACGTCATCTACATTAAGTATTTCTCCTAATGCTATCCCTCCCCTAGCCCCCGACCCCCTGGCAGTCCCGGGTGTGTGATGTTCCCCTCCCTGTGTCCATGTGTTCTCATTGTTCAATTCCCACTTATGAGTGAGAACATGCAGTCCCTGCAAAGGACATGAACTCATCCTTTTTATGGCTGCATAGTATTCCATGGTGCATATGTGCCATATTTTCTTTATCCAGCCTATCATCGATGGGCATCTGGGATGGTTCCAAGTCTTTGCTATTGTGAACAGTGCTGCAGTAAACATGTGTGCGCATGTGTCTTTATAGCAGAATGATTTATAATCCTCTGGGTATATACCCAGTAATGGGATGGCTGGGTCAAATGGTATTTCTGGTTCTAGATCCTTGAGGAATCGCCACACTGTCTTCCACAATGGTTGAACGAGTTTACACTCCCACCAACGGTGTAAAAGCGTTCCTATCTCCACATCCTCTCTAGGATCTGTTGTTTCCTGACTTTTTAATAATCGCCATTCTAACTGGTGTGAGATGGTATCTCACTGTGGTTTTGATTTGCATTTCTCTGATGGCCAGTGATGTTGAGCCTTTTTTCATATGTTTGTTGGCCACATAAATGTCTTCTTTTGAGAACTGTCTGTTTATATCCTTTGCCTACTTTTTGATGGGGTTTTTTCTTATAAATTTGTTTGAGTTCCTTGTAGATTCTGGATATTAGCCCTTTGTCAGATGGACAGATTGCAAAAATTTTCTCCCATTCTGTAGATTGCCTGTTCACTCTGATAGTTTCTTTTGCTGTGCAGAAGCTCTTTAGTTTAATTGGATCCCATTTGTCCATTTTGGCTCTTGTTGCCATTGCTTTTGGTGTTTTAGTCATGAAGCCTTTGCCCATGCCTATGTCCTGAATGGTATTGCCTTGGTTTTCTTCTAGGGTTTTTATGGTTTTAGGTCTTATGTTTAAGTCTTTAATCCATCTCGAGTTAATTTTTGTATAAGGTGTAAGGAAAGGGTCCAGTTTCAGTTTTCTGCATATGGCTAGCCGGTTTTCTCAACACCGTTTGTTAAATAGGGAATCCTTTCCCCATTGCTTGCTTTTGTCAGGTTTGTCAAAGATCAGATGGTTGTAGATATGCAGCGTTATTTCTGAGGCCACTGTTCTGTTCCAGTGGTCTGTATATCTGTTTTGGTACCAGTACCACACTGTTTTGATTACTGTAGCATTGTAGTATAGTTCGAAGTCAGGTGGCATGATGTCTCCAGCTTTGTTCTTTTTGCTTAGGATTGTCTTGGCTATGAAGGCTCTTTTTTGGGATAGAGACACGAAAACCCCTTCAAAAAAATCAATGAATCCAGGAGCTGTTTTTTTTTTTGAAAAGATTAACGAAATAGACCACTAGCCAGACTGATAAAGAGGAAAAGAGAGAAGAATCAAATAGACACAATAAAAAATGGTAAATGGGATATCACCACTGATCCCACAGAAATACAAACTACCATCAGACAATAAACACCTCTATGCAAATAAAATAGAAAATCTAGAAGAAATGGATACATTCCTGGACACATACACCCTCCCAAGACTAAACCAGGAAGAAGTAGAATCCCTGAATAGACCAATAACAAGTTCTGAAATTGAGGCAGTAATTAATAGCCTACCAACCAAAAAAACCCCAGGACCAGACGGATTCATAGCTGAATTCTACCAGAGGTACAAAGAGGAGCCCGTACCATCCTTCTGAAACTGTTCCAAACAATAGAAAGAGAGACTCCTCCCTAACTCATCTTGATACCAAAACCTGGCAGAGACACAACAAAAAAAGAAAATTTCAGGCCAATATCCCTGATGAACATCGATTTGAAAATCCTCAATAAAATACTGGCAAACCGAATCCAGCAGCACATCAAAAAGCTTATCCACCAAGATCAAGTTGGCTTCATCCCTGGGATGCAAGGCTGGTTCAACATACGCAAATCAATAAACATAATCCATCACATAAACAGAACCAATGACAAAAACCTCATGATTATCTCAACAGATAAAGGCCTTCGATAAAATTCAACACCCCTTCATGCTAAAAACGCTCAGTGAACTAGGTATTGATGGAATGTATCTCAAAATAATAAGAGCTATTTATGACAAACCCACAGCCAATATCACACTGAATGGGCAAAAGCTGGAAGCATTCCCTTTGAAAACTGGCACAAGACAAGGATGCCCTCTCTCCTATTCAACATAGTATTGGAAGTTCTGGCCAGCGCAATCAGGCAAGAGAAAAAAAATAAAGGGTATTCAAATAGGAAGAGAGGAAGTCATATTGTCTGTTTGCAGATGACATGATTGTCTATTTAGAAAACCCACTCAGGAGGCTGAGGCAGGAGAATGGCGTGAACCCAGGAGGCGGAGGTTGCAGTGAGCTGAGATCGTGCCACCGCACTCCAGTCTGGGCAACAGAAAAAAAAAAAAAAAAAAAAAAAAAGGAAAACCCCATTGTCTCAGCCCCAAATCTCCTCAAGCTGATAAGCAACTTCAGCAAAGTCTCAGGATACAAAATCAGTGTGCAAAAACTACAAGCATTCCTATACACCAATAATAGACAAACAGAGACCTAAATCATGAGTGAACTCCCATTCACAATTACTACAAAGAGAATAAAATACCTAGGAATACAATGTACAAGGGACGCGAAAGACCTCTTCAAGGAGAACTACAAACCACTGCTTAAGGAAATAAGAGAGGACACAAGCAAATGGAAGAACATTCCATGCTCATGGATAGGAAGAATCAATATCGTGAAAATGGCCATACTGCCCAAGGTAATTTATAGATTCAATGCTATCCCCATCAAGCTACCATTGACTTTCTTCACAGAATTAGAAAAAACTACTTTAAATTTCATGTGGAACCACATTTTGGAATTTTAAATCTAGCTTCTTCCTTCTCCCAAGAGAACTCAGTAGGGTTGTTGTCTTTTTACTTGACCACAAGTCCAGCAACAGTGGTGCTACCAGTGGTGCTAACCAACTTTTCTTCCTAGGGCAGGCAGAAAGAGCTCAAGATGAAGAGTATTTCAATAATGCCCTTTTAACTGGGCAACCACAAAACCTCAACCTGTGTGATCTACTAACCCAACACCAAGTACCTTGTCTAGCTGCGCATTTCCATGCCGTCTAGATATGGTGGCATGGCTGAGTAACTGAAAGACTCTTTCAAAGTTTTGCTTTAGGTTGTGAACAGCTACCATAAACCTTGCTTCCATAAGAGAGCACTGATACATTGGAAATTAGCCAGAAAAATCACCTATAGTGTTGTGCCTTCTGAATTTGATTAAATTTACCAATTCATTTTGACAAGCTTTACATGTGGTTATCAAAACCTTCCAGTTTTACCAAACCCCTTCAGTTTTGCCTTAAAAGCCAACAGAAGAGCAAAAATGCATTGGTTGAGAAAGGTTGGGAGTGGGTGGGAAGAGAGGGGTGAAAACTTATCAAAAGTAAAATTGGATTAAGAGTCAATCAAAATCCAACTGTGAATTTATCATTTCAATGAATTTCAATGAATGGTTTAAAATCTGTTTGAAATCTATTTGAAAATGAATATGTAATAATATAGACATATCTCCTTTTCAAAGCCAGTATTGTCAGATGTATTGTGAGCACTATAATTCATGAACAGAGTAGGTGACTATTTGAAAAGTATTAAAATGAGCTGACTTTTCAATACAAGTGTCTTCACAATAAGTTTTCCTATTCTGGGCAATTCAGAAATGTAGACAATTGTGGTAGAAAAATAATATGTATTGTAATATTCATTGTACAGTAGTAGTGTAGTAAGTGGCAATTCTGGACATTACAGGAGACACAAGGATTATTTTCTGTGATTGCGCAGAGAATACTTGGATTTCTTGTGAAGCTTTTGCATTGGAAATGAGATTCATCAGTCTGAACGGGGCAGGGTTAGAGCCCTTAGCAACATGCTTATTTTGTAGAAGGTCACTCAATAATAACTTCCTCTGCCCTCCAAGCTTATTAAGACTGACTGGCATATATTAATGAAAACACCTGATTCTCCAACCATAAAACCCAGACAAAGACTTTATTTTAATATTAAGGAAGGAACCCTTAATTAGCAGGGTTTCAAAAATGTCAGCTTCTTCTATTAGCTGTTCTGGTCCATCAAAGCCATAATCCCTACTGTCAAATTTCATCACATGATAGACAGTTTGCCGGCTGTCTTTTTTTTTTTTTTTTTCCTTTTACTGATCATACTGACTGAAGCTTCTTTTTAAAAAAAATTATTTTGCCATCACATTTAACAACACATTGTGTATTTTCTTGTTATTCTCTTTATTTTACTCTTCGCTTTCAAAGAAAGACTCTTAACACATATCAGCTAAAAAGGTGGGGGAAACACTGAAGAAACACAAGTATTACATGTGAATACATATGCATTCTTAGGTGTATAATTAAGGACTCTTGGAAGTCCTGGGCTTGCTGGTATTGATTGCCTTCGAGAGTATGTAAATGTGCTGTCCGAAAACAGAGACGAATAAAACAGTCTCATAGATGATTTCCCATTTTTGATGTGTCAAGGAGCAGGGGAAGAATTCTGCAGAAGAACCCGGGATATTTTAAGATAAACGTTAATTACTATTAACCATCAGTGTACCTGCCTGTTGCAAGGAATTCATTAGAGCATCTATGGCTTTGCGTTGCCCTCCAGAACAACAAGATAAAATGACTGCATCTAGCGGGACAGAATAAATACATAGCTCTTAAAGTATTTGTGTTTTTAATCTGATTCAAAACATTTACTGTTGATTAAACCCTTTTGCAAATGGAAAATTTCATGCAATCCATACCAAGAGGGATAGAAAAACACAAAACAAAATCAAAACAAGGATGACTCAGGGATTTACGGGCAACTTTTGTGAAGACTCAACTGCAGCTCTTTCTTTATCCATAAAAGAACAAGGAAGCCTCAGGAATAACAGTTTCAGTTTAGAAATGAGTTATGAGAAATAAAAGCTGGAGAAGGAACTGATGGAGATGGCTTGGACATGGCAGACTTAGTTGTTAGAGATGATTAGCTCATACCCATTTTCCTTAATGGGGATCGGGGACTTCATGAGAGAACACAGCAGGTTTTCTTAGCTCATCCATTTGGCATCACCGAAGCAATGGGCAAACTGTCCATTTTTATTAGCACCCAGGTATTCATTTCTGCCTTTTTACCTTAACATTTTTTCATTCTAGACCTCAGGCTAGAAAGTCTGTCCCTCTTGTGATATGCATACACTTTACTGTTCTCATGCATTTCTTCCATGTGGAACAACCAACCCTTTGTGAGCCTCAGGAGAGTGGTCCTGGGGGGCGCTGGGGTGATTACATATTCTTCATGCAAAATGCTCAGGGGTTTTCATTTAGCGAAGTCCATTTGGTTCCTTTATACCTGGGGATTCTTTTTGTTTCTACCATTGACCATCCTTTGATTTTTCTGAGATGTATTCTATTGTCTGAACAGCACTACCTAAGCACAACACAAAACAAAGCAACAGAATCCCAATTTCAAGTCACTAATGAGTCATTATCACTCTAATGCTACTTTTTTTTTTGCTTCCTTAGATGAAATAGAGATTATTAAAGGTATGGTTTCTAGTAAACTATTAGTAGAATTGACAGTCAGCCCTTCCTTACAATCTAATGGCTTTGGCTGACTGTATACAATTATTATTAAGTCTCTTGTTCTAGTTTTAATTGTGTCATTTAGAAATGAAGTTCTGTCTTTGAGGCTAATAAGTTCTTGCTCTGTTTGCTAAAAGGGACTTCCCAGGATAGCCAGACAAACAAGGTACATTTGTTGGACTAGAATATTTGGTTGGGTTCTGGGACAGTCAGGTCCAGTTTCATGGCTAATTGTATAGACACAATGAGCTATGTCCTGGGAGATTTTCTAACGCTCTTACATGTTCCTAATAGAAGGCACTGGTCATTAACGTAGACTCTAGAGGCAAATGGCTTGGGAATGAAACCATTACCCACTTTGGGCAAGTTACTCTGGCGTTTCCTCTGTTATAAAGTAAAGATAATAATGGCATCTACCTTCCTGTGGTCAAAATTAAATGAGGTAATGCATACAATGTGTAAAACAAAGGAAACCTGGCGTATATTAAGTGTAAGTGTATATTCATTCACTTGACTGTAAGCTTCTTCAGGGCAGCAGCCATATCTAATTCATTTCTACAAACCTTGGTGCATAGAAAATGTTCTATGTGTTAATTGAACGAATGAGCAAGTAAGTGAAAAAACGGCATTGAAATTGTATTGAGAAATGAGGTGATTCAGAAGGGTTTGCTAATTATTTGGGGTCCCAGAGTAATATGGCAGCTTATCTATTATGCCTACCTATTCATTATATTAACAGGAGCCCATAGTTGGGCTGTTGAATCTGATCTTTTGAGATTTAGAATCAAACGTACGGCATAGCCATTAGAAACTCAAAACCACTTCAACTTGATTCAGGAGCATTATTAATACACTATTAGTGGGGGATGAAGATGGGTCTCATGCTGAACCAAAAGACAGCTGCCTTTGATCCACAGGGATCACAGAGTCTTTGCATCTCTAATGAACAGTGTGGTTTCCTTCCCCATCCTCCCCCTGACATTGCAAGTCATTTGAGGAAATTATAGATGACATGAGCCTACCTATGGGCTCCAGGTTAAGGAGTCCCTGGGATACCTCTGAGGCCTCTCTCTCTCACTTTCCAACTAGAGCAGCTCTATACTGGTGTGTTTTATTTGGTTTTGGTCATTCCCAAAGGTTTAGCTTAAAGAACGTGTTTTATTGATGGAAGTAGAGGGAGAACCACTGTGTTAGACTTGCTGGTATACTGCATTACCTCGGGGGATATGTGAAATCAGTTTTCAAAACAGAAGAAAAAGATAGAAACAGACCAACTAAGTTAAGGTGACACTATTAATATAAAAAGTCATAATATAAACTACTGGCTTAAATGTTAGCCTGGGAAACAAAAGTCTGTTCTTGTTTCTCCTCTATCTGTCTTCACCACTGATTCTTGAAATGAGGCTGGATAAGTCACTGTACCTTTTCTGTCTCTCCAGTTTTTAACTTGTTGTCTTGAAGAGGCAATCTTTGCTTCCTCTGATGAGGAGAATGAATTAGGAAACATCTATAAAGTCTTCTAAGCACATAAACAGTTCCCCTCAATTTCTACAGTGTCTACTTATTATAAGAGTGGCAGCCACAAAGGTGAAAGAAACCATAGCAGAAAGAGCTTGGGCAAGGCTTGCTGCCCTTTCGGGCTGAGAGGCGGGAAAGGAGTGTGGCTGGCATCCCAGAAAATCGACACCTAAGATTTGTAGGAGCTTCGAGGAGCGTGCGCTTGGAGTAAGTGGCGATATTTACTTGGAAGAGTTGGCATTTCTATCGCTTCCTGCAGTCAATTTGACATCCCTCACCTAGAACTAGATGTTATCCACTGACTGCAACGCACCCCACTCCCACTGCAAGAGTAACACAATTATCTTTTTTTTTTTTACATAATCTGCATAATTAATGCCTGTGTATTTGAACAATTTTATGTGAAAAATAAATCCATGAGGACTACTCCTGCCAAGGGCAGCCAGCATAGTGTTGAGTCACCAGCAACCGGGTCTAGGGAAGTATTAATAGTAAAGTGGAAAGAGAGCCTGACTCCCGCTTCCTCTTCCCCTCTTTATTAAAGCAATCTCACACATGCTGTAGGAAAACTTTCTCTAATCAATTTTCATCTGTCCTTTTTCCTTCAGTATCAAAAATGTCATAGTTGGAGAGGAAATGGAAATGACTTCTTCCAGGAACTTAAGAAACTACACTTTCTACTTAGTTAACTGTATACTCATATTAAAGTCTTTTCTAGAATTCAGGCTTCTTTATGTCTGGGATGATATCCTATTCATCATTATAGTTCCCAAGACACCTAGCACTGTGCTCAATAAATGCTTGTTGGTTTGATTAAACTGATGACCTTAGAAGGCTTTTCTGTATGTGGCCTCTCTCCTCTCTGGGACCCTGTGTTGTTATCATTTGTATGTCAGACTAAAGACCTGAGATTCAGAACTTTAGGGGCTTGTTACAGTCTCACAGCTGCATCAGATGCACAATCAAGGCTATAAATCAGTCTGTTTCTATGAATTTGACTTTTGTAGCTTTCACATAGAAGTATTTGTCTTTCTGTGTCTGCTGTTATTTCACTTAGCGCGATGTCCTCCATGTTCATTGGCATTACAAATGGCAGGATCTACCTTTTTAAGGGCAAATAATATTCCTCTGTGTGTGTGTTTCATTATCCATTCATCTACTGATGAACCCTTAGGTTGATTCCGTATCTTGGCTACTGTGAATAAGGCTGCAATGAACACGAAAGGGCAGATATCTCTTTGACATACTAATTTCATTTTCTTTGGATAATGGGTGAGGAAGTGAAGGAAATGGGAGATTTTGGTTAGGGTGTACAAAGTTTTAGATACACAGAATAAGTTCTAGAGATCTAATGTACAGCATGGAGACTACAGTTAATAATACTGTATTGTATATTTAAAATTTGCAAAGAGTAGATCTTAAGTGCTCTCACCACCAAAGAAAGGTAACTGTGAAAAGAGATGTAAACTCTAGCTGGACTAGAGTAACCTCAGTTCACTAAGTTCATTATGAATATGTATATCAAAACATCATGCTATACACCTCAAATACACACAATTTCAATTAAAAAATTTTAAAAAGAAGAAATCAGTCTGTGTCACATTCCAGTGATCTTTGTTTCAGACATTGCTTTGGTTGAAGGAAGGGTGCATTTTGACCTTGGAGTTGAAAAGGCCAGAGTTGGAATCTCAGCTCTCCTACTTTCTAACTGTAAGCCTCCATCTTCTCATCTGTAAAATGAGACTTTTACAAC
This sequence comes from Homo sapiens, assembly GCF_000001405.40. NCBI lineage: Eukaryota > Metazoa > Chordata > Mammalia > Primates > Hominidae > Homo > Homo sapiens. The sequence continues at coordinate 33,656,393 of NC_000014.9, read as the reverse complement.
TTACTCTTGGGTTGTTGAGAGAATTAAATAAGATGAATAATGTGACTGGCATATGTTAGGCAGCTAATAACTGGCAGCTGTAATAATAAGAACAACAACAATCATTACCCACGTGGACTCCTTGCCCTGAATTACAATTGATAAGAGAAACCAATACATGCCACACAGTTAGCACAGTACTTAATTGTGCCAATCATTAAGAAAGTCCCCAAACTACTAGTCTTCTGTTTGCAGTGTACCTCAAACACAATGCTTTTCAAGTAGGTCTAGTTGTGGAAAGTCTGACTGAACAGAAATTCGATACTAAACTTATTTTTTGCTTCAGTAGCACAGCAGTAGGAATAGAGACAAGAGAGGCATCTGGTAATGCGGTGGGGCACAACCACCAAGTGAGAAAACTGGTGGCCTCAGAATGTCCCTATTTAGACTATGGCCTCAAGAGTTATTCCCATAATTTATTTCTGCTCAGAGTGAAGGAAAAGAGGATGTTTGTTTGCAAATAGATAGAAAACTTGATGCAAACGGTATGACTTTTACCCAACTTTGTGGTTTTTTGAGACTATGGGATGAAATATTGAGATTTACTACCTTGAAGAGATATGAGGGGGTACAAGTTCTTGCAGTCTTGTACTCTTCAAAAAGGCCACTACAGGAGAAACGAAACAAAACAAAAAACCCAAAACAACAACAAGGCGAAAGCAAACAACAATGAAGAAAACTAAATGGAAAAGGATTCTTTGGGCTTCCTGAGTCATCCACTTCCTTTTTCCAAGCTGAGTTAATATCCCTAGTGCTACGTGCATTTGTAAAATTTCCGGTAATGTAAACACTGTTCTCTCTCACCCATTCTCTTACAGTCATATATTTTGTTTTTCATATATTCAGGCAAGAATAGTAGAAAAGTGCTGTTAAGTTTTTATATGAATTGCCTTCTGCCAGTTAGCTGGATGTACATTGCCCTGTTGTGTTAAAAGATTTCACAAAGCCACATGCATGCTTGGATTTATCTGGGAAAAGCAAAAGAGTTCACTTGCTGTTAAAAAAAAAAAAAAAAAAAAAAAAGAGCCAAAGGTATATAGAGAAAAAGTTGGGCTAGTTTTTATTTAATACTTTTGTCAGCTTGAGCTGGTCACAGGGTGTATTTGGGAAAATGCAGACACATGCCTGAGGGCTATGCAGGTAGTTAGGAGAACTGGGTTCTAGTCTCAGCTTTGAGATTACCTCCCTGTGTTGATTAGGTGGGTATTATTCCCTCCAGGTTCATGTATAAAAGGAAGGGGCTGAACTGAAAAGATCTATCTACTCTGCTTCTTTGAACTTTATCTTCCTCATCCGTACAGTGGAGGCAGTTACATCCACCTTGCAGGGTGTTCTGAAGATTGAATGAGATCGTGTGTGTAAATCACCTATAGCAGTGTCCAGCAGGGTATATGTATTCAGAAAGTTCTAGCCTTCCTCCTTTCTCCCATTTTAAGTTTCCTCCAATTTAGAACACTTTGTAATCAGGAACACGTGGTGATCTTCATGAGCAGTGTCATCAAATAAAACTATGATTGCAATAGATACACCTGGCATCCACTCCCTGTGAGTGACTTGACTCGGGATTTTTTGAAGTGAGGGTCAAACTGCAGCTCACCTTTCCAGTGTTGAAAGAAGCCCCATAGAAATCACTTGGGATATAAATATTTATGCACCAACAGTTGGCTAGTCAGCAGCATGGTGTGGTCTATACATGCTTTGAAGGCAGATGGTTTATAATTTTTAAACTTAACAATAAAGACAAAGGTAATGTCTAAAGAGGTTAAATGCCCTTTTATTATTTGGAATGCGTCTTTACTTAGAGCTGCAGAGCCTAAATTTTTGGGAATTTTTCTTTAAAAAAATCTAATCGTCACTTTTTTTCACCACTGGAAAAGGTTAGGACATAAAATATCTACCTGGTGGTCCCAGCAGGTGAACCGAAACTTGTCTAAAATGGAAAGACTTTGTTAACACTGGCAAATCAGAACCAGTGCAGCAGAATTAATACAATTTCAATTCTTCTTTGTGTCTGCAATGGCTTCCTATTATCCTGATAAGTGGGCAGCCATTTCACTTCTTTTATTGATATAGCTGTGAAAAAGAATTAGATTTCAACACTTATGTAACTGAGATTAATTGATTGATTAGATTATTAATTAAATATTCCATTAAATTTTCTTTTGAAAAAAAAAAATGGCACAGGATTGTGGATTCCCTAAGGTTTTGTTCCTAACCCATGGAAGAATAAACAAGGAAATGCATAACTAAACATTGTATCTTATCTTTTGAAAGATAATTAAGCAAGCAGATGCATTACTATGTAGAAAATTTACTCACTGCTGGCTGTCTTATAAGACTGCCTTTATCCAGCATCTCTACATCCCAGTTCAAGGTGGGGAGACTTTCTCTTTTGTGAACAAACCACAGAAATCAGTGAGTTACGAGGAAAATCATTTGGGGACCACACCTTTAGGCACATCTATTTCTACACAATAACGGGCCTGTTTTAGTTAGGAATAAAATGGTTTACCTAAAACTTCCAATCATGCAGTGTTTCAGGGATCTGTAGAAAAATAAAAACAGCAAGTGGCCTTTCAGGTAACCCATAATTAAAAGCAATTTTGAGCTGTCTTTTCAGGGAACCTACCCAAGGGAAGTATTTGCTACCTGTTTGACCTTCACGATTGTGAGTCCTTGGCAGTGTCAACGACCCTCTGAACTGAATTCAAAACTAATCTCTGACAGAAAGAGAGAAACAGAATTCATGCAAATCATATTAATTCCAACATTTCCCCAGTGAGCTGGGTATAAACTACAGCCTAATTAAATATTTTTTAACGATGTGAGTAATTTTTGCCAAGGGGCGGATTCAGGGGAAAATTTAATATGAGATCACAAAAGCTGTTCCCAGCGTTGATTCTGTAAATTAATGACTATCTGCCTTATGATAAAAACATGCTGCCAAGAATGAAAATGAAGTCGGCAAAGCTTGCTCTATTTGTCTAACAACCAAATATACAGAATGCAGAACTTTAAAGGCAATGGGAAATTTCCATTGTGTTTCTGTGATATACACAGGATAAAGACGCACCATGCTGACAACCCAAGAGTCAGCTTTAAGGCATTGTCAGCAATACGGGGCCATTTTTAGGTAGCTGTTGGCAAGGTCCAGGGACCTACTTTAAAGCAGCTAGTTAGTTAAAAAATTATATGCAACTTGCTTCCCAAAGAGATTCAAGGTGGCTCACGATAAGAGACATGTACACACAAGTAACAGTGTTAAAGGCAAAATGGAAGGTCAAAAATATGCCAAGGGCAAGTGCTCCATTATTTGGTACAAATGTTGCCAGCATTACAGCTCCATGGATTCCTTCCTCGGACTGACCATTAAAACAGCTTTTCACACCCATCTTGATCCTCAGGGCAGTTCACTTTGGAAACCTAAATTGGATTGCTGTCCAAGGTCACGGGGGTGAGAAATGGGGGTGAATACAGCAAGCAAGGGGATGATGTCAACATAGCCCTGGACAGCTTATTGCATCTAAATCTATAAATGGCAGTGGACAAAAGGTGGCCTGGTAGATAAGACTTTTCTGGTCTGCTTAAGTCCAATTTGAGAATGGAGCTTCCCCTCGTGTTCGGACTCCAGTTTTAGGAAGCAGTTTGACAAAAAAGCAACTCAGCATATGTTACAGAGAACCAAGGCATGGCGCCTGAATCAGAGCCAAGGAAAAGTCCCTCATCTCGTTTTGCTTCGTGAGGGCAACCTACTTTTAACGACTCCTGTAGTTAACACCCAGAAGTTGCCGGCGGTCCCCTGTGACATATGACTTGGGCTCTGCGAGCCCCTGGTCACTAGGCCAGCCCATCACAAGGGTTTTAGGAGCTATATTTATTTAAATTTCTGTCGGTGCCCAGAGATGGAGATTGAATTTACAGTCTTTCAATTAGAAGGTCATCTGTGCTAACTAGTGCACCACTGCCTCATTATAATCATAAAATTAGTGAGAAAAGACTGGCATGAGTAATATGGAAACGCTGGTTTCAAAGGTGAAAAGGTGCTGTTTCCTCAGGTTATAGCAGAGGAGAATGCAACAGCAAGCTCTTAATCAGTAAATATTCCCATTTAGAGCAAAGAGAAGTCCTTGACACCCATTACAACAAAATATAAGGATGCCAAGATAATTTTATGAGAATACATACAAATATTCACAGTGACTCACAGTTTTCATATTTACTTACACATAAATTTTCCTTGCAAATTTAATACAAGTAAAAGTAGCATGAATGTCTCCAAAGCACAGCTTTTGATTTTTAACCGTATTTGTCAAAAATCTCAGCTGATGATTAATAAACAAATCAAAATGAAATAAAAGGCAGGGCTGGGATGTGGAACACCTCATGACTGGTTGTATGGGTAGCAGGCTGCCATGCTAAGCCTTATCATTTTTAAACTTTAACATGTTGTTAATGTTATTAATGGAAACGCTGGGTGCTACTTAATATTTTTGCCCACTAGAAATGTTATTTCTAGGAAAAGAAAAATAAGCCACCAAAAGTGGCCTACTCCAAAATTAAAAGGGAAGGAAACAAACCAAACTAACATGTATTGAGCATTTACGTCTATCAGGTACTTTTATATCAGTTTTTTTCCTCTTCATAATGACCTTATAGAAAGGGGGTATTATTATCCTTAATGTACAAATAGAGGAAACAGAGGTATAGAGAAAAGGTACAAGTCTCCTGACTTTCACCAAGGAATTAGTGACAGAGCTGGACTACAGACCCAGCTCTGACCTCAAAGCTATATACTTGTGGGTTTTTTTAATATATAATTTGTATTCTAATTATCTTATATCAGTTGAGATGGTGCTTATTTAAAATGCATTTCAATTTCCCTAACCTAAAAGAGAGTCTTCAGGGACTTCCTTAATATAAAGCTAAACAACTTAAGGAACTGGATCCAGGGAGAAAAGAATGATTTAACTTTGAAAACTCAGTAAGTACTTATTACCCACCTAGCCTATGAACAGTGATGTCCTATGTATGATCGGGGTACCAGGAAGAAGACAGATCTGTGCTAACTGAAAAGTGGACATACAACCAACTAACTGATGCAGAGTGGCACGTCCCCGTACAAAGGCAGAGTGCAGCACTTTGGCGGGAGAAAGGAAGATGGCACTGCATGGCGCGAAAAAGGCTTCACAGCCTAAGTTGTAGGAGGTGTGATGATTTCTGCACGGGCCTTGTGAACAAAGTCTCAAAGAGGCAGAGAGATGGTTGTTGACCTGTCTTTCTTAGAAGAAGAGGGGATGACCGCAGTCTTTGTCTGGCTCCTTTCTTCCCTTTGTGTTTGATCTGGCTTTTTCCTTTTCTCTTGCCAAGCCTCCCTTCCTTCCTCCCTTGCTTTCCCTCTTCTTGTTCCATGTGGCTGGAATCCTCAGACCTACAATGGGCATCAGAACTGCTTCAAGTCTGTCGGTTCTGGCCTGGGTCCTGCTCCTGCTCCTGCAACAAGGACCCAAGTCCTTTGAGGGGCTCACCACGAGAGATAGGCTGCTGCTCCTGGCAGAGGCATGGGCCTGGCACCAAGGAGTCAGCACAGAATGAGAGAGAGAGAGAGAGAGAGAGGAAAAGATTTTCTCCATCTTAGAGCCCCCAGAAGAGACATGTCATCTACAGTGGCAGCAGGAGCTGTGTGAGGGGATGTCTTTTATTCTGCAGCCTAAGTGCAGGGTCCTTGCAGAGGGCTGTGCTCAGAGGAGGGGAAGATCAGAGGTGAAGGGATGAATAATGTGCACGTGGAACAGTGACAGATCACTTGCAACAAATGTATGATGACCCTCCAAAGCTCGGAGCTCACTAGAGCTTCCCTCTAATTAAGGATAATCCAGAATTATCATGCTTAATTATTTTCATAGGTTTCTTTGAGGGTTTTTTTTTCTTCAATTGGGGTGAGGGATGTCTCTAGCTACAAAGGGCAAAGGCTGATTTACATCTGGGAAATAAACTTAAGAAATCTTTTCTCTTGCCCCACTATCCCTGCAGCATCTCAAACATCCTGTCTGTCTGTGCAGCAATAATTCTATGTCAATCTGCCTTGTTTCCTGCTTGCGTTAAGGTAGCATATTCCTTACCTACAAGCAACCTCTGTTCTCTTCTAATAAGTTGCTGCTGTTACAATGCGCAAGATTTTCTTTGCTTTCCTTATAGAGTTTTCTCGAAGTGAGGTCTGAGTATTGCCTGTGTCTGTACAAAATGCAGAATCAGTCGACCTTCTTAAAAACACATCCTCCTGGTCCCATTTAAGGCACTAAATCAGACTGTCCTGGGACGGGGCCAGGGAATCTGTATTCTAAACAGGAATCCCAGGATATTCCTCTCCTGTTAAAGTCTGAAAGCTATTGGTTGGGTGGCTTGACCTTTGCCAGAAAATATATTCTTTAAAGACCTCTTCCCTGGCCCTTCCTGCCTTCCACACTACAACCACTCTGGTCAAACTTGGTTTCTCTCTCTGCAGCCAACCCACTGTGATGACTTCATTATTTCTGTTGTCATCCCCAGTGCTGTATTCATCATTTCCTTTATTATATGCAGTCTGTTTCTTAGAGTTTTCTGATTTAGCTTGTCTTCTTCATACCCTATTCCCCTTCCCTGCCTATTCTCCTTTTTGGCCTTTCTTCCTTCTTATTGCTTACCAAATTAGTAAAATTCAGCTCACTTCTTCCACCTCATGAAGCCTTCCTTATGTAGGAACTAAAAAAGTTAAGTTTCAAAGTATGCATCCGACACAATAACCAACTTACAATGGAGTATATAAAACAATCTATGATAAAATATTAATAGCCGAGTTCTACAATAAAAGTAAGTGTCCATTTTGTGACATGAGATGGGAATAGCATCTTTTATACATTTGTTACAGTACCGTACTGTTGGCATCCCAGACATACTAAGTCAGATTTTGAAGGGCTTTCAGCCCTGTGCAACCCTCGATGGTGTAACTATGCTGGTTTCCAGCGTCATGTCTCTTGAGCCAGTTTTGTCAACGGGCAGGGTGAAACCGTCTTTTTGAGGTGAAGACATCTGGCCAGCTGCTGTAAGTGCCTTATTTCAGTTAAACAGCCCCATGTGAGTATTTGAGAACAGGTGTTAACTGTCCACTTCATTTAGGACAGGAGGTGCATGGACAGAGAGACAATCAAGTTTTGTATACTGGGATTGTCATTTGAATGAATACATAACCTATAGGGCATTGTGGGTTCCTTTAAAGAATGGAAACAAAGGCCAGTTTTGGTTAGAATGAACTCAAATTTGAGTTATTGCCTGTATAGGGTGCTTCCCTCTACCTCCCAATGGTAAGTTCTTGGGAAACGGGTACTTTCACAGGATGAGTTCCTCAACAGAGGAAAACTGCAAGGCAAGGACCCTCACAATTCGCTGCTGTTCATCTAGAATTCTGGGGGGCAGCACAAGGCCACACTGTGCTCCTCAGCACCAATGGGACATTGACAAACTAGAGTAAATTTAGAATAGAGACAATGGCAAGTGAGATTCTGGAGGGCTTCACTGGTGATGATGGACTATGAGGCTAAATGACAGTGGTTTAGCCAAACGACCACTAAAAAGGAGAGCAGGCTGTCTTCCCATACCCAGGGGAGAGATGTGAGGACATCACTGCCCTCTGAGCCTGGCTTCACACACGCACTGGGATGTGTTCAACTCTATGCCAGTCCAGAGGATAGAAATACTTTTTGTGCTGTCCCTGTAAGCCAAACTATGGCAGTTCATTAGCAAGCAGAAAATGTATGTTTATATTGACTTGGAATTCTATAAATTGGGCCTTCAAAGATTATTTTTAGACACTTTTTCTTAGATTTCCATAAAGCCTTCCTTTCTAGGAGTTTAATGTTAAACAAGTTTTCTGTGAAAAATGTTTTAAAACATTAAATAGGTTAGGGATGTAAATGGTACATGCCCAAGTTATTTTCAAAAAGTGACACAATTGGAAGACTATACTTTTGTGTATATGCAGGACTATTATTTGGACCTAAGTTTTCAATGGACCTAAAGTCAGCTTGTAGCAATTTGAAATGGAATGATTTACATTCACAACACAAAGCTGGTCACACCCATGATAGCAGCTTCTGTTCCTGTAGTGGGCAGACAGCCCCTTATAGATAAATTCATCTCAGTAACTTTGCTTCCTGGTGGGTTCAGCAAAAGGGTCCCACAGGCTGCTAGTCTCGATCTGTTCCCTTCTCTGCTTTACAGAGTTCTAAGCCTTTCTTGTAACCTGGGGGCAAAATCAAACGGAGAGGGGTGAGAGAGAAGAAAGGGTAGCAGGGGAGGTTAAATAGGTTATCACCAAGGAAGGGTGTTCAGTGACTATAAATTAACAAATCCATCTTTGTTATGAAGATGGGCAATTATTTTTCGAGGTAATTTCAAGAGTTAGTAAGATGTTCTATACAATGGGCCTGCCATTTGAGTGACTATGTATCTATAGGTTTACATGTTTATCTGAGTATATGAGCTCTAGAATTAAAAATATTATCAATGGAAGGAAAAAGCAGCTGAAACCAACTATATACGGGAACATGCAAGATGTGACCTGGGATGGAATGGTGGGAGATTTTGTGATTCAGGACTGAGTCACCCCTGAATGCTTCAAATCTGGCTACTACTTAAGCCACAACTGGGAGGCATCCTTGACATTGTGAAATAACAAAGTGATGCCGAGTCAGAGGGTAAAAATTTCAGTGTAAATAGCAGTTGTTTCATGCATTTAAAATCAAATTGGTTCAAGGTGAAACAATTGGTGTTAATGAGATGATAGTTCAGGAAAGAATAAAGACCTGCCATTTCTAAATACAACAGAATGACTAACAACTAGATCATAACCGCTTTTGTTTGCTATGGGGACAATACAGTAAGAAACAGAAGGCAGCATAAGTATATCAAAGAGTGATCAAGTGATCCTAATACACTTCGAAGATGCTGGTCAAAAATATTACTAAAGAAGCCTTCTTTTCATGATGATACAGGTGTTTCTTCATCATGTGGCTATATATATATATATATAGAGAGAGAGAGAGAGAGAGAGTAAGAAGATGTAATAAACTGAGTAAGTGTATGAAATTGCTTACTGTGCTATGCCATTTGGTGCATTCTGGAAGGATTTATGCTCTGAGGATACTTAGACTATCTAGTTCATTAAGCAAGTTAGTGTGTGGTCATTCATATCACACAGTTGAGCCTAAGGACATAAACATTGCTTCCATGAGAAAATAATATACCTGACTTTCACATCATTTTGATCAACAGCACTTTTGTTTCAAAAGTATTGAAACCCATTACTTCAAGGACAGCTGATACTACAAGACAGCTCCTACTGTGAAACACTATCTCCTTGTTGCTACCACAATGTAGGCACATGAACAATAATCTTTGCTGCCTGAGTCATTGCTGCTGATTACTCTATACCTCTGGGGGAGTTTCTGGATCCACAGAGGTAAAAAAAAAATGTTATAAATAAGGACCCACTCAAATCTCTTCGTGAGTGCTGAAGAATTGCTAACGTGTGAGCAAATGGTTAAGTGGCAATGAGTACTGCCCTGCTAGCTCACAGGCACCAAAGACCACAAACAAAGGCATTTTCAAAGTTGTTCCAGGAGACATCTGGTAAGAAGGGAACACAGTTTTGATGGACTATTCAACTTGGACAATTTGAAAACAAAAAGAGCTAGAGCACTGCTGTGGTAAGATACCTATGTTTTATCCAGGCCCAAGCCATGAAGGACTATGAGATCACATGAGTGCATGAATCTTATTTCTATAATTTCATCGTTACTCATATATGTTATGAATTATATAGATACTAGGAGGCAGAACTATGACTACATTATTTTGATCAATTGATTGACCAGTCATCTACGCAGACATCCATTTACTAGATAAAATAATGGCAAATATACACACATTCTAAGGCTGGAGAGAAAATGGGTCTTAAATAAATTTAAGAAAATGTAAGAAAAGGTTAAGCTAAGTGTAATGGATTATTCTTATAGATGGCATTTCCCCTACTCCTTTGTACATATGATATCATGTTCCATATATGATGAGTAAAACAATGAACATAGCCTAGGTATTTTTGTCACATCCCTTCCCTCCTTCCTTTTTAATAAATGGAAAATCAGGATGGCCTTCCAGTCCCAATTTTGCCTGGCTAAATTCTGCCTGTCCTTCAGGCCTCAGCAGACCCCTCGTTTTCTCAGAGAACCCCAAGACTAGATTAACTTTTCCTGTTAGATGCTCTAACAGCACTTGCACCTTTCATCCACGGCACTAAGCACATATATAATTATCTTTTGACCTAGCTCCCCTTGCAAAGACATACATTTCAAGAGGCATTAACTTCTCTTTCTTCATTACTGCTGTGCTTCCAGCTCCCATGGTGTGACGGCCCTCAATGAAGGTCTGTTGAAGGAACATGTGAGACGCATGCACTCATGTAGTGCTTCATGGCTTGGGCCTAGATGAAACCACAGAGGTGCTCTAGCTCTTCTCATTTTTGAATTGTCAAAATTGACACTCAAATGTGTGATTATCATTAGGCACACAGGATGACAAGACCATGGCAGCAAGCTCAGAAGCACTGTGACAGAGAGAGTCCTTGAATTACTCGGTCAAGTGGCAGCTCCATTTTGCCAGGCTGGAAGGCAACCCACCAGAGGCAGCTCCTCTCTGCTGTAAAGCCTTAGGAACACATGCTCTTGGAGGGTACAGGGCTTCAGTGAATCGTTTTCCTAGAGCTGCTTTTATGCAGATACTTAATCTGTCTATTTAGAGATAATTTAGCTATTGCTTTAAATAATCCAATGCAAACCAGAGACAGTAACTCTATCATTCTTATTATGCTCTAAAATGCTATTAGACCATATTTCATTGATTACAGATTTTCCTTTATTTTGATGAATTAGGTATTACTACACAGAGCCTGTGGACTTTAATGTACTCAAGGAAAATCTGTTGTGCTTGTTAATATGCAATTCTGGAATCCCACCCCCAGAGGATATCATTTAGTAGTCAAGAGTGGAACCAGGAACCTGCAGCTTCACAGAGTTTTTGGTGATTTTGAGGAACTAAGTATCAGGTACCCTGAACAACTGCCCTTAGAAATCCACCCTTTCCATTTCAGGCACTTACCAACTCTCGACATTTCTCAGTTCTTAGTCATTGTGGTTTTGTCCTATTCGCTCATCTTTTTTCTTTCTTTCTTTTTTTTTTTTTTTGAGATGGAGTTTCACTCTTGTTGCCCAGGCTGGAGTGTGGTGGTGCAATCTCAGCTCATTGCAACCTCCACCTTCCGGTTTCAAGCGATTCTCCTGCCTCAGCCTCCCAAGTAGCTGGGATTACAGGTGCCCGCCACCACACCTGGATAAATTTTGTATTTTTAGTAAAGACGAGGTTTCACCATGTTGGTGAGGCTGGTCTCAAACCCCTGACCTTGTGATCCGCCCGCCTCTGCCTCTCAAAGTGCTGGGATTACAGGCATGAGCCACCACATCCGGCCTCATCTTTATTCTTGATTAGCATTTTCTTTTTTTAAAGAAAACATGGAACTAAATCTGGTTACTTAAATCCATGATGCAAAAACGGCAGTATCTAACAGAACCCTAGGCTGGGATGGAGAAGCCCCGGGTTCCGCTTGTATCTGTGTACCTAGCTCTGTGACCTCTGGCAAGATACCTAATGCTCATTCCTCAGTGTCCTCATGTATGAAATAAAGATGACACTACCTCTCCTAAACCTACCTCAAAGTGATGCTGTGAAGAAAATGAAAACAGATATGTGACTTATGCTGAGGATAAGGGAAGGACACTAGGAAAATCCCAAGGCATGGTTCTGACTTGTGTCATCATACCCAATGGCTGGCCAAATGAGAAAGGCAATGTGCTGTGTTGCTCACTACACAGGCATAACTCTAACGCTTCAAGTTTGGGTTCAAAATGTGTGTAGTGCCCCTGCCAAAAATATAAATATATAAATAAAGGTATTTCATGCCATTTACTTTTGCATGCCATACTTCTGAACATATGTTTCATGGCTCGTTTGCCAAAAGTTATGAGATTTTAGTCAATATTCAAGGAGTATGTTCACATTTTCAATGGCAAAAGGCACATTTTGATCAGTGTGTTAATAAATTATGCAAATATTATGAACTCATGTATAATTTTTAATAGAATTGGTACAAGAAAGTCTTCAATGCCACTAAAGAAGAGCGAGTGACACAAGAAAGCCACACAAGAAAGCCACTACTTTTTCTTTCACCTTTTAGTCTTGTGATAAATTTGCATGAAGCAGAAAATACATCATAAAGATCAAGTATCTCGAGTGGAAATTAAATAAAGCTTTGTCAGACTTGACAGAACCAATCATATACAAGAGAAATGACAAGACAAGCAGTCTTTAGGTTAAAAAAAAAATCTTCTCCCCAATTTGCATGTTTTCAAAAATTTACATACATTATTTAAAAACAATGGACTTGAGCTTGAAAAATTCTACAGACAGCAGAGAGAAAACTTTAACAATTAACTTGGAAGGACAAAAAGGGTAGAATTTCTCCCAGCATACACTCTCCTGCCTGATTTTTATCGAGCTCACAAAGCCCCTTTAGATCATCTTAATCCACTGTGGCAAAGTAGCTGAATATGTGATTCAGATTGTCTCAGAAAATTCTGTGCTACCAATCAGCTTTCTGACACTGCTCTTCTCTTCAACCTTCAGAACCAGTGACAGCAAAGACCAAAAAGCCAACTCACAAAGGAGCTCTCAAATGGCAAACTCCGAGAGCTTACTGCTTAACCCACAGAACAAAGATGCTTTTTGACACATCCGAATAACTTCTAATCCTAATATTTTAGCAGTGCTGCTAACTTTACACAGTCTCTTGCCCTCTTGCTCCATCTCTCTCGTTTTTTTTTTTTTTTTTTTTTTTAATTTTTATTTCTTTCTTTTTCCGAACACATCAGAACTGGGGTGTTGGTGTTTTACAGCAAAGGGTGTCTGCCTAACAATTACTTTCCCTAGACATGCATAAATATTTAAGTTGACAACTATTCCTGATTTACAGTGCAACTTTATAGCAGATAATACTATCACTGGTTATGAATAACATCATGGTATGCTGCTACAAACTGACAAGACTAATGTGACCACTAAATCAAAACCTCAAATTACAAAGAAAATAGTTCCTAGTCACGAGGGCTGCATTGAAAAGTGAGAGCTGAGATCAGAGCATTAACAAGGCTGATTGATCTATATATGATGAGATGATTACTTATATGAAGATTATTGCGAGAGGAGATGACAAGGCTTATAGATAAAAGCCATTTCTCTGATCCATGGACACTTTTTTGGTTTAAGAGCCTCTTGTAAAGTTACTCAAGATACCTCTGCATCACAGTAAATTTGGCAGCCACAATATTGGCAAACAAAGAAGAGATCAGTGAGACAGCCATCTGTGAATTCATTTTCTCCATCCATCCCGGCCATTTGGAGAGAAGACCAAAACCACCGGAAGAGAGGTTCAGCCAGGCTTCTCTGACACCACAAACAATATGCTCTGTTGTGACCTTGTAAAGTTTTCCTGCTAATTAAAAAAATAGGTGCACACTGGTATCCCCACTGGCAAGCAGGCACAATGCAGTTTTTCTTTAAAAAGACAGAGCAAGTCTAAAATTGCATTTATTTTCCCCCAGCAGCATTAAATAGGACCCTACACTGTTCCTGCAGAAATCTAAGTGTCTAGATTGAGATTTTTCAATCTTGTACCCAGACTTAAAAGAAATGATCTATAAACAATCACAAATTGCAAAAGTAACGATTAGTGCCATAAGAAAGATTAAACATTCCTGGGCCATTGTTCTCTCTCCCTTCTGATCCCCAGCCCACATTCCTCTCTGTCTTCTTATTGAAATCAGTTATCTATTGCCGCTTGCTGAATCTGAATAGCGGCTCGCTGCTAGAACATGCCTGGCTTAAAACAATCAATAAACTCTCATTTTCTTTTAACAGTTTAATATTAATCTGGGGGATGGTGGGGAATGGTAAATGTGCCATTACAGCGGCTCTGACCTCCTCTCTAAAGCTAGAGCTCTAAGCAAAAGGATGATGTGAAAAGAAAATGAAGACAGGACACAGCAGGAGATCCGAGATGATCTGTTAATGAAACTTCAGCGCTGCCCTCTGTTTTGATGAGTTCCCATGGTGATCAAATAGAATTATAAATAGGCTTTTGTAGTTGTGGTCAATTTTCTATCTATCGACATGATAAAACAAGACATGACACAATCATACACCATAAATCTCTCACTCTTCCCTGCTGTTGGGAATCGATGAATTATTGAACACAAACTCTAAAAAACAAATGAGAAATTTACTTGGGGTAAAAAACTTTCTGCAAGACAATATGGTCAGCAAACTCTCACCATACCTGCATTTTCTTTTCCTCCACCAATTCAATTTGAAAAATAAAGACACGATGCCGCTGTACCATTAGCACAAAGAATTATAACAGAAATATAGGCATCAAACCTTGGCACAATAGTAATATATTTTTCATGAAAGGAAGTGTCAGGAGACCATAGACAGAAATAAACACCGAGAAAATTAGGAGCATCACTATGCTGGGTTTACATTACCAGAAGCTTAAACAAATGTGGAGTAGGAGGTTAGATGCTCTCCATCAGGAGAGAGGTATCAGAACCAGGGTTAAAAATGAGTTAGACATAGACTCTCCTTGTGAAGTTAATAACCTCAGACACAGTCAAAAGAATCACCCCCTAGCCCCTAGTGGTACACACAATTATAGTTGTGGGACCAGTGGTGTTACATGACAAACTTAAGAGTTAAATTTTGAAGTTTGTTAGGTAGGCTAATCTACAAAAGCCCTTTAGCTGGTATGAGGAGATTAATTCATATTTAAACATTTGCAGCTTGATTAAATTAGGGACTGTGTTATTTTTTTCATATTCAACTAGAAGTAAAGCAATGAAAACATGCACATTACAGCAAAGAAATCTGCATTCTTAGAAATCATGAGCCTTCTTGACTACTACAGAGAGGGCTAAGAAAGATCTGTTAAGGCTGAAATCTTCCATGCTCCGTGGAAAGAAGTTAGATAAACAAGTCAAAACGGAAGAAAAAGTGAGTGAAAACATTTTGCAAGAAAAGCTATCAAACTCACAATTATGAGATGGTCATTTAAAAATTTTCCTTTTCATTAGAGAAATACATGTTTGTTTTAGGAAATGTACAAACTACAATAAAGTATACAGAAGATACTAAAAAATCACCCGTTATCCTATCACACAGAGAGAACTGCCAGTAACACTTGGGTACCTTTCCTTGCAGGAATTTTCTCTGCACATACATATTTATTAACAAAATTTGGATCATGCAGTACCTATAATCTGATATGTGTGTCAAAATATATTTAAGGAAAAATGTAAACAAATACTATTTTACATCTACATCTATATACTTCTATCATGCTTTGTAAATGTGTTTCATGTTTGAGTATTTGTACAACGAGATTTTCAACTCCCAGACAGCAGGAGCACTGGTTTCCAGATTATTTCCCTGTCAATATACTTGTTCTCCCCCATTTCCCCAAAGTTTCTGGGAGTATTTGTTGGTACTTGGTAGACCGCTGCAATTGCTCATTGGACAAATGAATGAATGTTAGTCTGCCCTTGATTAGAAGTTTAAATTTTCATGATCAATTTATATATAGATATCATGGTTGAAATCAAATGGAGTTTAAATATTTTTATAAGTTTTTTTTCTTCTGGAAACTAAGAATTGTGAATTTTAATTATTGAAAAAGATGTGCATTTTAAACTTTTTTTTGAGATACTCTTCAAACTATAGCCATAGATGAATAAAAGAGTCTCAGAAATGTCAGAACATATTGTGAAGATGATCACTGCATAGACTTCAGGTAGATCTTCCAGGAAAATATTACAGGCCACTTGCCTGATGGGTACAATGTGTTTTACTAAATCTGATTTGCCTGAGAGATGGGTTCAACTGACACTCTTTTCTCTAGGGAGCAAGAAGAGGGCATCAAACAAGAGTCACGTTTGTAAATATTATACAGATAATTTTTTTTTTTTTCAACAGGGGGTCTCGCTGTCGCGATCTCGGCTCACTGCAACCTTCGACTCCTGGGTTCAAGTGATTCTTCTGCCTCAGCCTCCTGAGTAGCTGGGATTACGGACGTACACCACCATGCCTGGCTAATTTTTGTATGTTAGTAGAGATGGGGTTTTATCATGTTGGCCAGGCTGATCTCAAACTCCTGGCCTCAGGTGATCCACCCACTTCGGCCTCCCAAAGTGCTGGGACTACAGGTGTGAGTCACTGTGACCAGCCCATAGAGGTAATTTGAGAATATTATAAGCAGTAAGACAATATAGCTGAAAGAACACAAAACTATGGATGGAAGGACTTGTGCCTCAGTTCACATTTTACCACTAAATTCCTGAGGAAACTTGGTCAAGTCAGATAACACTTTTACTTTTCTCTTTTAAATGCCTACTTTCTAGTTGTTTTTGGTTAATCATGTAAGAAAGCAGATTCATAAAGAATAAATATGAACATGAAAAGCTTTATAATCTTGCTCCAACACTAATCTGGTTGCTGATGGAGAAGATGTAGTGGCAGGGCAATTTAGTTTGGGAACAGCTGAACATTGGCTCTTATGTACCTGAACTCAGAAAGAAAGGGTCACACTCCTGAACAAGAGCTAAGAGGAGAATGTATAATTTTTGACTCTTCAATCTGCCATCACGATCTCTAGTGTGAACTCCATCCTAGGAGCCATATTATGTAGCCTACCAGCGAGACCTTACACAGAAAAGCCAAATACATTATAACTTTATAAAATAAATTATAACTTTGTCTTTTTAGAAAATTATCTAGACAATTTTTTTTTAGATTGTTTCACATGTGGTTTGGTTTTTAGGGGTAGCACAATTCTTCTTATTTTAAATTTGTCTCTAGCTCCTATTTCTTGAGATTGGCCAATCCAGACAGGAGTGTGTCTACATATATATCCACCTTTGCTGATTTATTGAGCCATTGGGCTTTTGCTCTTATACTATTAGCTACAGAGGGGCTTAAACGGTCTATCTTAAACCTAGAGTGGTAATAGTTAATAGTTACCAACATTTCAAAAAGCCTGACTCTAAGGTGGTTTTCCTTAAAATGTGGTCCTAGGGAATCATGCTACGCCAAGGCTTTGGTGTATTAACCTTTGTGATGTATTACATTAGATGGGCCTTGGACACAAGTCTGAGTAGAACAAAACCAAGGTTAAATGGTGCGGTGCCTTTCTAAGTCAAATAACTTCTAAGGAATTTATCAAATATAACTTCTAGAGTGTCATTGGAGAAGTGAAAAATAATACTAGAAGTCATTGTATTCCCTGCTCGAGATTTAGGACAGTTACATTACTTTAAAATATATCTGTGTTCATGGCTGTCAGAAGAAATCCCAACAAAATCCACACATTTGCCACATCCATTACCACTGTAAATAATTGCTTTGAAATGCTTGCTCTAACAGTTACGTGGCTTCAACTTCCTCATTTGAGGCTGGACATTTCTAGTTCTGGACTGAAAGTCTTTCCCCAAGGAGCCCAGCAATGATGTTGCCCCTACCAACTGCAAAGTTCTCACTTGCAATTAAAACTACTAATGGCCAATGTCTATTGAGCACTTAGTGTGTTCATATGTGTACGACATGTACTAGACAGTCAAAATGTATATGATTTATCATTTAATCTACAGAACAGAACTACACAGCTGGTGTTATTATTTTCTCCATTTCACAGATTAGGAAACTAAGAAGAGAGAGGTTAAAAAGTTTATCCAACATCACGTAGATAGTAAGTAGAAGAACTGGGTTCAAACCCACTAGTTGCTGACTCCAGAGTATCCTTCCTGCTTTCATGCTGCCTGCATAGCTGTGCTCACAGCCAGCCATGGTTTGATAGAAGCAGATGGAGGACCAGCAGCCCATTATATCCATAAGATTATGAGTATAAAATAATTCTGGTTAAATGATCTTTAATATTAATTTAACACCAAAAACCTAAAATAAGTAATATAAAAAGGAAAAATTTGATTAGACCGAATTCAAACAGTCACTAGTGCTTGGTATGCTGAAATGTCCAATACTTTTTGCTATAATTTCTTTGATAGACCATGTCACCAACATAGAATCAGCTATCAAAAATAAGTCTGCTCAGTTTCTGGTACTTCCTTTCATAAAATGCATGCTCCTTTCAAATAATCCGCTAACCCTACCGGAACTCACAGCACGGAAAGATCACTTCATAGGAGACACATGGCATGAGGGAACACAGCCTCTGATTTGGGGTAAAGCCCAGCTCCTTTGTGGAGTAGATTCTGCATCTTAGACAACAGGGTAGGAGGCAGTGTTTTACAACCATCATATTTAGTGCAACTTCTAGATTTGTGGAAGTTTTCTTCATGCTTTGCAATCGTTCTTTATAAAAAATACATGGTAATAATGATACCTTGTTTTGTGCTTAATAATGAGACGGATAAAAACTGTAGCTGTTCATGAGTACAAAAGTAAGAAAAAAACAGCAAACAAAAAAGGTAAGTCATTTGTTGTAAGAACCTACAAATAAATTAAACCTTGCCTAAGATGTATTGATTTTATGTGGCCTCGCCTGTAGAATAATGTCAAGGGTTCCTGACAATCCATTACATTCAATAGGTAAAATCTCCTTATAACTTTTTTCCCCTTCCTGAACGATGTATAATCTATTTTTTCCTTGATGAAAAAGTAGTGCTTTATAAGCTTAGAAAAAGTTTCTTCTGATCACCTGTTCAACATCATAGGGAGAAAAATTAGTTATAATGGACTCTAATGATGTGATAGGTCAAAATTCATATATACTTTCTAAATATACAAGCTGAATCCAGCAAAGTGGAGATGATTATTAGGTCATCTTTATTATGAAATTAGAAATCATATGCCAGAGTGAGTGCTTTGCATTTTTCATTTGTGATTTCAGTATCGAAGAAGAAAACAAAAAGTTAATTATAGATTTGTGACTAATTTTCAATGAAAAAGATTGACTTCTCAATATCTTTAGAGCATTATGGGGAACTCATTTTTCACCGCCAGTACTAAAAGTCACTCCAAAGAAAACATTTAAAAAATAGTTTGTTTCTCCACAATCTAGAGAAATGCTTTTCTCAAGCCTGTAATAAAAAGATTATTTTTTACCATGAAAAAAATGTCTCTGCCTACCCTGATGCCGGAAGAAAACAAAGATAGATGTAACATTTCTAATAGAAGAGCAGATAGACCAATTCTGTTAATCTTTAAACCTGCAATTACTCTGTGTGTGTGTGTGTGTGTGTGTGCACACTCCGAGTGTCCTCCTCCTGCTGACAGCTTGGTAGCAGGAGGGAAATGAAGATGCCAAAAATTTCCTGACAACAAGATTTTCATTTTTAGTGTTTAATAGTTGTGTCTCATTTTGAAATTGGCAATTTAGGGCCCCGGTGTGCCAGGCAGTGGGTTTCTGGAATTTCACAGCCGTGTGACTCTGAGAAGGGCAGTCTGACTGGTGTGCGTTTGGGGGCCTTGCATCAAATCTTGGTGCATGGTCAAAACCTCCATGCTTTATGATTTCTGGCAGCGGCTGCCTGATTCTCAAGATTTAACCTAGACTTTCTTAGAAACTCTCCCATGCTGCCACATACCACGTAAGTGAGTGACTACATGGCAGGGTCACTGTGGCGTTAGGAAAGTCCTGACATGCCCTTGGAGTGTAACTTCAGGAGCAGGAATATCAGCTCAGGTAGAAAAGCCCATACACTAAGAAACCCTTCAATTCTAAAGAAAACCGCTATAGCTGTGCATAGCAGTTATTGATACATAGACTGGAGGCAGGCAAATAATGCAGATGCTAGCGTGAGCCTTTAATGCTGACACTGGGCAAACACTTTTTCATAAATGGATTCATTCATCCGTTCCATAAGCTGCCAGTGAACACCTATTACAGGCAGACACTGTGCAGGGTAGTGGAATAAAAAGTAAGTTAGGGCCAGGCACGGTGGCTCACGCCTGTAATCCCAGCACTTTGGGAGGCCGAGGCGGATGGATCACCTGAGGTTGGGAGTTTGAGACCAGCCTGACTAACGTGGAGAAACCCTGTCTTTACTAAAAATACAAAATTAGCCAGGCGTGGTGGTGCATGCCTGTAATCCCAGCTACTCGGGAGGCTAAGCAGGAGAATCGCTGGGAGGCGGAGATCGTGCCATTGCACTCCAGCCTGGGCAACAAGAGCAAAACTCCGTCTTAAAAAAAAAAGTTAGGTCTAGTCGTGTTTACAGTCCATGACACTTACATGTGGACATGCCACAGAGGGATGTATGTACAGGTGCTGGAAGCCAGAAAAATGATCTAATGCTGCATAAATGGGAAGGGAACATTTCACAGAGAAGAGGATCTCAAGGATTAGAAGAAATTCTCCAAGTTGGCAGGGAGTGGGGCAGAGGACAAAGAAGCCAAAGACCCCGACAAGTCCAGGGAAGGTGGGCTTCTGGAGGGTACATCAGTAGTTAGATTGCTCATACAGAACATTACATCTGGACTATGTCTGATAATGGGTGATGGCGGTGCTGGTGAACAGTTAGAGGAAGGATATGATTGATTAAACTTCAAAATGGAGGCTCAGGGAAACTTGTTGGGAGATCACTGCAATTGTCCAAAGCAAGACCCTCCCTGCTCGAGCCTCTGGGTCTGCAGCCTCTACTCCTTCCTTTCAATCCATAAACAAACCCAAGGCTTTTACATCTCGAAATGATACCTCTCTTCTAGTCTAAAATTCCCCTTGCTTTTCTTCTTCTAACTCTTCTTCCTTTCCAGCTAAGCTTTTGGAAAAAGCAATCTAAGCCTCTTATCTCTACTTCCTCACATCCAATTCCATCGACAACTCTCTGTAATCTGACTTCCATATGTCCTATTTCTCTGAAACTGCTAGCCAGAATCTCCACCAATCTGCTAATTCTCAGATGTGATGGGCATATCCCAGGCCTCTTCCTACCTGGCTCCACAGTATTCAAAATTACTGACCATTCTTTTCTTCTCAAAACACTCACCTGTCTTTAAATGGCACAATGTACGCCCTTCTGTTTCCTTTCTTCTCTGTCCATATTTTCATAAAAATCTTACCTGGGCCCCGCTTTTCTCCACCAGCTGTGTAACTGTTCTTGTGTGATACTTTCCTCAAACCAGTGCTTCTCAAACTTGAGCATATATCAGAATCTCTTAGAGGGCTGGAATCTGATGACAGGATCCCTCCTTCGGAAATTATGATTCAGTAGATATTGGGTGGGGCTCAGAATTTGCATTCAGAAAAACAAGTTTCAGGTGATGCTGCTGGCCTGGGGAACCACACTTTGAGAACCACCACCTTAAACAATCTTGTCTATGCCTGTGGCTTTGGCTAATAGCAAGACTGATGATTCACAGCCGTGGACATTCCCAAGTCTCTACCACAATGTTCCACAGGCATTGAAAACTTAACCCAATTCAGCCTAACTGAATCTCCTTTGGTCTTTCCTCCCCGTATCCCCAAACCTATTCCCCCAACTAAATTCACTACCTTGGAGAAAAGTACCTCCCACCTCACATCGCAAACTCCTAGGAATTGCTGCCTTCATAATTCTCTGATTTATATACTACTCCTGGTGCTCTCTGTTACTGTCCACATCTGGGCACCCCCTGCCCGCCTTCTTTTTTATACGTGGACTATGGCCTCAGCCCCTAAATGATCTCACTGGTTCCAGCATCATCTTTCAAAAATCTATCCTCCACATCGCTCTCAGAAATAATCTTCCTTAAATGTCACTTGGAGCAGTTCACTGTGTGTAACCTTATTTTCTGTCGCATCCTCACAGAACCCCTAAAATGCAGGCTACTGATTTACCCACAGCAAATCTGTTCCTTTGGCCCTGAACAACCTGTTAGAGTTAGTGGCTCCCCTAATGCCAATAGACAGTGCACGTATTAGGGGTAATGCTGACGTTTTAGAAACACCATGTATTTAATTTTACTAGCACTAGTGCCTGGCAAAGTGCAAGGCACCCTGTAAGAACCAACATATTTTGTGGTTTTGACCCAATTCGAGTTTCCAGGGAAGAAATAAGCTATTTCTGAAATCTCAGGCATTGTTACATCCCCTTAAAGTTCTCTGGAAACTAAATTGGCTCTGAAGGGAGAAAGCAGATTATATACAGCAGTCATGTGCCACAAAACAATGTTTCTTTTCTCTTTTTTTTTGAGACATGGTCTCACTCTGTTGCTCAGGCTGAGTGCAGTGGTGCAAACACAGCTCAATGCAGCCTCGATGTCCTGGGATCAAATGATCCTCCTACCTCAGCCTTTAGAGGAGCTGGGACTACAGGAGCACGCCACCACAACTGGCTAATTTTTTATTTTTTGTAGAGATGGAGTCTCACTATGTTGCCCAGGCTGGTCTCACTCTCCCGGGCTCAAGTGATCCTCCTGCCTTGGCCTCCCAAGGTGCTGGGATTATAGTTTGAGCCACTACTGCTGGCAATAATGTTTCAATCAACAATGGACCACTTGTAGGACAGTAGTCCCAAGAGATTATAATACTGTATTTTTACTATGCCTTTTCTATGTTTAGATACACAAATACTTACCATTGTGTTAAAGTTACCTACAGTATGCAGTACAGTAACATGCTGTACAGGTTTGTAGCCTAGGAGCATTAGGCTAGGTGTGTAGTAGGCTATGCCATCTAGGTTTGTGTAACTACACTCTATGATGTTCCCATAATGACAGAATTGCCTAATGATGCATTTCTCAGAACATATTCCCATCATTAAGCAACACATGACTGTACTTTCTCTATGGATGATCCTGGTTATCCTACTAACACATAATCCTAGGTGCTTTTATTTCAATGATAGATACAGGTGGTATTAGTTTTTTTTCAAATAAGTTTGCATTCGAGGGCATCAATTACATACAGCCATCCCTCAGTATCTTTGGGGGATTGGTTCCAGGACCTGCTGCAGATTACCAAAATCATCAGATGCTCAAGTCCCTTATATAAATTGCATGGTATATGCATATAACCTAAGCATATCCTCCCTATACATTAAATCACCTCTAGGTTACTTTTAATACTCAATACCATGTAAATGCGATGTAAATAGTTGTTATACTGTATTGTTTTTAAACTTGTGTTATTTTTTATTGTTACGGGATTTTTTTATTATTCTCAATCCATGGTTGATTGAATCCATGGATGCAGAACCTGCTGATACAGAAGGCTGACTGTGTTCTTCAGCAAGCTTGTCCTATAGGGATGGAATGATGATTTGGGCTATATTTCTGGCTTAGCTACAAGCCACCCAAACTCTATGGACTTAAGATCTTTTCCTATAAAAGAAGGTATTTGGCTTACTTAGGTCATCTCTTGAGGGCAGTTTTCAGCACATTAGTTTGGCATGATGACATACTCTCCAGTATGAGTTGGTAAAAAAGAGCGTTTCCTCTGCATGAATGCATGAGTAGTTAAGAGGCAATGGAGGAGCGTAGAGAGCTGTACAGGTAAAGCAGCACCTCTTGTGCATTACGAACTGGACTTGGATCTGTAGATCTGTGGAGAGGTGAAAAGGCCCAAACCATAGACTCTGTGGCAAGGATGGCAAGTGGAACCCAGCTCCAGCTCCGGGGGTGGGATACTTCAGTTACCCATAGAGAAAAGAGATCACTGAAGTGAAATGAATGTTATAAATACAGCAGTTAACTTTTTAGCAATTCGCATTTTTGGACACAGTGTGCTCTGAGTGTCTGTTAATTAATTCCCTTGTTTCTAATGTCTTAAGTCAACATTTTAAAAATTATAGTCTGAAGACCACCTGCATCAAAACTATTAGTTTTAAAATGCTTATTTCCAGGCCCCAACCCAGACATCCTGAATCACAAGCTCCCCAGGTGATTCTTATGAATACCGAGCTTCGAGAACAACTGTTAAATGAAAAGAACCCACTCAGGTATGGCTAAAGTTGACACGCTTAAACTCACATGGACTTGGTCAACACCTAGAAGGTCACCAACTAGTTCTTTAAGAAGGGATTACCTTTGCCTTCTTCTGCTAGTTATCAGTTACACAGATAATATCGTCAATTACAGCTTGCAAGACTAACCGGTCTTTCACAATCTATTTTCAACGTGAAATCGTCATAAGAGATAATGTCTATGCCAAGGTCTCAGATCATATTCGACAGATTCACTACTACTAGCTGGGCAGCAAGGAAGAGGATTCAGTGCCCCAAAGAGACCTTTTTCATGCAACACATGCAAATGAAGGATGCAATTAATTAAATATTTCTTTGACACTGCCCAAACGCAAATGTATCCTGCTGCTGAGCCTTCCCTTAGCTTGTTGCCACGACCATCAAATACAAACACAGTGTAGGGAAGGGTCACTGTAATATGCAATACAATAAATATATCAGTGGAAGACCAACATTAAAAGAGTTATTTGCTAATGGGCACCATGCCAGGGTTATTCAGGCAATGCTGCCTGCAGAATTCCTAAGCTGAGTTCACAAGATACAGATCGATGCACCGCCAAAGAGAGTCTATATCAATCTCCATTTCATTCATTAGCTCCCACTTCGAGCTGGTTGGCTGCTAGTTAACTCTTTAATGTGGGAGAAACTGTCAGTGTAAAGGCCACTGGGACACGTGCTCTTCCCAGCTGTACTTGACCTGTCAATATTTCTTGCAGCAGACTGTTTAAACTGGTACGGCTAATGGCAAAATGGAGACCTATGGGGTTTTGAAGGCTTTCATAGCTTTAGAATGGCTTACCATCCAATAGCAAACATTAGTAAATTCATCCCATTGCTGTATTTCTGCCTGTGTCTTACAATCCAGGTGCACACAAACTAGGATAAAATTATTTTCCATAGTTCTATTCTTGAACTCAAAGGTATTTTAGACTACACATTACGTAAATGTGGGCTCCACTACAATGAGATACTATCACACCAAGGACTTGGCTGCAGTGGAGATCATTAGTTTGTGATTCAGCTCTAAAGAAGCTCCAAACAATGAGAGAAGCAAAGCAGCACTTTCTATAAAGTTAGGATTCATTTTCAATTTGTATTGGTCCAGGGACAACTTTATTGTTGCACAGTGGAAGAAGCTGGATGCTCAGGGGGATGCTTGGTGCATGAACTATTTCAAGCCCTTCTGAAAATGTAAATAAGAGCCCTAAAACATAAAGGCATAATTACCAAAACAAAGAATAGTCTCAGACCACCAGGAATAGCTGGCTTCGCTTATCTTCTTTCTACAAATATTGAATTTACTAATTTCCCTTGCCTTACTGTTGAATAAAATCAATTTTCTCAGTAGAGCTGATCTCTGCTTTGTTTGAGGTTAGATGTGAAGTTGATATGCATCCTTAGATATACTGTTTGGGAGAAAGCCTTGAATATTTAACCCGACGTCACAGCAAGCCCTCCCTTCTCCATCCTGGGGGGGCATATATTGATTCATTATTTGACAATCAGGATTCTCCATAGGTTAATTGACATGTTTGGAATTCATGGCAAGAAAATCTGTGCATTATTTTAAAACTCCTGTCAAATTGTTTGTAGATATGGTTTGATAACAACACCTGTTTTTTCCTCTCTTGGCCAATACAATCCATTGAGAATCCTGGCTTAAAAAATTTCCCTGCAGAATTGTCAAACATATGTATTTGTATTTCATTACTTGGGTAATAGCTGATTTGCCAAGTTCATTTACTACTAGTTGCTTCTCAAACATCTCAGTGGGATAATTAAGGAATACTAAGAACTGAAACTGTACTAAGTTAGGAGGGGGCTGGAGCCATTGCCCAAATCCCAGTCCTGATTAAACTGCTGTCCAGAATTAAATATTCAGTAACTCAAATTCTCTTTTTTCTTCCTTTACTCATCATCAAGGAGACAGAGCTTTTCCACAAGTTGTGCAAAAGAGACCCCCCTCAAATTATCCACTCCAAACAGATCAAAATCCCGTAGACTTTCAAGTGAAAGGTATTTAAACTCAAAATTGACTTGGTAATGGTCTAAATGGTGCTTTCTCTCAGTGGATATACATGTGGGGAGACAAAGTAAATAGGAACTCCAGGAATATGTCCTGGAAGAGAATAAAGAAAGGCCAGGCATAGTTCAAGGTTATGGCTGAACACAGCAGCACTGATGAGAATTTGGACAGCTAAATACCCTCTCTTGAGAAATTGTGGATGTGAAGAATTCTAAAGAAGAATGCTGAAGTATGATAGCATTAGAGTTTAAATGCTCTCAAAGAATCTTGCTGGCTCATTGCACAAAGAAAAGAGATATTTTAATCATGAGCTATCTATCATCACTTGAATTTGAATGCCTGTTGTTTGAAGTCACAAGCTACCAAGTCCTGTGATGTAGGTTTTCAGGTCTAGTGCTAGAATAAAAAAGGTATGAAAATGGAAAAAAAAAAATAGAAAAACAAATGGCTGTGGACTCGACAGAAGACAGTGTGTCTGAAATGCTGTCCCTTAAATTTGGGACAAGGAGAAGTAAGGATCATACAATGGTGAGTTTCTCAGACTCTTTCCTCTGGAGAAAATGAGAATATATGAGAGTCTAGAGGGAATGTGTTAAAAAAAAAAACAAAAACAACAAAAAAAACCATTGAGGAGTACAAGCCTCACTGCTATCATTAGTTTCTTCAGTCCATCAGTTTTTCAAGTTCATACACACACTATAGAAAAGGATATCCAGGATGCAAACCAAAACTCTGTTTCAAGTGCAGGCACCAAAGTAGTAGATGGCTGAATTCTCATCAGAACAAACTCTAATGTGAAAGGGCAATTCTGATAATGATCCTCACTTATTTCTCTTTCTTCCTATAGCAATGCATATTCCTTCTTGACATATCACTGATAGACTCAAAGGGGTCCTTAAGAATTCCTTAGAGAGATCCACCTGGTTTTCTTTTTTTTTTTTTTTTGAGATGGAGTCTCGCTCTGTCACCCAGGCTGGAGTGCAGTGGCGCAATCTCCCCTCACTGCAAACTTCGCCTCCGGGGCTCACGCCATTCTCCTGCCTCAGCCTCCAGAGTGGCTGGGACTACAGGCACCCACCACCACGCCTGGCTATTTTTTTGGTATTTTTTTTAGTAGAGACGGGGTTTCACCGTGTTAGCCAGGATGGTCTCGATCTCCTGACCTTGTGATCCACCCGCCTCAGCCTCCCAAAGTGCTGGGATTACAGGCGTGAGCCACTGCGCCCGGCCCGCTCCACCTGGTTTTCTATCAACTATGCATTGGATGTTCATGGGGAAGGTATTATTGATTTCCCAAAAGTGAAAAAGTTACTGAACTTAATGCTGGCATGATCTTGTTTCTTTCTATTTCATTACGTGAGAAAATTGTATCGTTTTCTTACTCTCTCAATACCCAGGAGCCCAGGCTTAAGGAAGGGGAAACAGTTCAAACTCTTCAAATAAAATAAAAGTAAGACAGAAGAGCCAGAGAGCTTCTCTTGTCACATTTCTACAATTTCCAGCTTTCAAGCCGCCACTTACAAGCCACTTCTTGACATAATCTTTGGGCTTAAACACGTGAAACAGTGGACCAACCAGCTCAATAAAAAGACAAAGATGATATGCAACTAATGGACGGAGCATCGCAACTAGGTGTTAACACATCATTCATTGAACTAAATGCTCTTTCAAACTCTGCAGCAGAAACAATTAAAGTACTGACGGCAGTCTTAAGTTGCTTCAAATTGTCTGGCACAATTGATCCACAATTATCTTTGTACTCCCTGAAGCCCCCAAATGCTACCTTCTTCATTGACTTTACATTTTCTTCACAGTTCTCCAACCTGTGTCCTGGCATACTGAATATCTGACAAACTGAATATCCTTTGGAGAAGCCCATTGTGATAGATCTAGGAATCCTAAATATTCTATTAAAAATCTGAGCTGTATGCCCCTTGAATGCTTATAAGCAGATCTCCATAGCAAATCATATTGATTTTAAAAAGAAATCTTACTCTTTTAATAAGAAATCTTATTGAGAATTTAAAGATGAGAGTTAAACTGTAAGACAAAGAGATAACAAACCATTTTTTCCACTAGCTTCACAACGCAACATATTAGAGAATTCTGTGATGCAGGCTTTATGGCAAAGAGGCATATTCAACTTCCAAAGTGTGAACTTTAAAACCACTCATAACTGGTGTGGTCAAGGAATTTTGTTCACCATGTTTGCATTTTTGGGTCGAGTCTCTGATGGCCAATAAATACACTGCTGATAAGAGATTTTCTTGAGGGTTTATTTACATGGCTATTTGGACATCTCTTTGTTGACAAGGAAAACTCTTAAGTGGCCAATTCATCAGCATCTCTGTGAACATCCTGTGGAACACAGCACATCCAAATGTGCTTTGCTTTTAAAGCATAGTGAAAGGAATTTGTTTTGGAACATAGGCACAGATGTGTTCATCAACACTAACTTATATAAATAAATATCTTTCTAATATGTTTTTACCCTAATCTTTCTCCTTTTTGTTATTGATGTTCTTGTAGGAAACTGTGCAAAGTTATGTGCGTGAAAAACCTTCAGGATGGAGAGAATCAGCTGCCTACCTTGAACTACCTTGAATAAGGCTGCCTTTGCTCTAAGAAAACCTGAAAAGTCTTCAACTAAAAGCTGAAAAGTCTTCAACTATTACGTGAGGATCTGCAGTTGGGGTCTATGCTGTAGTGACTCAAGATCACTGATAGAACTTAAAGTCTAATTTTTTTTTCAGTTAGGTGCATCCCGATACAGAAATAGTGAAGAGTATTTTAGCTAGGACCCAAAATTGCCAAGGTTCTTGGAACTTCACAAAGGTCAAAGCTTGAACTGTGTCTGAAGAGGGTATCAGAATGTATCTTTATTCAGTACCATAGACTAAGAAAGAAAAACAACTTTATTTGTACGTTATATGAGGAATCCTCCTCATGATCTCACATTTGTTATCTTAGTTCCGTTTCCTCAACAATGCTGTGACCCAGTGTGGATTCCCATGGATCTTATTGAAAATGCTTATTAAAACTGCTACTTGACAGAAACTTTATAATTTTAGACTAATTTCTCTCCATCCCCTCTGAATAAAAATTCACATGGTCATTGAATTTTTATGTGACAATAATGCATATATATATATACGTATAAATATATATAATACTCAAATTCTTTGATGCTTTGTGTGGCTTGGAATAAATGTTAATATTACAGAGAATATGGTTGAAAGAAGTTTTGAGTATAGTACCCTTAACAAACATACTAATATTTAATACTGCAAGCTCCACTCCCACTTCATGGCACTCCCAATTCCTTTTCTCCTATTTACTTTTTATCTTTCTTATCCCTTTGTATGGATAACCTAAAATACTACAAAACTGATGTATTTGGTTTCTTTTCTACTTATTGTCTATCTATCTCCCTCCACTGGAATATAAACTCCATACAGGCAGGAAGCTTTGCTTTTTTCACTGGTGTGGCCCCAGCACCTAAAAATGGTGCCTGTCACATGGTGGGTGTTCAGTAAATATTTGTTAACAAGTGAGTAGCATCGTTAGTTTAATGCAGGCTAGCAGACATTGAATGATGTTGTCATTCTGTGCTTCCATGATGCTATCTTTCCCAATAAGTTAATGATGGCCCAATAGTCTACGTTTCATAATCACCCTGGGGAATATTGCTAAAGGTGTTAAGTATTAATTGCCTCAAACACAGTGGGACGTATACACCCCTGGAGAATTTTTAAAGTCTTGTAAAACATCTTGTACAAGAAGCACTGAATTTCATATATATTCAACATTTGGGATATTTACGTATCCTCTGTTAAGAGAAAGGCAAATTTTGGGAAATCAGTGACCTCTTCTGGAACTCAATATTGTAACTGCATGCAGTCCCCCTCTAAAGGTAAATTTTATGCAAATATTACCTTCAATACAATAAGAAATTTTAATATACTTAGATGTTTGTAGATTCGTATTCATTTTCATTCCCTCTCCCTTTGTCTCTCTCAGCATAGACACAGACATGATGTGGGAGAAAGCACTGCCAGAAAGATCCTGACATAAACGTATACACGCAAAGAGGGAAGGGGTAGAAGTCAGAAGTTCTGGGTTGTAGTTCTGGTTTTGCCATTATCTAGTCAAGTGATCTTGGCCAGTTAATTTCTCTTTGACAATTCTATTTTATCATTGGTTAACCATTTAAGATCCTTTCATTCTCTAACAAGTCTATAAGACCACAAATGGCAGACAGACAAAATGAAAGGGAGAAAATAAAGTTTACTTTTATAAATGATTCCAATAGCCTTTCACTTTTTGATGGATTGAAAAATCATGAATTCTCCTATTGCTTTATCATTTTCCATTCTTTATACCCAAATGTTATTATTATTATTTGGAGACAATATGGGTTAATATCTGGTCCCCTAACTCACAGCATTACCTTTGGTGAAGAACTATGTTGCTTATAGAATTAATCAGAGGAAATTTCAAAATAGTTTATAACATCAATCTCTTTGACAACATATCTAACCGCTTATTTCATCTTGCCTTTGGAATAATGTCAGATAGAAACATCCAGATATCTTTGGGCAAAGCTTGTTCTAACACCTGCTTTGTTACCTCCTCTACTGCATATAGTTGTTCACCAAAAACAAGCTAGTGTGGAGAATTTCATTAAAGTACCTCTGTGTCTTTAATCAGCCTGAACTCTCCTGCAGCGTCTTCAAAGGGATTCATCCCCATTTGTCACAAGCAAACCAAGGTAGCAGCTCTCCTGTTGTTACAGCAAAGGAAAGATATTTCCCTACTTGCAGCAGAATTTCCTGTATGTTGACTAACTGGAAAAGTGGTCTCTGTTATCGTGTTTATGCCTATGGTTTTATGCTCAGAATTTAAAATAAGCTGTGGATGTTTGGGATGGCTTAGGCCAATTTATATTTTATATTTTAATTAGTCAAGACAACAAGGTAATTATATTATTCCCATTTTAAAATTTAAGTAATCAAGGCAGAGCAAGTGCCAAGGTCACCAATTAGGTCCATGGTAAGACCAAGATTATAACACAAACACTGTTGGCACATTATTTATGTTTCTAATTAAATAAAAGGTCATGTTACACTAAGACAGACCCTACACAGTCAAACAGAAAACATACTGGATTGGAAATCAAACAGTATGGATTTTACCACTAATTTAATATAATACCTCATAGGTAGTTATCCAAGTTCTGGCTGTATTCATTCAATATTAATTTATTTAATAAACAAATACCCACTGTGCACACACACATGTAAGGAGTAGGCAGGAAGTAGTTTCAAGGCAACACATTGACAAGAATGTGTATAAACTAGATGCGCAAAACTTACTTAGAGAATTAAACAAATGATGATCTGATGAGGCCTTTGCTGCTCTGACTGCTTTGAGTTAACTGACATCTGGTCCTTTCATTCAAACTGAAGCTGACATAATTTACCAAAATATAAGGATGTTTTGGATTTGTGAAAACTCATTTAAAACTTTTTTCTATGTATCAATTTTCCTATGTTTAAAATAAGATGATTAATATTCTGCTTTAATTAATAGAATGAAAAAAAAAAAAAACTACATAGTTCTTCCCAAGTGCTTTGGGGGCATTCTAAACCAGTGGTTCTCTTTATTCTTTATGCCAAGGACCTCTGAGAATCTCACAAAAGTTATAAAACTTTACTCAATCATAAAAAATAGATGAACACAACATTTTATGTCAATTTCAGAGATTCACAAATCCCCCAAATCCTATCCAAAGAGACCCGGTTAGGAACCTGTGTCCTAAACCAAATGCAACACAACTTCGGGAGAGCATCCTCCTTTGATATGGTGATCTTGATTCTAGCTCTACAATCCATTTACTCCACAAATATTATTGAACACCTAGTATCTGTCACATGCTGTTCTAGGTGATGGGATATCTCGGGGAACAAAACAAAGTTTCCCCATCCCAGGAGAGTGTAAGACAGACAATCAACAAAAGCAATAACTGAATTACATGGTATGCCAGTAGGTGGCAAGTATTATGGAAAAAAATAAAGTCAGAAAGTGGTTTAGGGGTGTCAGGGAGCTTGGGGGAGGAAGTTTGCAATTTTAAATGTGGTAGTCTGAGAAACTTCACGGAGCATGTTACATTTAAACAAAGACTTCGAAAAGGAGAACAAGCGATGCCATATCTGGGAAGAGTGCTCTAGGCAGAGGAAACAGGAGTACCTGAGGAGTCCTTTTAGCATTTCTTTTTAATTTTCTTACAAGTGAAACATGAGGTTTATTATCAATTGATTCAATTGACAGATAGTCAAGTAAAGAACAAAATCATATGAGGTTGCCTGAATTATTAAGAGAGGGCAGTGCCCAGTGAGGAGGCAGGATGGCTGGATGGAAGTGAAAGACAACGAAATAATAGGAGATAACAACAGAGAAATAAAAGGTGTGTGGGGAGGAGGCCTTGGCAGGTCACAGAGGGCTTATAGCAATTTTGGCTTTTTCTCTAAGATGGGAAGGCCTTGGAGAGAGTGGAACAAAGTGACAAGATCTGACTTATGTTTGCACAGGACCATCGTGGTTGTTGGGTCGGGAGGCAAGAGAGAAAGCAGAGGCACCCATTAGGTGGCTGCAGTAGACACGCAAACACAGATGATACGACCTGAACTGCAGTGGTAGCCGTGAAGGGCTGAGAAGCAGTGAGACTCTGGATGTATTGTGAAGCTGCGTCCAAATGCTGATGTATTATACATGGGGTATGGTCAAATATGCCTCCAGTGTTATTTTGGCCTGAGTTGTCATTCACTTTGACTGCAGGGGAAATAGGGTGGGAAGTGGTAGTAAGGATGATACAAGAATTTGAAGGCTTACTGGGATACTGTCATCCACTGTCCATTGTACTTTGTGGGCTGATCTGAATTTCTCTACTTTTCTTTATGACCAGTATTTTTAGCAAAATATTGAGCTTAATATTTTTACTGTTACACTTTATAGTTGGATGGATCAGACTCTTCCCAGGAAGCCTTCCTTGACTCTACTAGCCTCCTCTGGATTCACAGTCCAGTTTGGCCATGGACTCGTTGTTTATAAAACTGTTCCCTTCATGTTACTGTAGGTCTTGATATTTTACCCCCTGAACTACACCTTAACGTCCAAAAATGCAGTAGTGTGAAGTGGTAGTCAGGATAATAAAAGAATCTGAAGGTTTACTGGGATACGATCCCACTTCCAAGCCCTCCTTTGTATCTCACCAAACATACCTAGCATGGTATTGGGTGCCGGGCAAGTAGAATTACTTAATGCATTCTTGACTGATTGGGAAAAAAAATCTCTGCAGAGTTCTTCCTTATAGCAACTTCCCTTCTTTCATTTTTACTCTCAACTATGAAAATGGAACAGCTTGAGACATCAAAGCTTTTTACAATTTGATGAAGTTTGTATAATCGGTGAAAAGATAAACCACATGCACCATATTTGCGTCTCAATACATTTCCTGAGCTGCAATCTGGATGGGAATAACTAAGGCCAACACTTGGGCAAACTCAATAGGATCTAAAATTGTGATTAATGCTACAACATTCATATCATTTATGTCTTTAAGATCTGTCAAATCTGTAGAATTTTAGTGTTTGTTCCTTTTACTATTTCTTTTTAATTTTCTCATGAGGGAAACATCAGGTTCATTATCAATTGATTCTATTGGCAGGCAGTCAAGTAAAGAACAAAATTCTATATGGTTGCCTGAATTATCAAGGGACTAGTAACTTCATCATGTTGGCACAGTAGAAAGCTGTTAAAGATTATAGTAAATGTTTCTAGCACTTTCAGTAAAATGGCTTTTTTTTTTTAGGGTTTATTTTTCCTGTTAGCTATACGGAAATCCGCTTTCTTATGGTTCCACTTTATTGACGCATCCCAATCTTGGACCCAGTAGACTTTATCTCATCTGTTGTATCTAACTAATGTTTATTTCTTTGCTCTTAGAACCGACTGGTAATCAGAGAGTTCTGAGACTGAGAACAGTGGTTTTGAACATTAGGAGAGAAAACTTGGTAAGAGAGATGGGTGAAGCAGACAGATTGCCACTTCACATCATTTCTGCTCAGGCTGCTGGATACTGGTCATTCATTGCGCCTTTCAGAGTCATTAAAATTTACCTATTTTAAATTCTGACACTGGACCTTTCTGGCTCTTTGTTTCTTTTCTTCCTCATTATGGGCTCCAAGCAGGAGTTTATTTCAAATTACTCTCCATTACAGAAATGGCATTTTGTACTGTGTCTTTTTCTGAGTGACCTTTCCCCTGTCAGAGTTTCTTCATTTCTAAAACTTGACTGCTTCAAAGAGAGGATGTGTGTGAATTTCGCCTTTACTTATGTTTTTTTCTTCTTTCATTTTTTTACCCCTTGTAGTTTGCTTATTTAGGTTTTGATAAGGAAAGAGACATTTCTCTAATTTGTGAGTTATCCAGGTCTTTTACTGTGCATTGCTCACTTTGACGTAATCTACAGATGGCTACCACATCCATCAGAAGGGAAAGATAATTATGAAAATCCATATTAGCCAATTTTGGAACTTACTAGCTATTTATATAAAAATTTAACCATAGTGGGGGTATGGAGATAGTTAATAAAATTAGATTCCTCCATTATAATACTAAAATGCACTTATGTTTTGCCTCTTGTTATAAATAATTTTTAAATATACGCACAATGATACAAGGTATGAGGACTATTAGAACTAGAGGGGAGAAGAAATCCTGGATTTCAAACTCATCTAATATGATTTTTACATGAACACTTTGGCATCCCTATCTTTTAGCTGGCAAAAAGTATTTTTTGACAGTTTAGATGTTCAAAAATTAGAAGTTAATATCACATTTAACACTTTCTTCAAGCCTAGACTTAAGTTTTATTTCTTTCATGATACTTCCTCATAAAGTATGTTTCAAGGTATCTGTAAATATGGCTTCTTCTTTTTATCTTTTTAAGAGTTCCACATCCATCTCAATTTTGTCTTTATCATCTTCAATCTCACCTTTTCACGTATTGCAGTTAGAAAGTTTGTCAGGGCAACAACTAAGTCTTAAATAACTTTAACATAGGCCATGGTCATTAGTATACTTCTCGTTACCTAGTCATTTAAATGACTCATTTGTAACGACATACATGTACAAACTTTTTACTAATGGTAAAGCATTTTCATATCTGGCCAGACTTAAGTTAGATGACATATAACCACACGTTAGCTTTAGGTTTCTCAGAAGCATCTGTTAACCAAGATCTCATGTACCAACCATTTTCTGGACCATCCTTTGTTAGATATTTGACACTCTGAGAAAAATGATTGCCTGTTTATTAGTCAAGCTGAAATAGAGTAAATCAATAAGGCCAACTTGTAGCCCAAATAAATAAATAAATAGATTTATATGCCAAGTAAACCTAAGAATGGGCATAAAACATATATTTGGTGCATTATAACTGTATGTTATGTCTATTAATGTTGATTTTTGAAATTAATTTCAAATTAAAAATTAAAATGAGGAAGACTTTATCTGAAGTCAATTTATTCTAGAAAAATAGTTAACATTCATCTTTGCCATTTCTTTGAGATCAGTCTCTCTCTATATTTGCATATTTTTGTGAATGCACACGTATATACAGCACATACACTTCTATCTTCCTGTCCTAAGAGAAACACACCTTTCTTTTCAAATAAAGAGTTTTTCTTTTTATGGGTATAAGAACAGAAGTGAGGGAATGAAGGGTCTCTACAGTTCCATTTTCATAATAGAATTCTGTTGTTCTGGAATGATTTATTTTTGAATAAGGAAAAATGTAAGGAACTTGGAACAGAGACAGAAGTACCTTCTCATCAAAGGTTGTCTATAGTTTCATGAATCACATGTGATGGATGAGATTTATGAATTAGAATCTGTGTCAAAAGATTTACAACATACTAAATTAGTTATGACATCTTCTCGTCGGTGCGCATAAACTTTCAACAAAATATCTATATCATCACCACAGGAGCATGGCCAGCCCAATTCTTTCATTTCACTGCAGCACATCCAGACCCTGTCACTGTAGTTGATGAATTCTTGAAGGAATGAGCCTCAGATCAATTAAAATAAACACCACAAGCTGATTTATCAAATATTTTCTGAATGCTCTCAGAAAATGTCAAAAATCTGATCCATTGACAGAGAAAAGTCAGAGAATCGTGGCAGCCTATGGGATCACAAGACCTTTTCAAAACCATCATAAATCACCACAGAAAACAAATGGGGCACCATGTGATAAGATTTCTTCTGACAGCTTTGCCTCAACAAGACATATATGAGATAAATGGATATCTTCGTCTATACCCAATTGCCAGTTTACAAAGTCCCAAGTTGTCAAACTGTAAAATACACCACTATCAAAGTCCTTCCCAATAATGCACCTTTTTTGGGTAGACAAGAGTGGATTTAAAATAACATCCCCTTCAGTTCTATTTTATCATTGCAAGCTACATAATGTCCCTGCTGGTGTGTGAGCTTTCTAAAAGAGCACGTGTGTGCACGTATACACACAGAGAAGGCTCCAAATTTACTTTCATATACATCCTTGTCTGAACTAATGAAACCTTCTTCACTTTCCATTATTAAAAGAAAACTGCTTTATAGTGCTAAAGTGCATCTAATCAAGGTACCCTTTGGATTTTTTTTTTTAATCATCTCAGTCTTGTCTCATTTCATATAGTTTAAGAGCACATTCAGAGACAAGCAATAATGGGCTAACCTATTCGTCCAGTCTACTTCAGGAACAGAGAAATGCTTCTATTAATGAGTTTTTGCAAATATGATCAAAACCTATAGACAAAGGTAATAGGCCTTGGATTTCACAGTAAATTTCATAGGAAATTTAAATTATATATTATGACTAATTTTTCTCAAGAGTTGGCAGATAAAATCACAGAAATGTTAGAAATTTTGTATGAGATATGAAGCTGACTTTTCTGATTCAAAGAAGCTAAAGAACTTCTATCTCAAAGTAAGACTGAAACCTGAATCAAAGAAATGGTATCTATACGTTAAAGTATATAAAGATATGAACATTTGGAAACAGTAAAAAAGAAATTAAGCCTACTCTTAAAGGTTTCAGATACTACTTAATTTTCAAAGAACAAGAAATCCAGCAGACTAGAGAACCAATTCCCTGTGCTACTCCCACAACTGACAGCACCTCACTGCTTCTCTTTCTACATTTTTACTGCCTTACTCAAATCCTTCTGGTCATGAGCCTTCTTCAACTGCGGAAGGTCTGCTTTGTTTGATTGCTAATTCAAGTTGCACTTACTAGAAAACTAAGCTTGCATTTCCAGGCCTTGCAACTTACCAGTTTCTATGAACTGTGGCAAATTAACCCATTTAAATAGTGGGAAAACATTTCATTGCTATCAAATATGTGAGAAGGGAATCTAGAATCAGGTTAGAGTAGATAACCTGAAATAGGGATCCCCAACTCCCAGGCCATAGACCGGTACCAACCGTGGCCTGTTAGGAATCGGACCACACAGCAGGAAGTGAGCAGCAGGTGAGCCAGCGAAGCTTTATCTGTATTTACAGCTGCTCCCCATTACTTGCCTTATCACCTGAGCTCCACCTCCTGTCAGATCAGCAGCAGCTTTAGATCTTCATAGGAGCATGGACCCTATTGTGAACTGTGCATGGGAGGGATCTAGGTTGCAACTACTTAAGGAGAATCTAGTGCCTGATGATTCTGTCACTCCCAGATAGGACCATCTAGTTACAAGAAAACAAGCTGAGGGCTCCCACTGATTCTACATTATGGTGAGTTGTATAGTTATTTAATTATATATTACATTATATTTTACAATATAATAATAATAGAAATAAAGTGCACAATAAAATGAAATATGCTTGAATCATCCCAAAACCATCCCTCCACCCCAGTCCATGAAAAAACTGTCTTCCATGAAACTGGTTCCTGGTGCCAAAAAGGTTGGGGACCACTGTCCTGAAACATGTACAGAACAAGATTTGATACCTCTCTGTTCAGGGTGGATATGTGAAAAAATACATTGTTTAATTTCTTTATATATAATTGATCCAAGGATTTCATTTGCTTCACAATTTGTTGAGTCCCCGCTGTGTCTCATGCACTTCCGAGTTACTGTGCCTAAAAGCTATTGCTGAGTTCCTACGCAGTTACTAGTGGAGAGATGCAAGTGTCAGCCATTTTTTTTTTCTTTAACTGCTCAGTAATCTTGAGGATATTGCCAGAGAAGTGAAATGGCAAAGACTCTTAGAGACCTCTCTTTACCATTTAAGGCATGAAAGAATGGTCTTTGTCTTTTAAGAAATAGTCAACAGTGAAGAGAAGATGCTATAAAAATCACTCTTAGCAGGATGCCTAATGTGGCACAGCCCTTGATCGCTGTGATTTACTACACTTCAGATCAGCGTAACAGCTTTTGCCCATTCATTCAGAGCAAATCTCAGGGTCACCAGTGATTACTCTAAAATGTATATTAATTTTGAGAAGGAACAGGAGTGTACATTACTTCCGATGGGCATAAAGCAAATATGCCATGTTTATTTTGGAAGCAAGAGAGATATAACAAAGGTTACAGGTGGTGAATGAAAACCATCAGCTCTTCACAGATCTTAATCCTGGCAAATACTCTTAGCTGTGGGCAGCATCTTTGTGGGAATGTGGGTGTGTGGCATTCCCCCCACCTAAATTTCCTCTCTTCTGGGATTTTCTTTCCCAAGGAGCAAGCAACGAGTTCATCCCATGGCCTTCAACTGCTCTTGTACCTTGCTAATTTCAAAATTCCGACCACAAAAAAGTACTTTGCTATGAGTCAGTAAATGGAATACATTAATAAAGCTTGAGTGTTTGGCCCTTTTCCAGACTTGAAAACTTGATCATGCTGGCTGCAATGGAGGCTTCGATTTTTTGTTTAGTGTAAAGGAAAATTACCCTATACAGCTTTTAACTCCCCGAGGCTATTCCTAAAAGCCTTGCTCAAACTTCTAAGGTGCCTGGACTAGTATTTGAGCTTAGAAAAGCTGTTGGCAAATCCCAGTGAAATTTTTTGACAGATTCATCTTTTAGCCTTTGGGAAAGTGAAGGTGCTGCAGGCAAGATATTTGATTAATGCCATGAAAAATAGTGTTGCTGGCACAGCTGGTATGTTGGGAGAAAAATTCATCACTAACTCTAAAACTGCCATGTAATTTTCTACCCACAGTTCTTTTCCTCACTTGACAGAAGATTTGCACAGGACAAACTCGGCTGACAGAGGACAAGTCAGCCAGATGTTGAGGTATCTCTAAACATGACAGATCACTATGTTTTAGCTCAGATTAATTCGCTTATTAGAGGTAGACCTAAATCACCAGTCATTGTCAAATCAGTTGTCACCACCTGCAAATCATGTCACATTTCTGAACAAAAATGTTGCGGTTTTAAAGAGTTGCTCTAACCTCAGCCCCTCTGCGCTGAGAGTGAGATTCCAACAA
Source organism: Homo sapiens (assembly GCF_000001405.40). Taxonomy (NCBI): domain Eukaryota; kingdom Metazoa; phylum Chordata; class Mammalia; order Primates; family Hominidae; genus Homo; species Homo sapiens. Next base: position 33,616,628 of record NC_000014.9, on the reverse strand, counting down.
AAAGCACAGGATCACTCTCCTCACTAAGGCAAGCATTTTAAAATGTTCAGTTCTATCCCAGCCGCAACTCAACCACTTGCTTTCTGTGAGGTCAGGAAGAACAGGGAAAGTATGATTTCAGAGTCTGACAGCTGCCGAGACGGGCACTGGTCTGGATTTGTGTGATCTCACCTTCTCCTCTTCCCCTCCCGCCTTGGCATTTCCATAGAGCGACACAGGGTGTTCCCATGCTCCTGACCTCAGCAAGTGGCCAAAGGTAAACACAAATTCATTCACCAATAAAGAAAATGTCAAGAACATCTTTCAGAACAGAGCAACTAGTGTAACTCTGTTCCATAAGTTCATACGAAGCACATCACATCTTCGTCTGTGAGGGCTTGGTGGCCTCGACAGAATGCATCGACTCTTTCTAGCTCAACTCCCAACAGACCCGTTGTCCAGCTTACGAAGTCAGGACCACACTAGCCCCAGAGTTGGCAGGCTTAAGAAAAGTGTCAAGGAGTAAATAAGCCATGGAAAATAGCTAATATCTTCATCCCAGGAGGTTGAGTCAAGGGCTGGGAAACACTGGCAAAAAGAGCAGTGGAAAAATTGACACCAGCTATGCTTGCACTATGGCTGCCTTGTAAAGGGCAAATGGACTTTCTATTGGGCTCATCAGGAACTGGTGCTCCTGAGAGCAATGTTCTCATTAAAAGTGCAAGAAGCCAAAGAACGTACTGCCATAAATAGGGCAACATTTTTGCCTCGGGTATTTTTCTTTTTCTTTTAAAGACCATAATCTAGTAAATCAAACTAGGTTGATATGTAGGGCAGACACTGACTCTCTGGAAAGGAATATATGGCTACGGGGATTCTCAGCATGCACTCTTAGTTCTCATTTAGTTTGTTCAAGATCTAAACGTGTACTAGGTCCCCATTTAATAAACAAGTTGATTTATGCTACTTTTTAGCATTACTCAAATTATTATAGCAAAGGGGCACATGAAATGGAAAGATCTGTAACAAACTGATAAGTCAGGACTACAGTGGAAATAATCTTTCTGCTCATATTTCTGTTCATGGTACTCCTATTTTCTGAGTCACAGTCACCAGGATTGACACACTGAAGTGACCTTCTAGTTCTCTTTTTCTCTTTCTCTTTTCTCTCAATATTGAATCAGTACCCAAGTCCTCGCTTACTCCTTCTTAATGCCTTTCCAAGCCCACTGCCCTTGCTCCGGTTCTGCCCTTCCACCTCTGCAGTCGCTGCTGTCACAGCTCCTTGATCTTTCTGCCTCTTGTCTCACTTCTATAATCCATCCTCTGCACTGCAGCCAAATTGAACTTGGTACTTAGTTTATGCCTTTCCCTGCCTTAAAAACATGCAGTGACTTCCTGTTGCCTACCAGGTAAAGTTTCAACTCTTTAGCTTATACTGACAGTTCTCTCAAGTCAGTTCCAGATATACACTGCCTACTGCCCCACTCAAACCTAATCCGCGGGCCATGGTGGATTACTTATTGCCCTAAGTGCTGCCCTTTGCCATCTTTGTACCGATGCCACCTCATGCTCCTGTCACCTAGAATGGCCTTTGCTTCAGCTCTACTTACAGAACTCCTACCTGTTTTTCAAGGCCCAGTCACAGTGCAGCCTCTTCCATGAATTCATCTTTGCACATCCATCTCTCTCAACTTTCATGGCTCCTTTTTTCCTACAATTCTTACATTGCTTCTTACATTCTGCTTTGCACTATAAATTTTGGTATAGTGCTAAGCAGTCAATTCTTCAGGAATTTGGGTATAACTTTTAAGTAAACAGGTATTCAGAATATATTTTGAATAATTAAATTTGGAAAAGGTTCAATTACTTTAAATAATCTAGGTTTGAAAAGCCTCTGTTCCTTCAAATTTGGGGTTTGGGGGCTGAAGAACTAGATAATGGCTTAAGTCCTTTATTTCTAGTTTGTTCTGACCTTTAAATAGTCAACAAATTGATAACACTGCTCTAAACTGCTGTGGTATATGACCCCCAGGACTGTTTAAGCTGCTTATGCTAGCTAAGAATATGGTTTTTGAACGAGGCTGATTTCCTGTTTAAAACACCAGTGTGGCTGCAAGGCCCACAGGGACTGGACCCCTCATCCTGCCACCCTCACCTCTCCAGGGCTGTGCTCTTTCTTCTCTCCATGTCACCACTAAGGTAGCAAGAAGAAATTTAGGGCAGTACTGAGGATGCTCATCTCTCTCCACCAATATTCTACACAAATATAGTTCTCAAATTATTAATATGTTCAAAATTATTTGCAGAAAGCTCTGGGTAGCTTTGTCATGCCTGTTTGGCAATTAATTACTCCTACAACTATTTTGGGGCCTCTATGAGATATCAAGAAAGATAACTTAATAAGCACCCTAACTCAGAGATGCTTAACAACTACCCTTCAATCAAATCAAGAATAACTTCCACTGGTTGAAGAAACTCCCAGTAACATGCATGAAGTGACTGTAAAATATTTTTTACCCAGATCTGTATTCAGTGATAAGTCCTTATTTATAAACTTTGGTTTTACCAGCTTTTTAAGAAAGAGCTTGCATAATTCAGTTTCGTGATGGATCTCATGAAAACTTCCCAAGTCAGGAGACAAAGCCTACTAGGTGATGACTATTATGGGGGACATGGTGAGTTTCCGGCCTAAAGGAATTTGGAATCTGACAGGTTGAGATAGTAAGAGAAGCACACAGGTAATTACCCTATAAGAGGGGGGAGAAGGAAAATGCCAACATGAAAATATAAACAAAGCAGTACTGAGCTTCATAAGAGAGACTTGTGAGCCTTGAGGTCAAAGAAGGATCTTAAAGTAGATACATTTAATTGGAAGTTGTAGATTGGATAGATTTTGACAAAGAGGTAAATTGAGAGTTCTGCCTCAGGGGGTTAGGAAACGCTTCAGGGAGGAGGGTGCGAAGGATGAGCAGTGTGGCCTGATGGCTAAAAGGGAGAAGGCTGGTGCAGTGGAAGCCACTGAGGCAGGGACATTCATTCCCCTGAACACCGAAGGATGGGGCTGGAGCACCAGGAGACCATGCTGAAATAGGAGCAGAATGTAGCACCAATGAAGAGAAGAGAGGGGAAGCCTCAAGCTGTGGTTAGGAGGTTGCAAATTGTCCAGTGTGAGAAGGGCACAGAGAACACATGATGGAAATCCTGGAATATTAGGCTGGAAGGGTCAATTCAGAGAGGGGAAGGGAAGCTGAACAGACTGCTTTCTTAGGACCTCAACCTTCTCAGCAATATAGGAAGGGGAAGGCTCACCTTCTGATCTCAGCACATTCTTGGTCACAAGTCCTCAAAGGATCTGTTTCCTCTGGAGTCAGTTCCAGTTCCATAGATTCTAAATGGCCTCAGGGTAACTCCTCTTCTGAAAGGCAGGGTTTGTAGGGCCAGGAGCAGGTGCCCTCCAGTTGGCCCATTTGATGAGCTGTGTGAATTTGGGCTACTCAATCTCTCTGTCTTTTATATTATCCATATTTGAATCCCCACTGATTTGAACATAGTAATCACTCATTGAAATACATGTTGAATTAAATTTTCAGTTACCTTACATTACTACCTGATCTCTATCAGGAATTATAAAACATGAAACACATAAAAACAGCAAGCTATAAGAAACTTGCTTTTTTCTTTTTCTTTTTTTGGTTGATGGAATTTTTCTACCCCTTTTATGCAATTAAAGTGAAAACGAAAAACAATTTAAAAAGTTAAGAAACCCCGGTACTTTCTCTAGTGATTCCACTTTATTAAAAATTATGAGAGAAAGAAGCCTCAGATTTCCCATCCTAGGATACACATGTTTCTATGGGATAAACAGAATTTTGAAGTCTCCAAATCACCAGTTTACGGGAGGGAGGTCAGCTAGTCTTAGGAGATATATGTTCTAACTTTGAGATGCTTTTTCACAAATGTAAAGTTTGCTCTTTACAATTAAGAACATCTTTAAAATACCACACTTTAAAAGTCCTCCAGCACCCCTCACTCTGAACCTACAAAAGGCATACAAAGATCTTTAAAAGCAAGTATACAGAGTTTATTTTTCAGCAATAATATCTTTTAAAGCCAGAGGAACTAAACTCCTTCCAAGGGAGAATTTGATTAATTTTAAAAAGTGACATAAATGCTTTGTAACTTTGCCACAGAACATCTGCTTGGACGTCGATGTGACTGGAGAGGTGAACACAGTGTCTGTGCCTGTGGAGGGTAGAAAAGACAACAGGTTTCAGGGCGTGGGGAAGCAGAATGTGGGCGATGATAAAGAAGGGGCTCAGCTGGATGTGTTGAAACACTTTGAGCGCAAATGTGAATGGAAAGAGAGAGATCAGCTGAACAGTGGGGCATCACTGTTCTCCAGATTCAACAAGAGCTGTTTTTTCCCTCTTTTCATTCTCCCCGGCAGGGGCCTTCTGACCAATTTCTACTGTTTCTCCCTGCCAGCCTCCTAGATTTCCAGAGCTAGCAGACCCCTCAGAAGAGAGGAGCAGCACACTAGTGGACAGTGGCTATGGCTGCAGGTACCCCAAGGCCCCACCTGTCACCTGGGGCAGATCCCAGTAGCCCTGCCCAGAGGCCTCTGGCCACTCAGCATCTGCAGGGCCAGGCTGCCCAGTTTCCCGTCTCTGCTGGAGTGATAGAATTTATTCAAGTATTCACTAGTTCAAATTTAATTTTTTAAAAGTATGATTTCATTTATTTTTAATCTATTTCCTCTCCCTTGAAGCTTTTTAAAATAGATTATATTAAGGAAAATGATGAGTTAAATACATTTTCACAAAAAAGTAAGATAATCATCTCATTTATCATTTTAAAACAGCAATACAATGTGGCCAATTTTACTTGAACACTAAAAAACATTGATGATGAAGCAATTTTTACAGGCAAAAAATTAGCCTTCTTTGTTTTGAACAGAGAAATTTATTTTCACAACTACTTCTAGTTCACGCAAATAACTGGAAAATATGTATTCAAGGAAAATGAGTCATGCTGTGAGTGAATAACTGGTATCTCCTTGAGGCAGTAGTGTTAGAGTTAGCATTCCCGAGGGCATTATAAGCTCTGGAGGTAAGACTCCCCTTTCATTTTATATTTAGCTCCCCCGGTCTAAGACTGCCCCTAACTGCCCCTCAAAAGTAGGCATCTCATCTCACCTCTTCCTCTACGTTTTCTCTTCTCATGAAACATCCAAGATTCAGATGTTGTCATCCAAGATTCAGATGTTTGTGTTTAATGACAACAAACAAAAGCAAAACTCACAACCACAGAATGGTCTGTTTGGCTCATAGTGTTCCTAATACCAGATAACAACCACCCTACTTTTAATAGTACTTGCTCTATGCTGCCATTGGTAGTTTACAAAACCTATTAACATGTGCTATTTCATAAAGATTTAATTTTTTACAATAATCCTGGTGCTGTGTGGCAGCCATAGCTCTGTATTCTTAGGGAGGTCTATCGGCTTCTTTTGACTCTTAGGATACCACTTACTCAAACACATTAACGATGTAGGAAGGAAAGAGTCCAGTGTATGAAGATGGCACAATGCAGCAGTTATGAACTGAACGTTAGGAGACATGCATGCTTTTTCCATGTAAAACGTTTCTTGCATACATCTCACTCTGTTTCAAGAGCACAGTGGATGAAGAGAAAAACAGCGATAGTCAACTGGAAAACAATTATAAGCTGCTCCTGTGTTCTGTTGCCTTAAATTCTCGGGCAAAGTTTTTAGAACAACCCTGATCCAAACTGTTCATTAAAATTCAGTATTGTTTTCAACCTCTCCTAGCTCCTTGCTAATTTATGACCCAATATTTGGAGAAAATGTTATTCAGCTTCAGAGTCACTAACCCCAGTAATCAAATGAAGTTAAGTTTGATACTGGGATTAGGATAGAAACAAACCAAGATTTGGAAAGCTACTGAAATAGGAAATAAAATTTCTTTGAAGCTACATTGCTATTTTGATCCTTATTTCATGGATCACATGTAATCAACATGAACAACCAAGAGTTTCATTTTTTAAAATTTTTAAAAATACTGGTGAGAGAATTGTAAATTACTGAAAAACAAGATCATAAAGAGATTTTGTTTTTTTGTCATACAAGAGCATTTCTAACTGTAGGTCTTGGTGAAAAAGAACAACACTTTTCACAAAATTGTGAAAAAAAAGGAGAGGGAAAAACTTTATTTTGTAAGCTTGTGCAGGGTAGTTTGCCAGTGAAACTTTGCACAATGAGGAGATGATGGAGAGGCGTATCATGAAAATCATCTTCCAGGCCAGGCAAATGAAATTATCTCCTGATTCTATACTCAAAAGAGAGGCATAGTTGACTTTCTGCCCAGACATATGCTATCCTGGGAAGACAAACCTTGGGACTGGCAGACAAAAGTAATTAAGGATATATTTTTCCTTTTTATTAATGAATTTATATTCTTTAAACTCATTTCTTCCTCTTTTGGGTTCCCAGACTTATTTCCAACACTGGTTTGGGAGGAACTACTATGACCTGTCACTAAAATTGGAAATGTAAAGCAAGTGGCTGTCACTAAGTTAGTGATAGTCAGAAAATGACTTAAAAGATTAGACAACAACCCTCCTATTGAACTGAGATCTCTGTTAACTTTCTCTTTAGGTAACACTACATTTGGTTAAAAAGATAAAGACTTAAATAAACAAATGAACAATTTAAAACCCCAGCTTCGAACAATGTCCCCCACAGCTGGCATTAGGACATCTGGGGGATGATGCTTGCGAACTCCTGATTGGAGTCAGACAGAGTCAGAGACTCGGCGCTGCAGAATGGGAGGAACAGTGTGTAATGAGGCATCAGTGCCCAGTGAAGAAAGGGGAAAGATGAAAAAGAATAAGAATTAGCCCCTGGTGCTGCGGAACACAGGAGACCCACAAAGGCTAATTTCAAATGGCTGGAGCTCTTACATCTTAGGGATGAACTTGCTTCTTGATGCACTTATAACTCCCATTAATGTTAATGTTGCCAAGCCCACCGAGAAGAGAATATAGCCCCCTTAGTTTGCTTTCATCAGTTCACGTCCTTTTTTTTTTGAGTGGGGAACAAAAATCTGGTTACCTTTATGAATTAAGACAGGAACCTATGATAATGTACAAATACATTTGGGTTGAAAAGGAAAAAGGGAATAACCCATGAGCCACAAAATCTTTTCCAAAGTCCATAGAGGAGACAGCAGCTCATGAAAAGCAGCAGCAAGCATCCTTCAAGTCTATCCAATGGTCTCTCATACGATGAATTCAGAACACCAACAACATTTTTGTATTTGGTGCCATTCATGCAACACCCCTCCGCAAAAACATTCATGCCTGAAAACTGTTAGCAACTGTTTGTCTAGTAAATGTGGTCAATACCATTAGCATTTTTTATAAAGAGGAAAATTCGGACAGAAAAAGCACATTTTTTTTTTCTTTAAATAATCACAATAATTTAACGAGAGAATGAGGAGGATTAGTTTGCAGGCAGGGAAAGTTCAGTGCCGAAATGAAACTGAACAGATGTAATCTTGCAGCAAGTGGATACAGCAAAGATGAACAACATTTAAAAAATATTCCCACTGTAGTCTCAGAAGAGACTAGATTAATCCAGGGTAGACCCTGTAGGATGCTGTGGGTGTGGACCTTGAGAACTTTTTCTTTAGTTTCATATGCACCGTATGTCTGGGTGATTCCATTTGAGGTTATTTGTGACTGGATGACTTGAATATAGCATGCACTGGAAATCACCAAGGGGAAGGAACATTTGTAGCAGAATCATCATCCTTTCAATAGGCTTCTAAGCTGAATTCTCAATGACTGGTCTCACTAAAGCTAACGGATACTAGGCATAATAACTGGGTGATGAAATAATCTGTCCAACAAACCCTCATGACATGAATTTACCTATTTAATAAACCTGCACGTGTAGCCCTAAACTTAAAAAAAAAGCTTACCGTGAACATAGGTGGAAACTGGGTCCCACTACATTGGTCTGCAACATGAATTGTGCTGTAGTTCTGAATTGAGAAGGACATTTTCCAGTGATAGCTCTCACTCTTAAGCCTGAACTCTTCATTCTAGAGTTAGAAGCTATCCATCTTTTATTCACTGTATTATTTATAATAAGAACTGAAAGCAAGAGAGATAAATAACCACGTTTGAGCATATCTAGTCTGCATTTCAGAAACATCCTCACATCTGCATACTCTATAAAACTGTGATCCTAACTCACTTTTTCAATACTTTAAAAGTAGATATTGCCTAATACTAAAATCAATGTATGCACACACATATTGCTTTCATAAAATAATGCAAAGATCTGCCTAAATGAAAGGGACTGGAAAGCAACATAAGACTAGATAGTAGGCTACAGTCAAATGTCCGTTATGTAAAGTGAACCTAATAGGTTTTCTAAAGAATGTTCAAAATAGCTTATTCTATGTCATTGGGAATGTTATCTAAAATGTTCAATTTTTCTAAATGTCCTCAGATTTTTCTAAGTCAACAGAGTTAACCATTAAATGCTCTGATATGGTTTGGCTGTGTCCCCACCCAAATCTCATCTTGAATTGTAGTTCCTCATCATCCTCACGTGTGGTGGGAGGGACCCAGTGGGAGGTAACTGAATCATGGGGGCAGCTTCCCCCACGCTATTCCCATGATAGTGAGTTCTCAAGCAGTCTGATGGTTTTATAAGGGGCTTCCTTCTTTGGTGGGCTTTCACTCTTCTTGCAGCTGCCACGTGAAGGACGTGTTTGCTTCCCCTTCCGCCATGATTCTGAGTTTCCTGGGGCCTCCCCAGCCATGCTGAACTGTGAGTCACTTGAACCTCTTTCCTTTATAAATTACCAGTCTCAGGTATGTCTTTATTAGCAGCATGAGAACGGACTAATACATGTTCCTAACAATCCTATTAGAGGTACAACTGACAAAGAATAAGCTGCATATATTTAAAGTATCTACCTTGACAGGTTTTGACATATTAATGCACCCGTGAAGCCTCTATACAATCACAAACAATGAACAAAAGTCTCCCTCAACATTTCCTCATGCCTTTTTCTAAGACCGCATCTCTCTCTCCATCACCCACTGCCATCCCCAGACAACTACTGAATCTATTTTTTGTCACTACATATTAACTTGCATTTCCTAGAATTTTATATATATGGAATCACTCTTTTTTTTTTTTTGGTTTGGCTTAATTCACCAAGAATAATTGTTTTGAGATTCATTTATGTTGTAATGTGTATCACAAGTTTATTCCTTTCTATTGCTGAGTAGTAGTATCCTATTTTGTGTACATACCACATTCACCTAGTAATGGACGTCTGGAATGTTTCCAGTTTTTGACTATTACAAACAAAGCTACTGTGAACATTCATTGGCAAATTTTTGTGTAGACATATGCTTTCATTTCTCTTAAATACCTAGGAGTGGAACAGCTAGGTCATATAGTATGCATATGCTTAACTTTTAAGAAAATTGCTAAACTATTTTTCTCAACAATGTATGAGCATTCTAGTTCTACCACATCCTGGGCAACACTGAGCCATTCTAATAGGTACACAGTGGAATATCACTGTAGTTTTAATCTGCATTTCCCTAATGACTAATGATGTTGAATATCATTTATGTGCTTTATTGCTTACTGTATATCTTTGTTGGTGAAATGGTTATTCAAATATTTTGCCCATTAAATTTTTTTTTATTACTGAGTTTTGAGAGTTCTTTGTGTATTGAGGATAAAGTCTTTTGTCAGATATATGATTTACAAATGTTTCCTTCCTGTCTGTGGCTTGTCTTTTCACTTACAGACTGTTGAACAGTAGAAGTTTTAAACTTCAATGTGGTCCAATTCATCACTTCTTTCTTTTAAGTATAATGCTTTTAGCGTCATAATTAGGACATCTTTATCTAACCGAAGGTCACAAAAGTTTTCTCACGTTTTCTTCTAGAAGCTTTATAGTTTTAGGTTTTACAGTTAGGTCTATGATCCTCTTTGAGTTAATTTTTTTATATGGTGAATGGTATGGATCAAAGGGTTTTTTTCTGCATATGAATGAATATCCCATTGTTCCAGCACAACTTGTTGAAAAGACTATTTTTATTCTCCACTGAACTATCTTTGCATCTTTGTTGAAAGTCAGCTGCCTCATATACACCATGGAATACTATGCAGCCATAAAAAATGATGAGTTCATGTCCTTTGTAGGGACATGGATGAAATTGGAAATCATCATTCTCAGTAAACTATCGCAAGAACAAAAAACCAAACACTGCATATTCTCACTCACAGGTGGGAATTGAACAATGAGAACACATGGACACAGGAAGGGGAACATCACACTCTGGGGAATGTTGTGGGGTGGGGGGAGGGGGGGAGGGATAGCTTTAGGAGATATACCTAATGCTAAATGACGAGTTAATGGGTGCAGCACACCAGCATGGCACATGTATACGTATGTAACAAACCTGCACATTGGCACATGTACCCTAAAACTTAAATAATAATAATAATAATAATAAAAGAAAGTCAGCTGCCTATAAATGTGTGGGTCTGCTCCTTTGATATACTTGTCAAATATTATGCCAATATCACGCTGTCTTGATTACTGTGGATTTTTAATAATTATTGAAATTAGATAGTGTCAGTCCTCAAACTTTGTTTTTCCTTTTCTAAATTGTTTTGGCTATGCTAGGTACTTGCATACCCCTGTGAATTTTAGAATCAGTTTGTCATTTTGTATAAAAAAGTCTACTAGAATTTTGATTGGAATTGTATTGAATCTATAGATCAATGTTAGGGAGACATAGCATCTTTATATTACTGAGTCTTCTGACCTACAAAAATGGTATCTATCTCTCCATTTATTTAGGCCTTCAACAATGTTCTATAGTTTTTAATGTACATGTCTTTCACATATTTTGTCAGATTTGTCCTTAAGTGTTGAAGTACTTAAGAATGCTGTTGTCAATGCTACTGACTTATTCTTTTCAACTTGTGATTGCTACATATGTAAAAATATACTTGATTTTTGTATATTGATCTTGTATCCTGCAATTTTGCTAAATTCATTTATTAGTTCTAGTAGTCTTTTGTGGATTCAACCAGATCTAGTAGTCTTTTATGGATTCAATCAGATTTTCTAGGTAGATGATCATATTTTAAGTAAATAAAAGGTTTGTGTTTTTTTTTTTTTTTTTAATTTGAATGCCTTTTATCTCTTCTCCTTGCTTTATTGCACTGGCTAGAAGTTCTAGGCAATGTCACATTAAAGCGGCAAGAGCAAACATCCCTTTCTTTTTTTAAAATACTGATGGCGGAAGGGCATTCCGTTTTTCACCACTGAGTATGATGTCAGTTATAGGGTTTTTTGTAGATGTCCTTTATCAACTTGAGGAAGTTCTATTTTATTCCTACTTAGCTGAAAGTTTTTATTGGACTTCTCAAAGAACAAGTTTCTTTTTTATTTCATTGCTTTTCTCTATTGGTTTCTATTTCATTGATTTCTACTTTAATCTTAATTATTTCTATTCCTCTACTCATTTTAGATTTAATTTCTTGTTCTTTTTCTAGCTTCTTTAGATGCTAATTTCTTATTTTCAAACATAGGCATTTAGTGCTGTAAATTTCCCCCAACTACTTCTTTAGTGATATGCTGCAAATTCTGATACGTTTTACATTCATTTTTATTTCATTCATAATACATTTTAATTTCCCTTTTTATATGTTTGAGCCATGAGTAATTTTGGATTGTGTTATTTAGCTTCCACATATTTGAAGCTTTTCTAGAATGATTTTCTGTTATGATTTCTAGTTTAACTCCTCTGTAGTCAGAGAACATATTTTGTATGACTTAAACCTTTTAAAATTCATTAAGATGTACTTTATGGCTCAGAATAAGGTGTATTTTGGTAAATGTTTTATGTGCACTTGAGAAGAATGTGTACTCTGCTGTTAGGTGGAGATTTTTTGTTTTTGTTTTTAATAAATGTCAAGCTGGTAGATAGTGCTATTTAAAGATTCTATATCTTTACTGACTTTCTGTCTATGAGAAAGGGGTATCAGAATATCCAACTATAATTGTGAATTTTTTTTATTCCTCCTTGCATTTTAGCAGTACTGCTTTATACTCGGGTGTCCTTTTATGAAATAGTTCCTTTTTATTATGAAATGAACTTCTTTATCCATAGTTATATTCTTTGATCTGAAATCTACTTTGTTTCCTATTAACATAGCTACTCTTTCTATTAGTGCTAACACAGTACAGTTTTTTTCATATATTTACTTTAAACCTATTTTGTCTTCATATTAATACTTGAAATATGTCTTGTAGGCCACATATTGGGTCTTGCTTGCTTATATAATCTGACAATCTCTGCTTTTTAAGTTGAGTTTCAATTTAGGTTACTTACAATTAATATAATTATTTATACGATCAGGTTTAAATCTATCATCTTGCCATGTGTTTTCTATTGGTTACTTCTCTTTTTCTGCCTTCTTTCAGATTAACTGAGCATTCCTCAATGTCACTATTTTATCTCCCTTGTTGCTTTATTAGCTATAACTCTTTGTTTTTTTTTTAGTTGTTTTAGGGCTCATATTATAAATCTTTAACTTATCACAGTCTGCCTTCAAGTGATAGCATACCGGTTCTCATAAAAGAGCCCTACAAGAGCATACTTCTTTTTTCCCCTCCTGAACTTGGTGCTAGTTTCATCATGCATTTTACTTTTATATAAGCTGCAAATCCCACACTGTGTTCCCATTAATTTTGTTCAGACTATTATCTTTTAAAGAGATTTAAGCAGTAAGAAAAATTTCAATATATTCACTCCCGTTGCTGTTTCTGACAGTCTTCATTCTTTTGTGAATATTTACATCCAGTATCATGTCATTTGGCATAGAATTCTAGGTTAAGAATGTTTTTCTTTCAGTGTTTTCAATATATTTCCCAACTTCCTATGAGAAATCTGCTATCATCCTTCTCATTGTTCTGCATCTAAGGTGTCCTTTTTCCCTCTTGCTGCTCTTTCTCTTTATTACTGATTGTGAGCAACTTAATTATAATATGTGTGGTTTTCTTCCTGTTTTTGTGCTTGGGGCTCACTGAGCTTCTTGAATTTATAGGTTTGTAGTTCTAATCCAATTTGGAAAAATGTTCAGTCCTTATTTCCTCAAATATTTTTTGCATTCTCCCATCTCCTTTAGGGACTTACACGGATATTAGGCTACTTGAAGTTGTCCCCCAGCTCACTGATGAGCTATTCATTTTTTAAGTTCACTTTTCCCTCTGTATTTCATTTTGCATAGTTTCTACTGGTATGTTTTTAGGTCACTAATATCTTCTTCTGCAATGTCTAATTCACTGTTAATCCCATGCACATTGCAGTTTTTATCTGTAGAAGTTAGGATTTGAGTCTCTTCCACATGTTTCATGTCTCCATTGAACTTTTTGAACATGTGGAATGTAGTAATAATAACAAGTTTGACTTCCCTACCTCCTAATTCTAATATGTCACTTCTTAGTAAGTTTTGAGTAATTAACATATCTCTTCATTGTAGCCTATATATTCCTGCTCCTTTCCACATCTGGTACGTATGATTGGAAGTGACATTGTGAATTTTACATTGTTGGATCATGGGTATTCTGTTCCTGAAATATCACTGAGATTTGTTGTGGGATGCAGTCAAGTTACCTGGAGGTATTTTGATCCTTTTGGGTCCCACCCTACAGATTTGTAAGGTGGGACTGAAACAGCGCTCAGACCAGGGCTAATTATTCCCCACTACTGAATCAAGGCCTGCTGAATAAGTGGCATCTATTATCTACTGTCAGGATAAGTCTGAATATTTTTGTCCACTGTAACTTAGTATTTATCTGAGTCACCAAATGAAACAAAACAAAAACAAACCACCACCACCACCAACAAACCCATAATGCCATTAAGCACTGGATGAAAAAAAAACTTTACTCACATATAGAAGAGGCAGAGCAAGGTCAGCTTCAACAGTGGGTGTGGGCCCTTCTGCTGCAGCGCAAGAGGTGAGTGCGTGCAGGATGCCTGCTGGGAGAGACCCACCCACCATGAGGGACTGAGTAAAGTATCGTTCCTAGTGCTTGAATGTGCTGTGTTTTCCTTGGCAACTCTGATAGCAAGATGCAGTGCACAGAAGCACTCAGACTTCTACTCCTGATAACAGGCAACAGAAGCCACTTGCTCGACAAGACCCTTTTGTATACCCTACCCAATGCCCTGCGAGTCTTAATGGTTTCCAGTCTGGCTAATGGAAACAGGCACTGTTTTCAGGTCTATTTGAGTGCTGGGCACTATACCTTTCATCCTTTCAGATGGCTCTTCCCCCAGCCTTGCCTGCTTTTTTCACACTCATGCACTGATTAGTGCTCGGCTGAATACTTAGGGGCAACCCTCTGCAAATTTCTAGAATTTTCACTCTGTGGAGCTCTCATCTCTGCCCCTTGAATTCTAGCTAATCGAGGTCTCCCCACACTCTCGGTTCTGTTTTCTCAACTCAGGGGGTCCTCCAGGCTCTGTCAGGAACCTGCTCCCTGTGAGCTGGAAAAGTTGTAGGACTCACTTTTGTTTCCTGTCTTTCTGGGATCACTGTCCTTCATTACCAGATCTCTAGTAGCTTGGAAATCAGTTTTTAAATAATATCTTCTGTCTCTTTTCTAATTTTTCAGGTGGGAAGGCAAATCCAAACCCTATTACTCTTGGTTAGAGGAAGAAGTCCTCATGCTTACTCCAAATCAGATCGGATCAAACTTTCATTTAAGAGGATATTTACCGCTAAAAGACATTGATAATGATGAAAATATGAATATTTTTTAAATAAAGTATTAAGTCTAAGTTACTTTCCAGAAATAGTTGTAGTATTTGAGCACGCACATTCAGCTAGTCCCAGAGAAGATGCCTTTGGTTTAGTTCCCAAGATTATACCTGTATCTGCCTTAAGTCACTTAACCAATGTGATGACTGTCATTAAGAGCTCTGGATGTCTTAATTTTCTCACTCAAATTTGTGAGATCAAATTAAATGAGATCCCTATCTCCAAGCTGGTTTTCCAGTTTAAATAATTCTAGGACTACCTATGTCCTCTTTTGGTTTTAAAGTTGAGGGAAGAAATGGTTTGCCAAAAATACATGACAATTCACCTTGCAAAGCTAAATTTTGAGCCATGAAAACGAACAGTGAATCAAGGGCTGTGTTCAGAATTGCATTCATCAAACTAAGGTTGGATTTGCCAACCTGGGGCACTGCCCAATTGTCATTTCCAAGAAAATGATGTGAGAAAATACTTTGAAGCGGGAAAATAATTATCCTCCCTCAACAACTTCAAAGGTAGTCCCAGAAAATGAAAATGAATCCATTTCTCCTGACTTCAGGACCATATTATCAACTGTGAACTTGTTTCACGACATAAATTCTGAATGGATAGTCTGTCTGTTTCTTGGAACCAGATCTGCATAGTAAGGAAAGGAGACATTCACTTTTCTCTCTGGGTGCTAGCCAATGGGGTCAGGAGAAGTGCTGGCTGGGGCAGAAGCACGTATGTTTCTGTTCTCCCACTGCTCCACTGTTAGAACCTTTTGAAAAAAAAATGTCTGCTTACCCCAGAATGCAGTGCTCATGGCCTCACCTCTCCTATCCTTCAAGGTCCACTTAAAGCAAACCACTGCCCATGAAGCTTTTCCCAGACAGGTCAGCCTTCATTGCTCTTTTCCTATGCTGTTTCAGAGTTTAGATGGTTTAACTCTAAAGTGTATCTTTGGTGTTTAGACTTATGCTGTTTGGAATTATTGTTTCTGTGCTTATATTGTCTTATTAATGGACCTGTGAGTTACTTTGAGGACAAAGAGTATGAATTATCTTTCTTTATATATCTTGTGTTTGATAAGGTAGTCACCACTTCCTGTGTCATCGTTAGCCAGTAATTATTTTATAACTATGGGCAAGCCAATTAAACTATTTTCAGTCCAGTTTTTTTAATCTGTACAATTAGGGGGTCAGGTCACCTGCTCTACATGGTTCTTTATTATACAATTCATAATACTATTTATTCTATATACAATTCTATTCATTCAGTTTACATTTGTTGATCCCAAATCTATGCCAAGCACAGAGAGCTCTTAATTTATCAGGAGAAAACTGGTTAAGGGGCAGAAAAATATGAATCTACAAAAATCCAGCACAGGTGGAGAAAATGCATAAAGAGAATATTTAATCAGATTCTAAGCAGACTTACAGACTCCATTGGCAATTTGACCCAAGTAATTACCTTGGGGGAGTGGAGTTTGATTTGGTTATTTAACAAGGATGGTCATAAAGTCAGCTAATGGCACTAGTCAAACAGTTTTTCAAAGACTTAATATTTAGTTATTCTGTGGATAATATGACTCTTCATCGAAGAAATGTTCACATGGAAATATTCAGAATCGAGCTTTTAATCACACAAAAGGGAACAAAACATCTAGATTTGTTCTGTGCAAAATCCAGAAGGAGTTATTACAGTTTTTGGAGGAACTCTAGTGCCTGGGCTGGATGTCACAGGGGCACAAGACCTTACAAAGTAACGGATCTTATTATTTAACCTTTCTAAAAGTTACCAGTATCCAGATATTCTACACTTCTTCAGTGTCATCAACACATTTCTCATGGACTCCTGAATTAGATTTTTAATAACCATCACTTGTTTTAAGGCTAACAAAGGGCCTTCTTTTGTTGCTCCTGTCCTTTATGAGTTCCAAAATTAACTAATTAACCTCCCCTACAAGAGTCAGCATGAAAACAGAAGTAAGCCCTCCTGAACGAGCTTCCCAAATCTAAGTCAAGATCTCCTGAATGAGCTCCATGAAGCTTCCTCTCTCCTCACAGAGTTCTCTCCAGAATTAAATGCTTATTGACTTCACGCTAATATCCATTTAGTAATCTGCCGTTTTTGTTTGTTTTAATATAGCACTCAGTTTTACAGTAGAAGGGAATTATGCAGTTTAGAAGTATGAATATTAAAAAAGGATTTAATTAAATCTGTTGCCTGAAACCTCTGTCTAAAGCTATAATGACAAATTTAGTCCATATTTATTATGGTGCACAGGGGACCTTAACCAGATCATTAGTTTATATGCCTTACTCAGTAGTGAAGTTCTAAAACTTTACATTTTGCATATTATTACATTATTCATTTTTCCAACTAGGCATAAAATACGACTTCCCATGAGTACAATACCTAATTCTTCAAAATATACAAAGATAGCAATAAAATGATTAAATTACAACTCTTACATCTGTTCTTCTTGTCTGATTATAAATTAAAATGTTTCAAAACAGGAGAAAACAATTCAGGTAACAAATGGATTTAAACGGTTCAACTTCTTACAGGTTGGGGAGCAAATAAATACGGACACATAAACATAACAGACAGATACACGGACATGCAAAAATATGGAAATGTGCCCACTTGAGAGTGGGTTGATTCTTCCCATAGCTTCTAGTGCCTGATAAAAAAAACATGTGCCTAATAAGAGACTGCAATAAGTTAAATGCACTCTCTTCTGTTGGTGACATAAAGTTTGAACTAGCCAGTGGATGTGCCAAAGTCTGAGAAATAACTGAATGAAATTGCAGTGTATATAAAATAGCCTTTATTTTAAAGCCAAACTATAAAATGTTATGTCTGCCAGGAGGAAAATATTTAATGCCATTCTAATCCATTAGCTATCACTGCAAAATGCTGCCTTGTGTTTTCTTTAACAGTCACACATTAACTCATGGTTAATTTAATGATGGAAATAGGCACAGGCAAAAGACACCCTGAAAGCATTTTTGATGTAATCTGTGAAGTCATCACCCATTTAAGATAATGCAGCCATCGGCCACAAAACCCAAACCCAAACGTATGTAGCTTTCAATTTGAAGTTAGCATACAATAAAGTCCCAGCACCAAAAATGCATAGTTTTAAAAATAAGTAGTAGCCTAACATATGCAAGTTTGTAATTTTGGAATTCATTCTATAGAGATCAATTTGGATATGACCCCCTTGAATTCACAGCATTTTCTTCAAAGCCTACTGCTCGGATTGAGAGAGTTTACTCTGATTGTAAGGCACTAGGTTTTAGACACTTGATCAGATGAAAATAGAATGATGACTTATTAAAACTATTCACATATACACACATCATCACCATTATGTGAAACCAAAAATATCAGGTACAAAGTCAAAGAAACAAAGACATACTTAGTAGGCTGAAGACTCCAATTTTTGAAGAGCATTGTTGGAAGACTGAGATGGAAAGCTCTGGGCAGGATGGAAAAACTGGAATGTCAGCATTAGTTCTTCTTTGGAAAAGGCAACTAGGATTAGGAAATGGGTCTGGGTAAAGGAGATTCCAATCAAGATGAGTGTGTTAGCCTCATAGGAAGACTCCTGGGTGAGAAGGGAGAATGTGCCTCCTACTGAGTTCAATAGCAGTAACTTATTTTTCAAGAGAAAGGACTTCCTATCCACTCATGAAATCACAGCATTAGAAAGAACCTGACCTCTAGCTTGTCTTAAATTGGGTATTGTTTTAATCCCCAGAGACTGCAACAGAATTAAGAGAAATTTAGCAACTTTGGAGGAAGCATGGGTATACTTTTCAAAATGAAGAGTTCTATGAATTTTCAGATAGGCTTTTTAAAAAAATAAAACTTGAAGACAGTATATAGGTAATTATTTAGTCCCTCTTCTAAACAGGTCCACATGAAAAATTCCAATTCAAGGCAGTAATGAATTTACCCTTTAAAAAACCAGATACTTTTGAGTCTTCTCAGCTGATCACCTCTAGGTGGACAGGCCAGTGCCGGCCAGCTCAGCTGAAACTCATGGCTACAATACTTCCACCCTGTGCCTAGACACAGCCTTCCCACTCTCGAGTAACTGCTGCCCTCTGGGAATGGAATTAATGTGCTAGGGTTTGCTCATTTTGTGAATATTGTTTCCACAGGTATATGTATGAAGAAAATCAACATGGCAATCTGGAGCTAAACCTGTTTCTAAATCAACTGACTTTTCTTCAAATTGAGATGCCATGAGACATTTTTAGTTTTCTTCTCTTATGAATGGATATATTTACTTTAGACGAAAATTACTCTTTATGTTCCCATGACATATGCCTTCCAGATAAATTTTATGGTGATATCACAAAGAGCTTTCTTCCTCTTTTTTAAAAATATCTGCTTCAACTGCAAACTGAAATACGTGAAATGAGCAGCCATACTGGCTTACAGGAGTCAAACCTCTCCCAGTTACGACTGAATATGGGGAAGCTACAGTGCTCCAAAGATTGAGCTCACGGCTGTGAAAGTAGCTCACAGCTGATAAAGTGCAAAAGAGAAATCTACATGCTACTCCTAGGAACTAGTGAAGGGGAAGAGAAAGAGAAAAGGAGAGAGACCTGTTTGGAATAAGTGAAATCTGTCAGCTTTCAAAAGGAATATACTTTGGTTTGGTTTGATCGAATGGCCCTATTTACAAGACCGCCTTTGATTTATATAAAAATCTGCAGAAATCCAGTCCCACCCCGCAATCTGGAGGGAACAACACACTACCAGCGCAACTCTGGCTTCATCACAGGATGTCCCTGGATAAATAAAATCTAGATCTGGCCCCTGTCCACTGCTGTTCTAAATGAGCCCAGCCAGCCTGGCCCATGTTTCTTCATTTCATTTTCTGGAGCCAAATGACTACCATCTGCTGTCACGAAGCTGTCACACAATCAGTAATGGAAGATTTCTAAGGAATATAATGGCTGAAGAATGAATATATGACAATCCAGTTACTATCTAGCAGGCAGAGAACAGCAACCCATTTGAAAAGAAACAGCAGTGGTGTTCTCCCACTTCTCAGCAAGTGCATTGTAATACAAATCTTTATTTGGACTCAAGATGTTGACAGGTCAATTGAACAGAATAAGTCTAGTTTATGATGCAGTTGTCAGAACTGGTTAAAGCAGGAGTCTCTTTACCGATGTCCTGAGATATTCCAACAATTTTTCTTGCAAACCAGCACCTTGAGGTTAATTACTTTACCAATTTGAGTAAACGGCAAGCCATATTCCCATCTGTCTCCATTAGTTCCCCACTATTTCTCAATTTATGATGACTGGGGTCAAGGCTGTGGTACAAAAGAAGAAGCAATAAAGCATGAATGGAGTAATTTTCTGTTTATACAAATGTGGTAGCCACAGCATAAATAAGGCAAACAGACATTTTGAACGCACATATTCTTAGCTTTGAAACCTCTGGATGCTAACTATATTTATAGTAAATGTGTCTCCTAATTTGTAAGTGTAAAACAAATACAAGTGACAAACTGCACTTTCAATATTTATGGGCTGCAAGCTACACTCTGATATCACAAGCAGCAGGCCTTTGGTGGGTCTCACAGTAGAAGCCAAGTCATAAAGAGATTCTGAAAGGCTTGAAACAGTTGATTTCACGTACACTTCCTTGTTTACCAAAAGTAAGCTCTTTGGGAAGGAAAGAAATGTTAGACTTCTACATTGGTACCGACGTAAAGTGTTAGTGAATCTTTTACACTTGGGACAAACATTTATTGCTATCTATATAGGATTCAATGTTGGAGTCCCTTAAAATCTAGCACTTTGGGAGGCCTAGGCGGTCGGATCACGAGGTCAGGAGATCGAGACCATCCTGGCTAACACGGTGAAACCCCGTCTCTACTAAAAATACAAAAAATCAGCCAGGCGTGGTGGCGGGCACCTGTAGTCCCAGCTAGTTGGGAGGCTGAGGCAGGAGAATGGCGTGAACCCGGGCGGCGGATCTTGCAGTGAGCCGAGAACGCGCCACTGCACTCCAGCCTGGACGACAGGGCCAGACTCCATCTCAAAAAAAAAGAAGTGCAACTGATTAAAATATTTAGGCATCAAGGTTTTCTTTCTCTTTTCCCTCCTTACCTTTTCCATCTTTCTTTTTCCCTTTTGTTTCTCTTTCTAATCATTATCAAATCATAAAACAATTTAAAAATTTTACATGCATATGTTCTAAGTCATAAATATGTAATATACTTTAACTTTGAATTTCACAGCATTTTATTTCAGCATTCAAAACAAAGGGTATTTTTAGAAGCCCTTAATATATAATTTAAGAAGAAATTACAGCCGATTTCTCCAGTTTATTAATGGATAAGGCAGATTGATAGGTCTTTACCTAATCTGCTTTTCTCAAACACTGGCAGTTAAAAAAAAAAGAGGCAGAGAAGATAAATTTTTGGCCGCTTGCCACAAATGGTCAAAGTGATCATTAATTAAGTACCACAATAAAATAGATTTTACAGCAAATGAGGCATAAGGCATATATTTTACAATAAAAGATTCAAAACAGAATGGAAGCAAAACTACTGCCCCATGATCACTGTTAAGTTCTAAGCTCTGACACTGTCACTAATCAGGTACACATCCAGAGAAATTTAGCTTTGAGGAAAAAATTGGAGGCAAATATATATTTTAACTTCTAATCAGTTGCATGGCATAACATTTCTTTTTGCCTTTCAGATGGAATCTTAGGCAAATGGCATGGTTTTCTCCTTTAGAACTTCACCTGTGCAATCTAAATCCTTTCTCTTATGGCTTTCAAGGTGCTCCTGTGTGTTTTCTTTTCCCCTTATAATACTGCCCCTCTCACCCTGAAACACC
Source organism: Homo sapiens (assembly GCF_000001405.40). NCBI lineage: Eukaryota > Metazoa > Chordata > Mammalia > Primates > Hominidae > Homo > Homo sapiens. The sequence continues at coordinate 33,594,881 of NC_000014.9, read as the reverse complement.
AGCTACATTTTACATGGGGAATGAAGAGGCCTTCAGACCATTTGGGATGACTTTCATCCACTAACGAGATGAAGAATATGATTAAAATATTTTACAGAGCAGGGGTACTCAGAGAAGAGGTTACATCTAGGCTGAAAAATCCCGCAACTCTCTCCAAACTGCCAAGAGGCAGTCGGTCCTTCTGTGAAGGTGAGGCCCACCTTCAGTGTGGTTTTCTCAGGGCTGAGAACTAAAGAGCATCAGTGCTTCTTCCTGGGCCAGCAGGAGGCTGGGCAGGCAGAGGTCTGGAACTGGGGTCCCATGGATCCCAGAAAAACAGGCAGCGAGACTAAGTCAAGGGACTGGAAGGGAGACGCAGAAAGTTGTGCACAGGACTCTTTCATCATTTCTGGAGAATATAAGGTAATTAATGTGTGAAAGAAGCTGATCCTGAGACTTTCTTTTGAAAAGATTTGTTTGAGACCATAAATTGAGATATTCATTCAACCACAGTATAGTTGGTCCTCCATATTTGTGGGTTCTGCATCTGTGAATTCAACCAACTACAGATCGAAAATATTTGGGGAAAAAACAATTAAAATAGCAATACAACAACAACAACAACAACAAACAATAATAGCAATTACATTGTGTTAGGTATTACCAGTTATCTAGAGATGATTTAAAGTATGTAGGAAGATATGTGTAGGTTGTATACAAATACTGTGCTATTTTATAGAAGAAGCTTGAGCACCTGATAATTTTAGTATCTGAAAGGGTCCTGGAATCCCCCTGCAAATACTGAGGGATGACTGTATTTTTACTTTTTTAGCTCTAAGAAGGTGCCAGAAGTATGGCATTCAGAAATAAAAGACAGATCCTTGCCCTTGAAGATACCCTAGTCTAATGGACAAAGTACACCTGATAATGAATGATTATTATGTGGTGTGATGTGTGTTGAGAGAGGTATGCACAGGATGCTGGTGGTAGGGGCACCTAAGTCAGCTTTGAGAGAACCATGGCATGGGACCAACCTGCTAGGAAGCATCTCTGTACACAAGTTCACTCACATTGCCTACTATTCTGCAACATCAAGGGACAAATGTCCCTTTTAAGTTGTAAAAACTCTGAGCAAGGGTAAAAGTAAGGACTCCTAATAATTTGTCTTTTCATGTAAATTAATTTAAATATGCTACTTTCTTAGATGTTAGAATAGAATATAAACGTTAGAAGAAACCTTAGAAATCATTTAGTTTAGTTTCCTCACTGTACAGAAAAGAAGGCTGGAGAAAAGGTGAGGACTTGTGAGGACTCCTATTGTTGCCCATTGCAGGAGAATGGACTCAGGGCTGGCTGGCATCTGCAGTTTCCCCCAAATGCGCACTGGCAGAAGCAAGGCTCTGCAGATCCAACTAAAGGTCTTTGGGTCTTATGTCTTCCACCCATTGACAGTATTCTCTAGTGCTTTTACTCTCTTTCATTTGAAAACATGTGCTCAGCATTTCCCATGTATCATGCACTATGATGGGTGCTTTAGGCCTTTAAAAGATGTTAAAATAACCAGTAGAGGCAAAAGAAATGGGCTTTGGAGCTCAACATCACTGCTCTTTAATAGCTATGAGACTTTGGGCAAACCTTAATTTCTTCAGCTCCGCCAGAGAGTTAATACCTACCTGTTTGAATGGTTGAGAGGATTAGAGGTGATATGTTATTAATAATATATGTTAAGTATCTAGTACCATGCCTGATACAGAGAAAACACTTCATAAACGATAGGTGCTGCTATTTAATTTGCTCACATTGGCACATACAGTCTGGTGATATGACCCCTCCATGTGCCAAGCCCACTACTATAAATGGGGTATGCAAGCAGGAAGTCACACAAGCTTTACCTTCTACGAGATGTGTCTGAAGCATTGCAGGACTCAAAAGGGTGAGAAACAAACTTTCCCTAGGTAAGTTTGCAAAATTTTCACAGCACTGAGTGAGTTACTGAAGAAAACATAGTAATCTGCTGGGAGAAGTGACAAAATGAGATTTGAGGCATACATTCTAATATTTGAAAAACACGGAGGTTTGAGACAGCATGGCCAGTTTCGTCCAATTAGCATCTCTGTTTTATTCTCTTACTAAAAAGAGCCTTAAAGGATTATTACATTTCCATCAAAACAATATTCCTTTGCTTCGCATTTAAGACTTCCTAGTCCCCTGGCTCAAATGCATTTCCTGCCTCTATGCAAATTCTTATTTATGTATTTCATTAATTTACTGTCTTCCAAAATACCTTGTCCATCTCTGTCTCTAGAATTTGCTCACATAGTTGTCCCCTCCAGGATGCCCTTCTGCCAGCCCATCCCAATTTTACTCATTCATCATAGTCTGGTCAAATCCCACCTCTTCTTTAGCCCACTGCATTCTTTGCCTCCTCCGAACTCCCAAAGCACTGAGTCATCCAACACTCAATCACATATGGCTCTGCTTCGCCTCTTAAATTTTAATATGTTTGTGTCTTGTTTCTCCAATTAAGTTTGAAGCTTCTCAAGGACAGGGACCACATTTCAAACTTCATTTTCCTTTTAGCAACTTTCAAGGGTCTTTTAAATACCTGTGTAATTGATGACTATACATGATTTTCCATGTGATAAAGTCAGCTACCTTTGTTTTAGGGAGAAGAAAAAACACTGGAAGGAGGAAAATACAGAAGATAATTTTCCTAGTGGTCCATGGTCTGAGCCACCCAGTCCAAGAGCATACCACTGATTTAATCCACATCAAATTGGAGGGGGTGGGGTGTGAATAAGGTGTGTTAATGTCATTTAACTGCATATATTTCTGGTCTCCCAGCGGTCATCCCACATGCTGTCACTTTTCTGTGTAAAAACTAGTGTAAGGTCAGCTCCATCTACATCACAGCAATGTTGTGAAGATAAAACAAGCGACAAGGTACCAGGTAAGGGTGTCTGGGGAGTAAGAGATTCTCAAGATGCACATGGTTTCTTTTAATGTGCACATATACTCTAAGCAACTGGGCCACAGATTGTTCTTTCTCTCCTTGTGGATATTCTTCCTCTTGGCAGTCACATATTTCCAAGTTAAAGGGTATGTTACATACGTTTCCCTCAAGAAGAAAATGAGGATAATACGCTGAGATCAAGAGATTTGACTGTGCTTAGGTAAACTGCAGTGATGACACAAAGGTGAAATTTGGGGGGACATACCTAATTAAATGTGGTAGATGGAAAATTTCCTACACATGGTTTCTATAAGAATTCAGTTGTGAGAATCAACTGAGATTAGGCTGGTAAGACACTGAAAGGCCTAGAACACTACCTGAGGTTGAAGGCACCTTTTAGGAATTCTGCTTTGCTTTTGCTCACTTTAGGGGTTGGATGGTAGTCAGTGGCTTTAGTAGTGGGGATGCAGAGCTTTTACCGCCCACGTACTGCCAGAATCTTGTAGTTCCCAAGACAAATGGTCTCTGCACTTCCCAAGACAAATGGCTTTTCCACTCTCTAGTCCAACCAGTGGGGGATGGTTTAGTATAATTGTTTGTGTGGAGCTTGTGCAGGCTAGGCTTGCATGACAAGGAGTCATGATGGACATTGGCAGACAGTTTAAGTCACCTAAAAGTACAGAGCAAAGTCGAGAAGAGTGGGCAGTGAGGGAGTAAAGGTAAAACTGGACCTGTAGTCCCATACAGGCAAGGACAGCTGTCCAGGGTTGATAAGTTGTCATTAAAACAAAGGGAGAAGTGAAGGAAACTTGCTCCTCAGGAAGCTGTGGCTGCACTTAAGAAACAGTTGTAGAGAAAATGAAGTCATCATGTTCTTAACAAGCACTTCCCTCCACAACGTGTGTGGTAGGAAGGCAGAGATCTGCTCAGGGTAGGAGTTCTGCCCAAGTTTTTCCTTCCTAACAGGGATGTAGGGTCACCAAAAACCTCTGGACCATGAAGTCAGAGGCCTGCCTAATGTGCACATCACTGTATCTCTGGTGCTAGTACAGTGCCTGGACAATAGTAGGTGCTTAATAAATCTTTTTGGAATAAATATGAATGAATGAGCGAAAGCAATGAATAGATGGAGGATGATATTTGTGAGCTCATCCTGAGCCACCTGGATCCAGAGAAAGCCAGGGAAACTGGCTGCAAATGTCAAAGACATTGGTGTTTTGCTACAACCCCTTCTCCATCTGGCTCACATCAACGCATGGGGGATTGATGTGGATTGGGGGTTTTGCTCTTCAGGTCTTATGTAACTGGGATTACATGTACATAAACTTATAATAAGCTCATTATTGCTGCAAAATATTAATAGCTGGTTCCTGAGTATTCAAAAAATAAAAGTGGCTCTCTTAGATGAGCAAAACACATGGGTTTGGTCTTGACACCTTTATTATCCTTCTCTGAAAGCCTCAACCAACCACCCCCCAAATCTATATATCTCACTCACCTTGACAATTAGGAGATTCAAAGCAAGTGGTTCACATGTCAAAAATCCTCAGTGTCCAGATGTGGACACTGTCCAGAATATCTAGCAGTAAGTATTATATATATATTTGTATAAATACTGAAAGCCACTGAAGACAAAACAAAATGCAGAGCTCTGACTTCAGTGTTTAAAAACCAACAGATGGAGGTCTTCATTATTGTGAAATGCCAGGATTAGAAAACTTCCTGTGGTCCAAGACTCTAAAACTTCATTTGGTGACCATCTTTTTCTGCCTTTTTTTACATAGCAAATAATATACTGAGGAATTTTCTGCTCATGATTTTCTTATGAGGCTTTGAACTTATATAAATAATCTGCATTTTTTCCAGAGACATCTCAAAAACTGAGGTGGGATAACTTGAGCACATTCATGTTGTCTTTTGGGGTCTGTTGTAAATCTCAGCACATTTGGGTTTTATTGCCACCTTTATGGCCTTCTCATCTTGCTGATACTTTCCCAAACCACCTCCATCCCAAAGAATTTCTTCTTCTCTAATGAAAAGTGCTCCTTGCTTCTACAAATTCTTTATCTGCATCTCAACAAAACATTTCATGGCAAAACTTCCTCAACAAAATTAAAGCACTGATTTCTGCAATTAGCTGTAAAGGAAGATGTATTTCCCACTTTTGGGAACTGGTACTTCCTAATCAGGTGTTAATAATTAGCATCCACACCATGGTCAAGAAGTCAATGTCCTAAAATTTATCAAAGACATACTTTATATCTTTTTTTCAAGTATGATTAAGGAAAACAACAATAAAAAACTTTATAGTAGATGGTGGAAGGAGCGATGAGATGTGGGATCTGGAACTACAAACTCTTATTAAGCAATGCTTTGACTCAAGGTCACTGGTATGAGCTGAGCACACAAAATGTAATCAGGGCTACTCATCCAACGCTGACTAATTTCAGGCAACTTTCCCAGGTGTGTGCTGACGTAACAATAGAACCTCATCCTGCTTGACCAGCATGGAAATCAGCAGTTAGAATAAAGTATTTGAAGGTTGCTGTCTGAAGGGAGGTGCTTTTTTACCATGTTCTGGCTGTACTAGCTTCTTATATTGATTGTTCTTCCTCACTGTCATAAGCAGCATTCAACTACAAATAGAATTTAATCCCCTCCCTCCCATTTTTCATGGTCAGGGAGACGGTTCTTGTCTAAGTGACTCTATTTAATAGAAGATGGACAAAAGTCATTATATTGCTTCTACATAAAGGAAAACAGAACTGGAGAAAGTTTCCTTTAGTTATAAGCCTGACATTCAGTCTCAAAAAGAAACTGAAAGATATTTCAATATATGTGCTTTTAAGTACACAATTTTTGGGGGATGAGGACAAACGTAGAGTATATTTCTTTACAAGAGATTAGAGGTTTGAGAAAGATTCTACCAGCAGTCATTACTGAGACAGCCAGTCTGAATATAGGAAACAAGACAGTGTTCCCTCAGCTATTCTGATTCACCTTGTGAGCTTAATCATAAAAAATCTATGGGCCAGGTGCAGTGGCTCACACCTGTAATTCTAGAACTTTGGGAGGCTGAGGTGGGCCGGTAGATCACTTAAGGTCAGGAGTTCGAAACCAGCTTGGCCAACATGGTGAAATCCAGTCGCTACTAAAAATGCAAAAAAATTTATCTGTGCATGGTGGTAGGCATCTGTAATCCCAGCTACTTGGGAGGCTGAGGCAGGAGAATTACTTGAACCTGGGAGGCGAAGGTTGCAGTGAGCCAAGGTCACACCGCTGCACTCCAGCCTGGGTGACAGAGTGAGACTCCATCTCAGCAGCAACAACAAAATCTTTTATGATAAAACTGAATTAGGAAGAATCTTTCATAGCTTTCAGAAAACCTACAAGCTGCTAACAGCAGAAGGAATTAAGAAGCAAAAAGAAAAGCAGGAAGAGTTCTCAAGATGAACCATCTGACAAGTTGAGAAATTAGACTAAGTTCTTATGTCAGGGGGACTTGGGTCTACGGGAGCTTTGAAAGATCGATCAAGCATCCATAGTTGAGTTTCTGCAAATTCTTTGCTGGCAGGTGGTGCCAACCCAGAATATGACTGCCGAAGGATATTTGGATCTGCCCTGCATCTGGGAGGATTACAGAGGGAAGTTTGGTCTTGGAGACAATATGTTCATATCACACCTGCTTTCAGTGCCACAGGCTACATCAGTGGCAAAAGAAGGAGACATTTTAGAGCCATAGGAACCTTGGATTCCACTTCTAATTTGCAAAGTGCATCTGCTTTATAGGCCTGTTTGACGGCGGCTTCATAATTAGAAAAACGTGCCTTATATTTTTGCATTCCCCAAACCATAAAACAAATCTGGCTTTATTTTTACAACAGTAATTACATGATAGGGTAAAACCTTTCATTTTAGGGAACACACTCGACTAAGACAGATAATCTTTAAGTAGAGCAACAAAATGTCCCTGGTAACAGAAATCATATGGTGTGGTGAATCAGGTTTATCAAACATTTGTGCCCAAGATGCAGAGTTCTTCTACATATTGGATTCATTTGAGGTTCTGTAGTGCTCCTTAACGTAACTGGTGCAGACATAGCTGTTGAAGCTGTGGGATTTAGACTTTTATATGATAATTTATGATTTGGAGAACTCTTTTAATTGGTCAAGATTAAAGTGATCCAACCCAAATGAGTCATAAAATTAGCTTCTTCAAAAATCCTTTTGAGAGAGAAGATACACTATAGTATACTACAGGTATACACCGAAATCAGAGCTTTAAGAAGAATATACTTAGTGATAGGTTCACAATAAACCAGAGTTTCTTTGATGGCCTGATAACAACAATGAAGAGGAGGAGGAGGAGAAGTGTCCGGTACTATGCTAAGTGTGTCATATAAATTATCTCCAGAAGTCAGCACAGCAGTTCTGTGAAGTAGATTCCACTATAATTCCCATGTTATAGATGAAGCAACTGAAGAGCATAGAGTAGGGAACCTACTGAGACACCCAGTTATTACATGTGAGAACTAGGGCTTGCACTAGACAGTTGGTTCCAGCATCTATGATCACATCTTAAATAAGGACACTGGACTGCCATCTTAAGGAATTTCTACATCTGTCATAAGTGCTAGTTTTTTTTGTCATGGGTAAAGTATGATATTAAATAAATTTATCCTTCACAATGACTGACATAAAACTATTTTATATTATATAGGAGACAACACTAAATATGGACGTATAGCAATCTTGATCAATTGACAACAGACTAAAGTTATTTGGGAGAAGAATAAAGGGCACAAAAATAGTTTTCAAATTGAAACCATATGAATTACTATATGTAGGGGAAATACAGATGGGGAAAGTAAGGCAAAAGAAGAATGAAACTATTTAAGAGGCTAGGAGAGAACAGGACCAGGCACTCAGCTACAGACAAAAGCTCCTTGTTTGGGGAGCCGGTCCTCGGATTATCACGGAACTCTCACTGTGCAGACTCCTCTTGTCTTTTACTGCATCTCAGTGCTCCCCCAAACTCTATATTCTCCAAAATGTCTTACTGGAAATACTTCTGTAGCATTTCTCGAGTTGCATGATATCCACTTAAGTACAGGTTTACAAACTACATGGTGTGGTAAGCATTGTCTCCTCTTCCTAATAAAGCCAATGGCCCAGCAATGCCAAATAAAGTCGAAACATACGTGTTTGTTCACCTACTTTATTTTATTTACTGGCAAATACTGCTTAAAGAAAATTATATTTTTCAACTGCTAAATTAACAAAAGGGAATGTTAGAAAATGTATTGGCATTAAAAAATAATTCTTAGTTTTCTAAAAGGATTCTTTCTATGTTCTACTAAATGATACATCTCCAAATGTATTTAAAAGGCAACATAATTTATTAAAATTGCATTTACATGTAACTAATTAGAAATTTATACTATTATGTATAATTATATTACTATTTCCTAAATCATTACTTCTGCTGACTTTATTCAACAGTATCTTTCAGTTATTATATTCTTCTTTTATCTTTTATATACACATTTATTTAACCAAGAAAGTATCTGTTTATAAAATTTATTTTGCAAATAAATTTGGGTAAATCAATTAATCTCTAAAAATTAGTACAGAATTCACTTTTCAGATGGGGGAACTCAAAATCCTTTTGGAAAGTGAATTATTATGCTATGAAACAGTCAATAAAACATCTGATTGCTTGGAAAGTAAAGATTGTTGTTATTTGGTTTTATTAAAATAGAACATATTTTTAAGAGAAGAAAACAAGATGCCTCATTTTCCCATCCCCAAAGAAGAGAAAATAAAGCACCTGAGGCCTTATTTCTCAGGTGTTTTATGATTGTCTCTTAACAGATAACTCCCTAGTTCCCTTGCTAGGTGCCTCATAACCACTCACCCGATTCTAAATGGCAGCAGGAGAATCTATCATATTTCTGATAATCACAGATTTCAGGATGTGATCCTTCCCTGTGTATTTATAAAGGAAAATATGATCAGAAAATAAAACTAAAAAGGCATAAAACATCAAAGTCCAGGGGCTTAAAAGAGACCATCAGATTTTTAAGCTACTGAACATAATGTCCTTCAGTAGCCCACTGAAAATTTTGCCTGAGTTTTCAAGCCCACATTTTGAGACTTTCATGCTGCATCTAAAATACATTAGGCACCAGCATGATTCTCAGCGGAAAACTAAAAGAAATTATGAGGAGGTAAACCCTTTGGAACATTAATGACATTAGTTCTGATAATAGGTTGGCATTGCATAGCTTAAGATTAATATAAGAGTCATGTATCTCTGATTTGGTTTGTTTCTGTTTTTCTCTTACATGGTGGGTTTTTGTTTTCAGCCTACTGAGAAATCAGAAAATTTGTAAAAGATGATAAGGTTATTTCAATCCAAAAGATCAAACTCCTTGAGATGTTACTTAGTTTTACATATTTGCCCCACTTGGGAGAGGAAAAATGAAGCGTGAAAATGTGACCTGACTGCCTTATGGGTGGAGAAGTCCATGGTCAAGGCAGGATATGGGACCCAGATTCTCGACTGCTGGTCTATAGCATTGTCCCTCTAGATTTCTCAGATTCCAGTCATATTGTTCTTATGTCCTTTTTATCTCCTTCCACTCATCACTTCACACTGCTAACCTTCGTCAGACCTTCATATTTATTAGATTTACCTGTTTCTTTTAAGTTTCGCCATGGCCACCTTACTCTAACATGGACTCTCACCACTTCACCTATCTTTCTAGATGAGAGGCTCTATTCGGGTCTCTCCTATGACAGTTTCTTTCTTGCATTTCATCCTGTATCCAGTGGCTTTAACAATCTGCCCTCAGTATTATTAGCCAAGCGAAAAAAAAGAAAGAATTGAACTTTCTTTTCTGCTGCCCTAGCTCAATGCTGCAGAACTTTATTCTAAAACTTCTGGAACACCTTTTTACATTTCCTTCTTCCCACACTTCACATTCCCCCATTCATTTACACTGGTTCTCAAGTTACATCAACCCAAGGTAACCAAGTCTTTAGCTACACCCTCAGGGTGCGCCTTATTTACTGTTAACATGTGCATGTTAATAGGTAGTCATAAATGTCCTCAGTAAGTGTTAACTTTTCCTGAAGAAACAGTAAACTCCTGGAAGTCAGGGCTGTGCTCTAACACTATTGTGATGACATGGGAGGTACTAAAAAAATGCTGTCAAATTATTTCCATAGTTTTTTCATCTGAGTTACCTTTCAATCTGGGTATGTTTCATGAGGCTCTAAACTCTGTGGGTACTCCAAGGACAGGTTATCTCATCAGAATATTTCCTCCTGTTGGCTAGAAGTTTAAGTATAAGCCCTTGTCCTGCCAGCCATTCTTTAGCAATGGGAATTTAAATATTAAAAGAATGGAATTAAACTGCCCACACCTTGACTTCTTTTAAGTTTCTAACCTATGAGTTTTAAGCTGACTCTGGAAATTTTTAAATGGCAAAAGTGCTTCCCTGTAGCTCTCTCTCATCTCTATTGATCCCCCTTTTTTTTTTTAAATAAACATCCATCTATGAATAGCATTCAGCAACTTTGTTCTACTCTGGACCCTTTTGGCAGTCTGGTGACAGCTGCATACAATGTTTCTTAAAATCATGTCTTCAAATGCATAAAATGTTAGGATTATACCGGCAATCAATTATACTGAAATTCTGTTACCAAAATATCAAAACGAACAAACATCTTATAGTAATATATGTACTTTGCTTATGTATTAAATAACATCTAGTGTTTGGTCTAATAACTATACACATTTTGAAGTAGTGATATTCCAAGATGTCTACGACAGCAAAAATATAATATGAAAATACATGTGATTTCTATTGGTGACAAAGGTACTGCTGCTATTTCAGTGGTTATAGTCTACATTAGTAATAGAAAGAAATGCCAAATTTTACTTAAAGATTAGTGAAATTAAAGTGATTTTCCCTCATCCAAATTCATTGGCTCCCTACAGTCTATCTACAGACTCCATGTTGGTCTATGGACCCCAGGTTAACAACCCTTAAACTCTGAAGAAGGCCAACTTACCACATTTTTCTAACCATTCTCAGCTATGGCAAAGTCATCTGGAACAAGCATGAAGTAATTTCTCCAACTTTAATCCACTACTTTTCTTAAATTGCTACACTTAGGTTTTTAAAATGCCATTGACATCTGCCCCTTTCTTTGCTGACTACATATGTCTATAGTCTCTTTAAAATCTTTAAGTTTCTCTTAAATCCAGGTGTTGTTCCCCTTTCCAATAAATCCTAACACAAACTGGAAAGAAAAAGAGATTTGTTTCTCTGCTATGGAATTACAGATTTACATTGTACCTAAACATCTACTAGATCAAGTATTAATAACTGGTATGCCATTAGCTCATCTTTTTCCTTCATAGATCAATTCTTAGGGGATTATTACATATATCGTTTACTGAAAGATATACCTTTATTAAAAGACCACTAAGCAAGAATACTTACATATACCAAGAGACTGATTTATAGTTACCCCAATTTATTTTCCCACTGTGAGGCATGGTAGGTGATTTCTCTGTCTTCTCACTCTGAGGTTGCAGTTCTCTGTTGTACAGTACCAGATACACTGTAGGTGCGACTGGAACCCTGAAGAGGTCAGGTTTATTTGAGCGAACGTATTATCTTCTACTGGCCACACAAGGCATGGCTCTTAACTTATTCTTTCTCTGTCCTTCACCAAAACTGCAAATAGCCTTTTACAATTACACAATGTTAGAACCTAGAACCCCCCAACCCTCAATAGTAGCCTGGACCTACAGAACAATTATTCACTTTCCTCCCACCAACCCACAGTGATAAGTAAGGTGTCAGAAGACTAGGGCTTTCTGTAGTGGTTAGAACTTACCTAGGGTTCACTACAGCATATCTTCTAGTACTAAAAAACCAGTAGCCAAAAAAAAAAAAAAAACCCTTTAAATATCTAGGTCCAAAGGAAGTAGTGAGGTGAAGAAATATCTATGTATTTTTAACTAAAATCAACTAGTCTACTTAAATGCCTTTCTTACTTCAAACATTTTATGCTCTTTGTGTGCTTATTCGATAGAACTATTTTGAAGTTCTGATTTAAGACAGGGATTTCTCCATTAGTTATAGCATACATATCTATAATTATTTTAAAAAATAATGCCTGCTTTGTTTTTCTGTCACATGACTTATTATCTTAATATCCGCTATGAACTTTGCATTTCTTTCTGAGTAGGATCTTGAACATTTGAAAGGTACTAGGCAGAAATAGAGAAATGAAAAGGAAAAAACAATGATTTCAGAGAGCAAGGGTTAGGGTAAAACAACCTATTAAATAGTGCATACTGTTGCTCTGTTATTTCCAGGATTAACATAAAACCAAACTGGAAGCATAAACATGGAATATTATAGACCTAAGAAGATAAACATGGTATAACAATATTGACATTGAATGGACTTCAGGAACATAGCAAAGTCCTGTGCAAATTCTACAGCAACATAAAAACCACATTGCTTCTCTACAAATCAGCCTCCTGGGCACGTGCTCTTCAGGAAACATAACCAAGCCTTTTGGGATCATCCTTTTCATATTTAGAGCAGACATTATGAAAATCTCTTATAAAACAAGAGAATACCATTTCACCTTCAATTTATTAAAAAATTTTTTTCTAAACATAAAATGCAGTTCCGTTAAGGGTATGAGAAAATGGATGATCTAATACCATGCTATGAGAAGGTCAATTTGTACCATCTTTCTGGAGAACAATTTGTCCAAATGTATGACAATCCCTTAAAATATGTTGTCCTTTTGACTTCATTTCTGGAAATTTATCCTGAGGGTATAAGAATGGGTACATATATAAAAATTTTGCCGTGAGTATATTTGACAGGATAAATACAATTTGCAATATACAAAATTAGAAAGGACCTAAATGTTCAATAATCTAAGCCTGGTTAAATAAATGGCACACCTATAGAAAGAAAGGCCATCTACCCATTAACAATACTTTGTAAGTGTATGTATTAATACTGAAAAAAGGTGGCTGGGCATGGTGGCTCACTCCTATAATCCTAGCACTTTGGAAGGCTGAGGCAGGTGGATGGCTTGAGCCCAGAAATTCGAGACCAGCCTGGGCAACATGGTGGAATCCCATCTCTACTAAAAGTACAAAAAAATTATCCAGGTAGGGTGGCAGACACCTATAGTCCCAGCTACTTGGGAGGCTGGGGAGGGAGGATCACCTAAGCCAGGGGAGGTCAAGGCTGCAGTGAGCTCTGATCGTGACACTGCACTCCAGCCTGGGCGACAGAGTGAGACACTGTTTCAAAAAGACAAAAACGCCCATAGTATTTTAAATTTTACAAAAGGGCTACAAAGCGGTCACAAATATAAAACAAACATGTAAATATAAATCCGTTGTGAAGGATCTCAGAAACTATGCAGCAGATTTTTTACAATATATCTTTTTGAATGGAGGTGGTATTTTCTGTCAGTCTACAGTGTTCAAATTTTTGTTGTGAATTTGATGCTTTTGTAATTAAAAATGTATTAAAACATTTTTAATTAAAGGACTTGTCAGGATATAAATTAATTACTGCCCATATGAAGTATGATACAAATTTTTACTTTTCTAAAACAAGCACAAGTCCCCTTTTTGCCTCTGAAATATCAGCTTTATTCAACACCTTTGGCTGGGACTCAGAAATGAAGGGGATAACACATTTTTCTTTATTCTGACATGCATTTCCATTAATTACATGTTTTCGCTTGTGTTCATCAACAGTAAACTTCAGGGTAAGTTTTTCCTACCAATTTTAAACAGTTCTGCATGGCCAATTTTCAGGTCTGTCAAGAAAAGCCAAGACTAATATCCCAGTGTCATGTTTATAGCCATCTGTGTAGAAACAAAATCAGGTTTGGACAGCTTTTATCTTGCTAAGGTTCACATATTTTGATGTGTGGGATGAATACTTGGGTTTAGAAGCATAAATGGATTAACATGTTTGGCGGGGCTGGTGGGGGTAGAGAAATAGGGGAATTTCTTCAAAAGCAGCTCTTCCAAATATTGATGGAAAATAATTAAAGTGAAGTAAGCCACCCTGGGGTAGGGGGGTGCGGTGGAGGGTGGGTGTGGGAGGGGGACCAACAAAGTGAGACAAAGCGTGGTAGTTCTAGGTCGAAGTTGGAGCTTCCCACAGATATGGATAAAAATGAGATTTTTCTAAGAAAACTTAGAGTGAGCTGAGCAATTTTGTTTTATAGTCGTAAAGATTATTTCCTCAGTTGTAAAGAAATGAGGCAGCAGGCAACCACACCTGGTTCTGCATTGCCCCGGGGGATGGAGGGGAACTACCGTGGCTGTACGTCTGCCTCTGCAGGCTGGGTACACGGGTTGCAAAAGGCTCTCACCAGCCTTTAAAGCCCACAGGTCACAGTTAGGCCTTTAAAATACACCTGCCGTCTGGCCTCACACAGTTCCCTTATCATTTCCCTCTCCCTTTATTGGCCTGGAGTCATCTTAGAAGGGAATTATTAAGCATGGGATTAGGTTCATAGCAAACAATGATTTTTTTTTACTAACATATTAGAGATATCAGCTTTACGTCACACCTTTGGCAGCTTCTTTTGCCCAGTTAATAAAGAAGACGTTGGTTGCTCTGAATTCTCCATCCAGGAAGCTGGTTCTCTGACCCTTAGTTGCTTTGTGCATATGTAAGCCCATTCAGCATTTACCTGGTTTGTCCAATGGCCAAATTCTGCATCTTAGAATATTTTAAATATATTAAAAATGGTTACCAACCATAGCCAGAGAGTCTATAAACATTGTGACAGTAGCTTCAAGACTACCCAGTAGGAAGGTTTAGTATTGTATGAGTAACAAAGGTATGTTCATAAAATGGCTTGTCTATAAAACACAAAAATGTAAATGTAACTTCAAATTGGTTTTGAAAGTCTGAAATAAAACAGAAGAACTTTATAAGGAGATCCATATGGTAAACCTACAAGATACCAAACATCCAGATGCTTTCAAACATCTGTATTTCTGCTTGAACTTTCCCATTTTTCATTGATGTTTGGCTTCGTGTAGATACAATAAGGCCTTTACTTCCAACTTTGGCAGCTTTGAAAAAAAATTCAAGGAAAATATTTCATTACACAGTTTATTTTTGATACTCCCAATTTAAGGCGAACTTGCTCTTCTTTTTATTCCTCACAGTATTATTAAGTAGATGCCTAGTACATGTTGGTCAAATGAAGAAAAAAAAAAGACCCCTAATTAAATGCACAACTGAACAGGGAAACTATTTGAGGACAATTCTATCGTTACTAATAGCACGTCTATGAAATGGGGAGTACATTGATTCTGAATTCTTCATTCTACGCATCCATATTTCATCAGTCTTTATCATCTTTCATTATAATATATAGAGAGCCTGAATAATTATTCTTGTTTTACAGGTGAACATTCCTGAGGAACTGAAATATGAAATCTGTCAAGTCACATACAGAGATCCTGTAGATCATTCAACTGCCCATCCCAAATCATCCAATAAAATATGATGCTTCTCTAGCTGTAAAGGTTTATTACTGAAACCCAGTAGAGATTGATTTCTGCATTTCTTTATTTATTTTGGTCTGAATTACTGAGATGTGTGAATAAGAAGACTTATATTTGAGACATACCCTAGAATTCATTTTCTTCATAAAACCTGAGCAGACACCTTCGCCTCTCCATCAGGGAGGTGAGAGCTCACTTTCTAGCTGGTGTTGGTTGCTCTGGATAAAACTGGAATGATAGCAGAATCTACCTCATTAGGATTGTTGAGAGTATTGAGAAACCATGTATGAGGGCTTAATATTGTTTCTGGCACATAGCAGTTGCTCAAACAGGTATAACTTGCTGTTGTCATTAATGCTCATACTGCTGACATTGAGCTTGGCACATTAGTCTATTCTCAATAAATGTAAGTTCATTTCTACTTCCTGCTATGTAGATGCTGATAACATTTGAATTCCCTTTAATTATTTTAATGTGTTGTTCTGTGAGAAAAGATAACCCTGTTTTTGTTTTGTTTTGTTTTGTTTTCCCCTGTGGTTTCATTAGATGATGAATAAATTGGGCCAGTAAAACCAGTCTTCCTAAATGACCTCTGATCCTAGTCATGCCTCCTCTTGGTTGATTAAAGTGGAAGACTGAAACAGACTTCAGCATTGACTGACCCATTGGAAAACCCCTGATTGCAGGATTATTAACATATGAGCAAAATCCTCTATGGAAGTTGGAAGATATTCAGTCAGTCAGCAAATATTTGTTTAGTGCCTATGATAAGCCAGGCCTTTGATGGCTCTTTTTAAAAATGTAGGATAGATTATTAGCCCCACTGGCCAAACCCCTGAGTGTGCAAAAGACGGGTGTTGGGGCTGGGTGCGGTGTCTTATGCCTGTAATCCCAGCACTTTGGGAGGCTGAGGCGGGCAGATCACCTGAGGTTTTGAGTTCCAGACCACCCTGACCAAAATGGAGAAACCCGTCTCTACTAAAAATACAAAAAATTAGCCAGGTGTGGTAGTACATGCCTGTAATTCCAGCTACTCAGGAGGCTGAGGCAGGAGAATCACTTGAACCCAGGAGGTGGAGGTTGTGGTGAGCTGAGATCGCGTCATTGCACTCCAGCCTGGGCAACAAGAGTAAAACTCCGTCTCAAAGAGGGAAAAAAAAACAAAGGTGTTGGTAGTTCATCTGGCTTCTGAAGAGAGAAGGAGGCAAAGTAAGAGTAGGTTTAGAACTCTCAAAGCAGCAAAGGGATCTGTGAGCAGTAACGGCCTTTAGAAAGAACTAGAAAAAACATGCTATCCCAACAGTTTTCTACGGCCCAGAAGTAAATTCCAAACTCAATGGGGTATGTTCAAAATTGGCACAAGGCCGAGAGACACTGCATCAGAGATCAAAGATGTGGCCACTAAGACTCCTTTTTATTTGCCTTTGGAATTGGGGGGAGGATTCGTTAGCCAATCCCCCTTATACAGGTCAGTGCACCTGCAGGTTCAGAATTTCAAGCTGTCGTAAGGACTATGGCTCAGGATCTGCACAGGCATTCTTGGCCAACAATGTTTTAATTTTCTCTGTCCCTAAATGGAGTAAAGCTATTTGGGGCTGTTGTCGGTTGAAAGGCACTATTTACTGGGATATTTTAGAGAAGACAGAATATCATATCAGTCCCAGTTTATCCCTTCCCCTTTACCCCGTCACCCCAGCAGGAGAATAAGTCTCAGTACTGGATGACGGCCTCTGAAAAAGAAGGGCATGGGATATGAGATGGAATGCAGAGGTAGAGTCCTGGCTTACCACTTCCTGGTTCTCTCTGTGTTTCCATATCTGTCAAATGGGCATAAAATTTTCATACTCAGCCTCACAAGGTTACTTTGACCATCAAATGAGAGGTATAGGAACGTGCTCTGAAACCTCCCCCCTCTTTATAGACCATAGAGTCCGTGATGGGCTGTACCTGGCTGCTAAAGATAAAACAAACGTGAAAAATACACCCTAAGCCTCACAAATCTCAGAAAGCAGAGGAAGAGATCTGAGAAGAATTGGTTTAGATTTTTCATATTGGTAATCTGAAGAGGTATGAGTAATTCCTGGTATAACTATATGTAAAAATCACATGCATCAAAAGTACTCAGGGAAAAACTGAGCCCTTCTTTATCCTCGAGGAATTGCTTCACTTCGGTCAAGTTGTAATTATAATTAAAGAACACCATATTTCTGCCATGGTCCTTTGGTGTTAGGTTAGATTTGAATGTACCTACCAAAAGTTTCATCAGCTACATTGTCTTTACTCATATTGAGACAGGTAAATCTTTGCTTCATGGCTTTGGCCTTGCAAGTTGAAGAGCTTGGGTCCTGCTGACACGTTTTTTAAAATAGGAATATTAATTTGAGACTTATTTTCCTCCAACCCATTTGGCCATTCATTCCCAAATCTCTTTCAAAGAGAAGGACTCAAAAGGGGGCAATGTAAGGCTTAAGTTTTCTGCTGAAATTCCTCTGAGGGCCTACTCTCTGCTCTTTATTTGTATAAACATGCTATAATAAGTGAAAGATACTCGGGACTGGGTAGGAATGTCTCGCAAACAGCAGGAGACGCTAAACATTGTGTTTTATTCTCGATTCGTATCAGAAGAGGGCATTTTTAAAGTGGCCCTTTCTGATCATCATGTTAAAACAATAGAGGTGAATAAAGGTGAACATCTGAAAATCGGACACAACTCCTGCAGGCAGGGATATTTCAATTTTTTGTTTTATTTATTGAGATCTCCCTCTCCTTTACTTAATGTACAGAACCAAGTTATTTCACACTGCCACCAAGCAGTAGCTTTTTAAATGATTCAGGGTAGTATAGCTTTCATTTAGGTTTGTGCCCTCCAGTCTGTTTATACTGGTCGATACACTTGTCTGAAAAATATAATGGATTAGCACATCATTCAACAAGCTAGTCAGAAGGCAAGCTCAAGGCGACAGACACCAAAAAGTAAATTACAGTCCGTAGTTTGGGTAGGGCATGCCTAGAGCTAGGAAACATCGTATCAGCACAAAACCTGTATTCTCTGAGAATCGTGGTGGAACTGAAAGGGATGAAAAATTTACACTCAAATATAATAAAACAATCAGCTCTACGAGTTCATATGGTACTATAAACTGTGCAGTTTATGACGCCAAATGCAAAGGGAATCTGGTGCTACAACCATCCCACACATTATAACCTCAGCTGGAAACAGACATGGATGGCATTTGTTTCATTTAAGAGGCCCACTTTTGCAAGCAGGCGTAGATCATGGCTTACTTTACACATTCCATTTAAATATTTGTAAAATCCAGTTTGCCACAGGTTTGTATTTGGCAACCTAAGGGTTGAGGTGCCTACAAGGGGGGTGGGAGGGTGCTACAAGGAATATATTTATTCTTTCTTAGCTTCCTCTCTCTCTCTTCACCCTCTCTCATTCTCTCTTTCCTTCCATTTTCTCTTTCTCAGGAAACGAAAAGCAGTATTGATACACATTCTTAAGGTCTTAAATGTACATGTTCTATATTATCTACTTTGACGTGAACAAAATCATTACTAGAGTAGATATGTCTAGTTACAATTATTAAACAGTTTTCTATCTTATAATCATTTACTGTTAAAAAGAACAATTAGAAATAGATTTTAAAAGCCCAAAGGCATTTAAAAATTTTTCACCATAAAATAAGCTCCAAACAACAAAGCAAACAAATCATTTCTCTTACCAAGAGCTCACTGAAGGACTGTATCATCCTTAGACATTGTACCTCCACATGAATATTCTTTTTACCAATTATGTTCTGATAGTACAAAGACACAAATGAGGCAGAAAAGGAATGTGGGAGCCTCAGCACTCACAGAAATGTTAGGAACAATTGGAAAACCTACAAATTAGAGAGATCTGGCAAAACTACTTCATATGGGCTGCTTATAGGTGATTTAAGGGTCATGGAAAAGGAAATGAGGGTTTCAAAGTCTAAAATATTACAGAAAATACTTTCTCAATTTTTTCCTTTCAACTCAAATTATCAGAGTTAAAAAATAGGAACAATGAATACGATCTATGAATCTTGGATTGTTGCAGTGTTACTGGACTCGATCATCAGTTAATAGTCGAAAGCTAATGGGCAGGAGACCATACAGCAGTGGTTAACAAGCTATGTTAAATGGTAAAAGTTAATTGCATGATATGTTGGTCTACAATGGAATCCATTACTCTCCTTAGAATTTCCTAGGATTTTTGTCTTGGGGCAGGACCTCCTAACGTGTTTGGTAGAAAAGAGTTAGAATTATTCTTGCCTTGACCTGAGACTGGCCTTTCCTGCTTTGAGCTTTCCTCCTGCCTGGCATTACTGATACTTCAGCATCCTTGTCCCTTGCACCACTGTGTGCATGGACCAAGGTTGACCAATCCTAGCAAAAGTCACTACATACTCTTGTTCTGGTTTCACCTTTACCAGGTGAGAGCCACCATGAGTTCAGAACTGGTCTCTCTCCTTTCCCCCTCCCACCTCCAAAGTCCATTCCCCCACTTCTCAGCAGAAGAGGAAGAGATAACCCTACTTATTTCTCAGGTTCATGCCTTTCATACCATCAAGCTTATTCTTCTGAGACCTGGGTTCAATGAGGATCCCTCTCTTGAGTCTTTAAATATATCTTTCTATACACCCCAGCTTCTCCACTTAAAGTTGCCTCAGCTTCAAAATGAGATCCATCAACACTTTCTCTCCCTCAAACTACTTTTCACCCTCCCCTTGGTCCCTCCATCCACCTCACCTCCTTTCTTTGCCACCAAACTGCTTGGAAGAGAGGCCAACATTTGTTGAATACATTTGGACCTCTGGCCCCGCAAGCCACTGCATTTTGGCCCCAGCCTTCATGGGCGCTAGCCAATGACAGTCAAATCACGGAAATCTTTCAACTGATGGGTCTGATGGCTTTTTATCTTGCCTTATAATATTTTAGCTTTCGGACACTTGACCACATCCTTTCTGAAAGGCTTTTTCTTTGCCTTTCCTAATGACAACTTCTCAGGGTTCCTCCTGAGGAGGATACCAGCCAGGTCACTTTCTGATCATTTGTGCTGTATCGTATATGCTGCCTTCTCTTCCTCTGCCTGTCAGTAAACTGAGATTTTCTGAGGCTTGCCTTCTCAGCAGCTTACACTCCCTCTTTCTGAAACTGCAGGTTGTTCTTGGTAATCTCATCTAATTCCTTTGGGTCCAGGTATAATTTATATGCTAACCACCTCCCAACCTGGAACTTTGAACCCAACCTCTCTTGAGCTCTGAAGTCTGTCCATTCAACAGATGTCCCACGAGCTTCTCAAATGCCACATGTGTAAATCCAAACTAAGTTTTAAAAATGTACTTCCTTCTTGCTTTCCACCACATTTGATTGGTCACCATGGCATTGATCTTACCGGAAAAAGGCTTCTCGAGTCCATCCCCTTCTTTTATTTCCACTGGTGTGCCCTAATGTAATTACCTTTCACCTCTTTTCTGGACTATTTATCAGTCTTTTAATTGGAGGGTGCTTTCTATCCTCCATTTCTTTTTAGCCAAAATTAATTTTTTTCCCTAAAGCACAAATCTAATATTGCACTTTTCCCTTTAAAATATTTTACAGCTCCCAAGGGTCTAAAGGAAAAATTCCAATTTCCTTAGCTTACTCTGACACCCTTTCCAAATTGGCCAAGTCCTAACTTTCCAGACTCATCTCTCCCATAAGAAATAGCTTTGCATACATGCCTCCCTTTGCCTGGAATGCTACCTTTCCGTTTCCTACAAGGAAAATGCCTTTCAAACCCTGACCAAAAGCGTTACTTTTTCTTCAGTAAATTCTTTGCAAACTTCTCCAGGTAGAGTTAGTCATCCACATTCTATCTTCATGATTTGTAGTGGATCTCTCTATTGTGACCATGACATTCAGTATTCACTAAAATACTTGAGACTTACTACTTGTAGGTCATCGTAGCTTGGTTGCCATGTCTAAGGCATCTTGCAGAAACCAGCTCCTGAAGGGCAGGAACTATGCCTTAGTGATCAATAGCCTCAGTTTCCAGCACAGTTTTTGCACACGTAGGTCATTCAGCAAATACTAGCTGAATGCTGGCATGCATGGTTAAAAGCGTGGTTGAGTGTCATGGGAAACCTGGGTTTGGACCTGTTTTATTGATTACTTGGCCCTACTATTGAATGTTGGAATATTTCTAAAAATGTTGAGTATCAGAATTTTCAGGTATATCTATATAACTTTACTGATGTTTTCACAAGTTCATTTACACCATTAGCATTGTGAGAATTAACTTTTTTTTTTTTTTTTTTTTTTGAGAAGAAGTCTCACTCTGTCTCCAGGCTGGAGTGCAGTGGCGTGATCTCGGCTCACTGCAACCTCCGCTTCCCGGGGTTAAGCGATTCTCCTGCCTCAGACTCCCGAGTAGCTGGGACTACAGGCACCCGCCACCACACCTGGCTAATTTTTGTATTTTTAGTAGAGACAGGGTTTCACCATGTTGGCCAGGCTGGTCTCGATCTCTTGACCTCATGATCCGCCCACCTCGGCCTCCCAAAGTGCAGGGATTACAGGTGTGTGCCACTGCGCCTGGCCAAGAATAACTATTTTATGGCTCTGAGCAGGATGCTTAATTGTACCATGTCTCAGTTTCTCTTAACACATAAAACGAATAATTTGACATGCCAGTTACGTAAACCGTCCAGAGGTAACTAGCGTTCCTGGTTAACAATGAGTGCTTTGGAGTCAAGTGGGCTGGGTTTAAACGCTAGTTCTGCCACTTCCTTGTTGTATGATCTTGGGCAAGCTATTTAACCTCTTTGCCTCAGTTTTCTTACCTAGAAAATGGAGACTGTCATTGTACCTAACAATCGTTAGGATTACAAACCTTAATGTATTTAAAGTACTTAGAACAGTGCCTGGCACAGAGTAATAGCTTAATAAATGTTAGTTAGGGCACTTGTTCTTCAAGTCACCTGCTTGGGCTTCTTCCAAGCGTCCTTTCCTTTCTTTCTTGTTCTAAAGCCTTTTAAATTTTTAAAAAAATGTAATTATTGTTAATTAGGAGGCTATAAATATGAAGAGATAAGGCTCACAGAATGATTGAAATACCTCACAGAAAAGGCACCAGGAATGCACAAGTCAATCATTAGAATAATAATACCTCTGAATTGTTTAGAATTTTATATATTTTCTGTGTATTTTCCACTTTTTAGACCCTCAGCCACCCTATGAAAGGTTTGGGAAATATAATAAATATGAATTGACTATGTGTAAGTGTCTAGAGTCAATAAAATCAGTATTTATTCTAGAAAATGAAATACCCTTGTGAAAAAGAAAGTCAGTCTGTCCTTTGCATTAGCCCACAATAAAAGGGTAGCGATGAGGTATCTGTGAGAACTCAAGTTATTGACATCACTGACCTATAAACATATCCCCTTCAGCATGATATACAGCACTTCAGTACCCTTGTTTTTGTATAATTGCTATTACCAAAAGCCTTTCAATTTCGAGTGCTCAAATGAGAGCAATTCATATTTCAGATAATCTGCCAACAAGGGAAACTAATTTCAAAATATTTGATCATAAAAGTTGTCCTCAGCTTCTACAGAGATAATTTAGTCAAATAATATCAGATAATCTGAAAGCAGTCTTAGCAGGCAATTGCTAGGGACGCCATCTAAGCAGCCTCCTTTTGCACTTATATAAATGTACTGAAAGTGTAGGAGACTTTGACAGCCTGCCATATGTGATTTCATTCCGTAGCCTACCTACTTTACCATCAAAAGTTATATCCTTTGAAGCATTGCCAGAATTACTTTACCCCAGTAGATATGCTAGATGTGCCCTTTAAAAGCCGTATCATTTCTTTTCTACTCTGACTAGTTCAGGGTAGCATCTGCTCAACTAAATTCCTTTGAAGGGTAAAAATAAAATAGCCTACTTCGCCAGGCTCCCCTCCTCGAGCCCTACCCCAGTGCTTACGAAAAAATGTCCAGCGTTGGATGAACTGCAGAGAGCACACATTTTAAAGAAGAAGGAGCCTGAGAAATTGCCCTTTCGTTTCACACTTAAGAAAAATGAAGATTCAAGCTGCTCCAAGGTCACTGGCCTGACTAGCAGCAGCGGCAAGACCAGAACCAGGTCTCCTGGATCCCAGTCCAGAGCCCTTTCTCCTGCTTTTCCAAAGACTCAATGTCTAACAGACAAAAGGATCCAGCCAGAAACTGACAATAGGAAACACCACCAACGGAGTGTCTTAATTTTATAAACAGAATATGAATGCTTGGATTTCATCTCCAGGAAACATTTGCTTTTTAGAAATACTCGTACTTGGCACTCTCTCTCCTCAGTACTGCTGACAGTTGCAGTCAGTTATTACACTGTTGTGACTTGGAAGCTGATGCCCCCAAACAGCTCAAAATTAGTAACATCATGATTCAGGATTGTCTGTTTTCCCTTCAGCTTGCTAATCTATGCTTCTTTTATAATTATTTTAAAAGGCACTATCTGATTTCCTGAGCACCGCCCCAGGTGTTCTAAGTGATAATGAAAGGATAAACATATCATCCAGTGTCACAGAGCAGTTGTGACATTTTAGAAATATCTTCAGTTCAACTCTTCTAATTTCCATGTATGCTACAGCCAAGGTTGCAGGCCCGTGTTTTTACTAAAGAGCTGAATGAGTCCCAGTAATTGCATGATTTACTTGTCTGCTCAAGTGAAAAGGTTTTGAAATGTAGTGGAATGGCACGGTCCTTTCTTGGTCTTTGCAAACCCGGCAACGTCAACTTTAATTAATGAGCCGGAAAAATTATGGGTTTTTTTATTATTATTTCAGGGAATTGGTTCCTAGTCTCACCTCTTATTTTCCTTGAATTTGCATCTTCTGTCCTCAGGGATGTGTAGACTTTTCTAATTCACACAGTTATGTAGACAGGACATCACAAGCATGCAAAACTGCTGCTGTACAGCACTCTGAAGTGACCCTGGACAACTAGACTGAACAGTCGGATCATGTTTTCCTCTTCCAGATGACCAAGTTGCAAGCAACATTCCCATTGCACTTGGCAACCAAGGCTAAGGAGATCTGTGCTTACTAGGAGCGATCTTAAAAAGTTGTCTGCCAAAAGAATCTCATTTTCCATCCTCATTTCTGATTGATCTTAAAATGGAATGCCTCTGAATACTTTAATTTTTGTGCCTCTCTCTCTTTCCTTCACTCCCTTTTGATTTTGTAGATTAGATAACAATCTCTGTATAGACATTTAAAGCCCAAAAAAGGAACTCACCACTTAAAGGAACACAAATACCCCATCTGTATTGTAATACAAATAATCTCTTACTTAGTCATCTGGCAGGTTTTTAGCCTTAACATTTCTTAAAGCAAGGCGAGCCTGTACATTTTATGGTAAAGAGCCAGATCTTTACCATAGATAGAGCTAGCACTATCATTCACATTTTCTGGAAATATTTCTGCGTCTCCCCTGTTTATAAGGACAAGAACGTTTAGTACAAACGTTTTTTAAGTTCCTAAGAAATACCAAGTTTAACAATTAGGGACTTTAGCCAGAAAGAAGTATCGAAGAAAGTAGAGTAGGAACAAATATGTGAAGGTCAAGGCTATAGAATAAAACTCAGAGGTTCAGGAAACCATCCTCTATCTGCATGTTCCTTAAAGCCTTAGCGCGTTCCTAGTGAAGAACCAATTTTTTTTTTTGTTTCCATGGCAAAGCAGTGCTAAACAGGATTACCTGGGGTCCTAAAACAATGTTTCTATTGGCGAGAGAAGGCCAAGAGGGAAGGGGTTTCTTAATATAAAGCTTGCTTCTCCAAAACCTAGATGAAAATCTAAACAGCATCTGTAATTCTTTACCTGATACCCAGATGCATATTACTGACATACTTCCTAGGTTCACCAAAACCCACACATGGCCCACAGGTATCTGTGTTACCTCTGCCAAGGGCCTTGAACTGCCTTGAAAACATCCAATCTAGGCCATATTTTTTCCTTCCCAGGGAAAATTTCTTTCTGCATACATTCTCTTGCTCTCAAAAAGTTTGCATAGTTATTGAAAGTAATAGATTTAATCTGCCAGCACATTAAAAATTAACAGCATCAGAGAAAGTTTTTGTCTTATTATTGAATGTGGTGAATTTGCAGCTGTAGGAGCCTGAAAGGAGGAGACGCCCAGAGGAAAACCTGGTGTGCTGCTTTAGTGAGTCATTTTGGAAATTATTTATATCTGTAGATAAAAATGCAGTAGGCACGAAAGCCATATCAGAAAGAAACAAATTGTATGCATTTATAAACATATATAGGCATGTGAATAAACACATATTCACACAAAAATGCATCAAAAGATACTTTAAATAATTCAACTGCTATCAGTCTCTTTAACAATGATGATTTTAAGAAAAAGAGATTATATCTTTGGACTGTCATTCCAAAGAAGGGAGTGAGGATGAAAGATAAAAAGCCATAGGGCATTTGTTGTCTAAAACTGACATCAATTTTCAGGTTACCAGCCTAGTTCTAGAACTTATGCAAAAATCTAAAGTCAATTTCCTTATTACAGTCCTACTGAAATTATCACTGAAATTGTTGCCATGTTACTTCTGTCATGAAACCTTATCTTCTTATGTAAGAGCTAAAACCCAATATAGATTGAATGTGTGTGTATAGAAATGAAATTTGGATTTCACATGAATTTAATGATTTTAGACCTCCTTCCCAGAAGGTCAAGTTATTTCTTTTTCTTCATATGAGCAGTTTGCATTCACTCATCATTCTTATAGGGTCCAAGCTAACTGAGAAAGGATAGCTGGCTTTAGTGTAGAGGTATTATTTTGCATATATTGCCCATATAAGCACCGCATTATGGACAGAAATTATCTTTACTTTCTAACTTTGCATAATAAAATAAGCCATTAAATTAATACCATATAGAAAATACTGCTTGTCAGGCAAAGAAATGCATATTGCTTTCCAGAAAACCAGGGACATTATATTGCCAACGCCTGCATGAATAATACATGGGTTAATTCAGAAAAACACCGTTTCATTATTTAAATATGAATAAATTACAGACTTAGAATGATGACTAAATTTTCTTAATCTTACTTTTGCTCAGTGCTCTACTTCAAAATGAATCTGAAAATACTGTTTAATCCACACAAATAAAATGAACTAGCTCCTTACAAAGTATTTTTTTTCTGACTTTAGATCTCTTCAACTATAAAATGAAGAATACTCCATCTTCCTTTTTTTGTCTTGCTCACTTTAAGTCCAGAAATTAAGAAGCAATGTAGGTTTTCGATTCATACATTTGAAAATGGTAAGCTTATCTTGAATTATCCTGAGATTCTATGATTCAGTCTAACAAGAACAGCTCGCTGTGCACAAACTTCCTGTGTTTTAGCCTCAC
The DNA here is from genome assembly GCF_000001405.40 of Homo sapiens. Taxonomy (NCBI): domain Eukaryota; kingdom Metazoa; phylum Chordata; class Mammalia; order Primates; family Hominidae; genus Homo; species Homo sapiens. Next base: position 33,567,910 of record NC_000014.9, on the reverse strand, counting down.
TGTCTGGAAAAATATGTTCAAAGGAACAAATAAGAATAACATGATTCTCACGTATGATGACGCACATTTCTTTCATTCTCTTTCACAGATAGTGGTCTACTCTGAAGACCTGTTAAAAATCAGTCCCATTTGGGCACTGATGAAAGCATGAGGAGAGAAAGAAATGCACCTGTAATAAGAAATTAATTTGGAGTTAAAATAAGTAAAACATCCCCACGCAGTGCATTCAGGCTAAGCATAGAGTGACAGCCAGCAGATTATTCTACCGATTTCTAATGCTGGAAATTCGGATGGCATTTACTAGCATAACCTTTCAACTCTGAGCACATCAATAGAGGCCGACAGTGGCTTGAAATATGATTCCTTGCAGATAGCATATCCTCATTCATCTGACTGTGCTGCTCTGTGCTCCATTGCACAAACAGCGTCTCACCCACTTCTGAGAGGACACTAATAAAAAAGGCATCAATTTTCAGCTCTAGTACTACTGTGATCTCTTTATATGTTCGACATCCAACATTAAATTAAAATGCTGTTATAAATCCTACTTTCTGAATCTGGAATGAGTGTTGGGTTTTTGTCGCATGAGACTGCAGCAAATCTTGTCAAAAGCAAGGAAGCACGTCTTGTTCACTCAGAATTAATGTTGTGGATGAAAGAAGGAGGTAAAAGGGGTTGAATATGGTGAACTGAGGGTGTCAGAGGCAGTGGGGACTGAAGCTTCAGGGTGCCACACCAGGCAGGGTATTTGCTGCTTTCAAGAAGTGGCTAATCAAGAATTGTAATTATCAACGACAAGCTGTGTGGCAGGAAGATTACTGATCAACAGACATACACATCCACACATCCATACATATCAACAGAAAAATTCTAGGCGTAAAAAAATTGTCGATTATTACCCTGTGGAAGAAAAATACTTTCCAAACACCAACGGTCCTGAAGAAGCCCTGTGGATTCTATCAAATCTCTGCAAAGAGGCTGCCACTGGGATTCAAAGCCAAATAGCACAGGTGACATGTTTTCTGGGCCTTATGTCATTGTTACATAATTTTAAGGTTATAAGAGAAATACCTTAAATCACTGGATTGCAAGAGAATAATATTGTTAGATACTGACATGTATGACTTAAGACAGTTTCAGAAGGGTTCTATGTAAAGATGACAGGGGAGGGAGGAAAATAAAACACCCTGCAACTACAGAGAAGAAAGAAACTGGTAAGGTTTTTCCACTCTGCTCAAGGTGGCGATGCATTATAGGAGAACATTAGGGATTTTTTCTACTCTTTCTGATGAAAAGATCCCTGCCAATATAGATGATCACCTAAGAACTATGAACTAAAAGGCATTAGGAGCTTCAACAAAGATACAGAGCACAGAGCTGTATTCTTCTGCCTGGCTCGTTCATAATTATGGATGAAATAAAGAGGCGTGTTTGCCTATTTGGAAGGGTGGGGTGGAAGGAAAAGGGGGGAAGAACGAGCAGTTCAATATCTGGATCGAACAGAGGAACTTTTTCCCCCAAGGATCCTGCCGGGAGGAACCTTGACATGCACAAAGTCAGAACGTAGACAAAGTTGCCCTGGTGAGAACGATAAGGTCACCCGTGGGATTGCTGAGATTATCTCTGTCAAGCACTCGGACAGCATGCAGTCAAATGATGCATCATGCAGTCATTTTCGGGGGGGAAAAATCAATTTCTTCACCAGGTCGCTATTTGCTTTTCAAAGTGCCCTTGTAGGCCTTCACCACCAAGCATTTATCAATTTAAATGTTGTAAATTGATAATGTGCCACTGTGCCTTGTACTGTTTCTGAATTATTTTGATACTTATATTTTCTCAATAGTCTCCAAACCCTCAGAGCTTCCACATTCAAAAGGGCATTTTTCTTTGTTACACCCAGAAGTGATGAACTTTTCATGATTAGTGTACAGGAGACAAATGTAGACTTGCTGGTTGGGGTGGCAGGGGGGTGGTCACAAGCTGCAGAAAATTATATATTTTTCTGCTTTTTTTTAAAAAAATTAAGGTATGTCTACTTGAAACGTTTTGAAAAGGGGGGCCATAAAGCAGTATTTGCATTCATTTATTAAAAGAACTCCAGTTATCCTAGCATTGAATACATTTAGAACACCAACTGCAAAAATGCTAACACTTGGCTCCATCATTGTAATCCCTCTGCTGTGTTGAAATAATACCTTTTTTGTCTTTATATTCCAGCTCTTTAGGATGTCATGATGCCAAACAAGAATAATAACTTACAAGGAAAGCTAATGTCTTCTTTTTTTTTTCAACCCCACTAAAGAAATATATATATCTTCTACAAGCAGGGAAGTAAGAGTATTAGCCACATACTAACCTCAACTTGATTTGCATTGAAAAACACAGAATGGAAGAGTGAGCCTTGCACTTTGGAAAAGCAAAAGAAAGACATGGCGGTTGCAAAGCATCTTTAACCTCCAGTGATTTATTGGCCCTCGGCCAAGTTATCAGGGGAATCTAATTCTTCTTTATTATTCAAATAAACCACATTTGGCACCATGGTTCCCTTTCAGAATAGCTTCACAAATAGACTGAGCTCTGTCATTTATTTGACCTTGTACTTGTGTGCTGTAGCTGTAATTTTATTTGCCATTTTATATAACAAATGCAGAGAAATCTAAAATATGGAGATGAACAACAGGATAAGGAAAGGAGTTTATGGCAAATATATCTGCATGGCTTAAAAAAAATACCAAATTTAAAACAACCACTTACCCCCTTTCACCTTCACCTCTATTAACTCTTATTATAATCTGCAGCCACCCTGCCCTTTTCAGCAAGCTGCCTTGAATCAAGCCAATTTGTAACCTTGTCTGCAGCTACCTTCTGGCTGGCTTACAATAGTCAGGAAATACCTTATATAAGGGTGAGGACTTGGTGAGAAAAAGGGAAGTGACTCATTATGTGCAGGAGGGGACTGGAGGCAGTGGGGGGTGATTAGAACACATTTCAAGAGAGGTTTTAGCTGGCACGTAGGGTATTTTCTAATGGTATCACCCCATACAAATGTGTAAATTTCCTGGCTTGCTCTAGATCTCATTTTTGTTGTAAACAGGACCCTATATTAACTTGAATGCACTTTGCTGGGATAGGTGTGCATCAGAATTATCCTGTCTCACCTCACTTTCCAGAAAAAATGTTTTCAGAGGATGTGAGTCCAATTGTATTCTCTGGTTAACTGAGTCTCTCATGTCCTCTGCCTCTGGCAACGATAATGTGAATTTCTCATGAGGGCTTAGAAGAAAATGCAGGATGTGAGTATGGGTGAAGGAAAGCCAGTTTGAAACCCTGTAAACCACCAAACTAGCCAATGCTATTGTGAGGCCTGGATGCGGGAACAGAACATCGCTCTCCGATGGTCTTCCGCACAGCTATGGCTGGCGGGGAATGGGCTTCTGCCTGCTTATGAGATTTGTAATTTGGGTCTTTGTGTTTGCTGTGTAGATCACGACAGCCTTGCTGTGAATATGGACTCCAGTGGAAGCAAATCAATGTCATAATCTACAGGTTAGCTCTTCCAAAATCCTACGTGAGATTTTCAGATTTCAGTCCCAGAAAAACTTTGCCTTCCTTAAGAAACAATGGTTTTTCATTTTTGATGGTTTACTGGATTTCCCTTTTTGCTTTGGTTACCATGAAGCTCATGGTTACATCTGAAACTTTAATAAAGACCATTTATAATAAATGGTCTTTTTATGAGCCTCTTTGTTGTGTTTTCCTACTATGTGGTAACAGTTTACCTACTTTTGCTTATCTCCTTTTCCTTATTCCCTAGTTCTATTTTGACATTATTTTTATCATATGTGTTTATGTAAGCTATTTGAAATCCTTTGTGGAAAGAGGAGAGTATAAGCCAACAAATAAATATTTCTCTAAGCTTTAAATCCTGTATCAACTAGAAATACTTTTTATTTATCATGTAAAGTCTCTTTTGGATTCTTTGGCGATTAAGCCCCTTACATTTTGGAAGAGATTTCATAAACGCTGGCTATATATCATTGCTACATTTTCAGTGTTAGGGAACCCATTCTGTTTTCTTAATTCATTTTCACTTCTGCCTGTTCCATTATAGCTAGAAAGCAGAGCTGTCATGAACAGCTCTGAATGCCATCATCAGGTATAACAAGTTATTCAGTCTCTATGCAAGCCAAACTCAGCATCAGTATGTGGGAATCTTCCTTTAAGATAAGGCCTCTTGGTGAGTAACTGGGCATCATTTTTACACAGGAAAGCAAGTCAACAGTGCATACTTCTATAACCTGAAACCAGTTCTTGGATGTTGTTAGGTTAAATATATACATCTCTCCTCTCTCTCTCTCTCTCTCTCTCTCTCTGTGTGTGTGTGTGTGTGTGTATGTATGTGTATCTGGCAAAGTCAAGAGGACTGTTGAGGAGCTTCAGAAATCATCATCATTCACTCATTCCCATAATTACAACAAGATGAGAATACTTTAAAGAGAATACCTGGCATGCACATGCCCTGGACACCAGGAGCTGTCCCACCCAAGGGAGAGTCAAAGAGAAAATCCGCTCTGGCTGTCTCTATCCCCATGCTACACAACAGAGCTCAGTAGAAGTTTCCCTATCTTGTTTTCTTGTGAGCCAAAAAAGAATCCTAATTCTATCCTGAGCATAAGCTGTTTTAAAGCCACCACATTTATGTACACATTGAAAGAAAATAAAACTGAGGAAGGGATATCTTGAGAGTTAGCAATACAGACATAGCTATGCTCTGTAACAAACTGACATGCTCACAGTCCTCCTGAACAATTTCACTGGACAAGTCTTTGATGACAGAGTTACACATTGTCTTTATTTAACAAAACTATTTGGAAAGGAAAGGAGGGTCCATAACTTTACAGATTCCTTATCACTGTCTAGAATTTGATAGAATAACCACTTAGCCAAAGTTGTAGCATACAAGCAGAGCATTTGGTTTGCATTTGATTAAGGGTGTGTGTGTGTGTGTGTGCTCATAAAAGAACAAATGCTTAATTTACTTAGAGTATATTTACTTTGTATATCACCCCACAACCCCTAAAACTGAAAAAGGGCATTGATGAAACTTGGAAAGAGTTGTATCTTGGGGACCTCTATTTCTCTATTAGGACTCAAACTGGGTTGAAAACTCTTTTCCAGAGTTTTAGCATAGATTTTTTGTTTTTCCCTCATGCTTTGGGCTTTTAAAAATATATCATGTTCTTATCAGATTCTTTTCATATTAATGCAGAACTATACTTAAGCTTTAGTTTTGAACTCTAAATACATAAACTGGTATACGCAAAAATCACTTTTAAATACATAAATTGGTATATGCAAAAATCACTTTCTACTGATTGACCCCTCATCAATTCAGTTGTATAGTGCTGCCAAATGAAGGCCCATGTCTCCTATCTCATAGCCTCTACCTGCATATTTGACAGTTTCTGCCAACACTGAACACATCCACCACAGGAGAAGAAGGCAATGGCACATTTTGGCCAGGGTCTGCCCCTGGATAAGTCAAGATGCCGACTACTGGTACGTGCTTTAAAACCCATTATATATAAAAGCAAGGACTGACTGCACAAAAATTGCCAGATACTGTACCATGTCTACACAGTTGCTTTATTTCACAGAAGCGTCAATTATTTGTCTCAGATTTTACTTAATGATACAGTAGAAAAGCAGCTAAATAAAATACTTTTAAGGAGAAACCAGCATAGGGTTAAAGCCAAATTTTTCTTGAACAGATGATATTTCAGATGGCCGCACTATTCCAGATGCATCAATTTCCTTGAAAATCCGATCCATATATGTGCATATGCTGTGCTGGCAGGAGGACTGACTGAAATGGCCAAAACCCAAGAGCTAATATTCTTTTGGCCAGAATAATGCAATTATTATTTTCCTAGCTATCAGTCTAAGCATACAGAGCCATCTGTTATGCAAAGCAAACATACACATCTCAATTACAGAAAATGCAGTTGCCTTGACAGAATTTGGATTACACCACTAAGCAGGGCTGTAAAATGTGTTTTGAGCTAGTATATAATGGATGCTTTTCAGGAGTTCCCTAATTAGCATTTACCTGCTTAAACTAATTATTCACCCTTCTTCTTTACTGGCTTATTAAACTTTGCTGGATACCCTGCATGAAACATGAATATGTGCATTGCAGAACAACAAACAGTGGTGTTTCCAGTTCTGTATGGTAATAACAACATCGCGACATGGTGGCTCACCGATTTCAAAATTGAAGATTCTCAATACTAGGTCCCAGACAGATTAAGACAAGGCTTAAAGTCTGTTAAAGGCTATTACAAAACCAGATCTTTCAATAAGATACAAGAATAGTAATACCGAGTTAACAAAAGCTCGGTTTCTATCATTTGGTTTGCTAAAGTCCACATAAAATAGAATTACTCCACACACTATAGCTGAGAGCTTGCATGTTCTTCAAAAGGCATTAACAGACCAGACCCTTGTTTGGATTCTCAACAGTAAATAATCAAATTTGGCAGTGTTTCTCCTCCTTCCCCAAGCCTCCTTACATGCCAAATCTCTCTCTCTATTATTTTCCAATGTCTTTCTTGATTTAGCTATTACCCAGCAAACTCACTCACAGCCAAAAGAGTCCAGCCTTGCTGGATGTCTCCTTAGAGCTGTGCCAACTTTCAGAAGCAACGAGTCTGGGGTAGGTCCTGCTTTAAAGGAGAGAGACAAATCTTATCTCTATCTCTAGCTTCAAGGGGCAACTGAACGAGCGGTAGATTATCCAACTTGGCAGATTATCACACACACACAAAATCCCTCCCACTGAGGCAGTGTTTTCCTCATGCCAAACTACCAGATGAAAGGGGTCAAACTCAGCCAATCACCTGTATGGGCGCAAATACCCAGATGTTCAGCATTTTTATGGAGAAAACATCTGGATAATTAGCTGAAGTGCAAACCTTGCTTCAGGATATTTTGGCATTCACCAGATGCAGCCCGTGTCTTGGCATTCACTGGAACTTAAATTTTTGTGTTCCAGGGGAATATCGAGAAGTAACATCCAGGATTTTTGTCCCTGGCCCATCAGCCTCCATTTTCTTTTCTTTTCCCCTCCGAAAAACACATGTGAGTAATTAAATGGCAAATAATGAAAAGCTGTCTTATTTTATGAAATCATCTTTCAGCATTAGGAAGCATTTGCAAAGGCAGCAAAATATATCCTTGCTGGAACCCTCCCTGCAACGCATTTTAATGGTCTCTTTCGGCATTTCTTGACTCCAAATGACTCCTGCCATTGTGTCAGCTCCCAGGATAATGCAGGGTACTCCATAAACATCCAGTAATAGGACACAAGGGAAGCACTATTAGTGTGTCCCTCTCCTACTGGGCACAGAGGTTTCAAAGTTCAAAACAACCAAGGGAAGAAACTTCATTTGTTCTCGATAAATTAATAATGATCCTTGGGGGGTGGGGAGCGGAACTAAAGTTTTTGAGCACAAGTTTATTCTGAATGTTCAACACTGACACACAGGTTTCTCACTGACTTTGAGAGAACAGTCAGGTAAAGCCATTAAATAATACATTTGATAATTCATGCTAAACAGAATATTCCTTGAAGAAGGAAAAACATGAGGCTGAAGAAGGCTTCATAATCGCTGCCAAGAATCTAAAATTGTTTTACTTACTTGTGAGAGGCCTAGGTAGATGGAGACTGTTTCGGAAATGTACAAAAATTTTCCTTCCTGATTTAGTGCAAATACAAAGCCATCCAGGGACTGCAGGAAAAAGAATAAATATATAAATAGATTAATAAATACAAAGGATGCAGATTTAATTAGTAAGGCAACTGAGAAAAAGCAATACATTGAATTTTTTTTTTTTTTTTTGAGACAGAGTCTTGCTCTGTCTCCCAGGCTAGAGTGCAGTGGCACAATCTCGGCTCACTGCAACCTCTACCTCCTGGGTTCTCCTGCCTTAGCCTCCCGAGTAGCTGGGACTACAGGCATGTGCCACCATGCCCAGCTAATTTTTGTATTTTTAGTAGAGACAGGGTTTCAGCATGTTGGCCAGGCTGGTCTCGAACTCCTGACCTCAGGTGATCCACCTGCCTCAGCCTCCCAAAGTGCTGGGATTACAGGCGTAAGCCACCGCGCCCGGCCACGCTGAATTTAAGACCGTCTTTTCTCCATGTTTAACGAAAGTCCTAAGATCTTTTAATATTGCATTATACATGAACAAATTAAATGTCTGAATTAAGACTGAAAGCTTTCTTTTACTTTAGGGACTTATGTCTCTGTCATTTTGATCAAGATACATTACATTCATGTACAAAATAAGGTCATGCTGATTTTATGAGCTGTTGCCTTTATTTTTTTTGGATTCAGTGGTTACTGAGATTAAATCAGCAAGATTCTCCATTAAATAGTTGAACAGGAATAAAGATCGTAATGAAATGAAAGAAAAAAAGGCTTCCTATATCAAGAGCAAGTAAAATCACTACTTGCACTACTATGAACATCAACAATTTGCTAATTAATAAGGAATTATGCCTTCTTTACTCCCAGTGCCCATTGTGTTAGAACAACAGGAAATGTCAATACATTAAGGGATAATGTTTATGGGCTGCAATCTTACAAACTGTAATCCTGTTTTGCAAAACTCTCTGTTAAAGTTTTATAGTGACAGTTTTAGTTTCTATCACCACTCCTGAAATGGAACAAAAGAAGAAAGAAAGAAAGAATAAAGAAAGAAAAAGGATGCTACACATCATCTGTAACTCCTAAAACCTCAGTCCACTTTCCAAATGGAGGGTTGCATTTTCAGTTTGATGAATGGTGTAAATCATCATGAACTCCAACTGCAATACAGCATTCAAACTGAGAATAAATTTGTTTCACATTCTTGCAATCCAGTGCATCCTACACCCTCTGTCATCCGCATGTCTTTTGTTTTGCTTTATAGTTATTTTTAACAAGGTAAGTTGCACAAATGCTGCTTGTACAGGAAAAAAAGTTTTTAAATGTGAGTGGTGTTAAAAAAAAAAAAAAGGCCGTGAATTTGCAAATACAGGAAACCCGCGCTAGGAGCAAGGTGTATGAAAACACTAAATTAATGACAAAATTTGTAAAATATAGAAAGGTGGAAGAAGCGTGTAAATTTAGTTAGAAATATGTGCCTTCTCAAATCCTAGCAATAATTTCAGTCTCCTAAAATACTGAATTTTGGGGGAATGTATATTATATATATTCTTATATATATATGTGTATATATATGTATGCATACAGATGCACACACATATATTATATGTATGTACGTATATATAAAATTTTGATTTTCTGCCAGATACAGTGGCTCATGCCTGTAATCCTAGCACTTTGGGAAGCCAAGGTTGGCAGATCACTTGAGACCAGGAGTTCAAGACCAGCATGGCCAACATGGTGGAAACCCCATCTCTACTAAAAATACAAAAATTAGCTGGGTGTGGTGGCACACCTGTAATCCCAGATACTTGGGAGGATGAGGCACAAGAATCACTTGAGCCCGGGAGGAGGAGGTTGCAGTAAGCCAAGATCACGCCACTGTACTCCAGCCTGGACAACAGAGCAAGACTCTGTCTCAAAAAAAAAAAAGTGAATTTTCCTGTTTCCTGACCTGTTTTCACTGCCCCACTGGTCAGAAACTGTGGATGACACCCAATCCCCTCCTCTGATTTCTTGGGTTCTGAAAACAATTCAAAAGTCACATTATATTGTTCCACTAAAGAGCAGATTACATGATAGATGAGCTTTTAGCTACAATAATACAATAATGCCAACTTACATTTATTAAGCATTCTGTGCTAAGCAGTTTGCACATATTGTCTCTTTTAATTTTCACAAGTACTATATGAAATTATAGTATTATTATCTACATTTTTTTTATTTTTTTGAGACGGAGTCTTGCTCTGTCACCCAGGCTGGAGTGCGGTAGCGAGACCGCAGCTCACTGCAAGCTCCGCCTCCCGGGTTCACACCATTCTCCTGCCTCAGCCTCCCAAGTAGCTGGGACTACGGGCACCCGCCACCACGCCTGGCTAATTTTTTGTATTTTTAGTAGAGACGGGGTTTCACCGTGTTAGCCAGGATGGCCTTGATCTCCTGACCTCGTGATCTGCCCGCCTCGGCCTCCCAAAGTGCTGGGATTACAGGCGTGAGCCACTGCGCCCAGCTGTTATTATCTACATTTTATATACAAGGAAATTGAGGATTAGTGAAGTTAGGCAACAAGCCTATTCCTAGTTTGGAGTTTAGATTTGAACTTTGGCAGTGGGACTTAATAACTAACTATACTGCCTTACAATAAAAATAAAGATTCTCTAATTGACATGTGTAAATTAATGAAAAGGCGAATATTCACAGCATTTCTGAAATTAAAATATTTACCCTAAGAGGCAGCCTGTACATCTTAAACATCACCCCTTGCTTTTGAACAATTTGTGTTCAAACAATAGAATCCTTTCATTGTGGGTAGAAGACAGAGGGGAAGTAGGATGGCAAGAGATTACTTAAGTTACTTCCACAGGAGGTTACCTGGCCACCTTTGCTGCGAAATATTTCCCATGGAACCAGCTTTTGGGAATAAAATACTGTCTAAGGGAACTGGGCTCCTTACCTTTGACAAAACTGCCAAACCCTCTGCAGTCTTTTCTGATAGAGCCTTTCAAGCGCAGGGATGTAGTATAGCGGAACCTCACTTTGAAGCAGTGCAAGGGGAGAGATATTTCCTTCCTACAAGTTTGGGAAGGATCTAATTTCAACATATCTTTACCTCAAACAAGATGTCTCCTGAGGATGACTCATGAAAATTAGGACCCTCCCCTTTGTGACTATTCCCTTGAATCTTATAAAAGGGCTTATTAGATTTTCCATTCGACCTGATAGCCATGGCTTGGTACACAATCACGGAGAACTGTGTAAGTCATCTTCTCAAATTTTAATATGTCATTGTCAATTAGAGCAACAACACAAAGAAAGATCACAGGAGAACTTCCAAGGACACAAGGGACAGTTGGAAGCCTGGTTGGGTGCAGAAGGATGGACTGATGAAGCTGGTGTGGGGATAATCTCCTATAGTTCTAAACCTTCATTTTACAGAGGAGGAAACTGAGGCACAGAGAGGCTAAGTGGCCAGACAAGATCAGATGGCCAGTCAGTGGCAGAGCCAGGATTAAATCTTCTTCACTCCCATACAATTATTAAAGCATTTATGGCATTGTATGCCTCTGGTTGGCTTATTCAGCTCTCAACTAGAGAATTTCTGAATCACTGAATTTCTCAACAGTGAGGCAATGCCTTATTTATCTTTCTCTAGCTGGCATCTAACAACCACTCAATCAAGATTTATGAAATCCAGTTCTACCTCCATGCTCAGTGCTCCCTTTTCCTTATATCACAAATACCATAATGACTAGTAAGGATGGAAATTATTTTCTTGAGGAGTCCAGCTTATGGACTTAGATTATTTACAGATTCAGATTCCACAGATTTCCACTATGGTCTGGGATACCTCCTGATATTCAGAATAGAATGGATTCTTTTCTGTCCTTCAAAGTACCCAGTGCTATTTCTGAATAGATGTGTCATTTGCTGTCTACGCATATCCTTTACTTCCTCACTAAAGGGGATTGTGATTTTTAACATGAGGTTCAGATTTCATGTACTTACTAAAATATTTGAGGAGGTTTGGGCACCATAGCAGGGTAAAAGAATATCTGGAGGCTAAACATCTGATGCTATTAAGCAGTAGCGATCTAAGAACTGGCCAGTTTTTTTTGGCAAAAACAGAGGCTTCAACACATGTTCCAATTTCCTGGTGAGATTAAAATGAGTCTACGTCTACATGACACAAAGACATCCAGTCAATTCAATGAAAAATAACGGCCAATTTGGTAGGGGGGAAAACAACTAGTTAAATTAGTTGTTAGTCATCACAGAAGTGAAACACACACACACACACACACAGACACACCAACAACAATTGGTTAATTTACCATATTTTTCACTTTTATGCTTATCATTTTAGTCAATTATACCTATAGTCTCAGATCAATGTCCGTATCTCAGATTTGATTACCTTTCAAATAAAAAATGGGATATGAAGTCAGGTCTAAAGTGGATTGCCAAGGTCACTTTTCTCATAGCCACTACCTTCTGATTCAGGATTGTCTCTGCTATAAGGTAGCTGCATGTTGCCACTTAGAAAAGTTTGAAGGGTAGCATCATTGTTGGTTTAATTTGGGTGTTATCAACTTAAAAAGGTGGGAGGAGGAAGAAAACATTCAGTCAGTTAGTCTTGGAAACCAAGTGTGATTAATCTCAAAGTTCTGTGGAATTTTTTTTAAATTTTGAATCAAGAAAGCTATTATATACTATGCAGTTCAATCACTGCAGGCTACTTTTTAATTTTTTTTCAACTGCCCACTGTTTTCAACAGGCGCCAATTAAGATTCTGGGGTCAAAGGGTTAATTACATCTTCTTACTCACTATGTAGAATTTTCTGATTATTAACTAAGGTTGGATTAAGATGAAAAAGAACCTACACAAATGTTAATGCTAGTCCCTCCTCAAGAAGATTTATTATAAAGCCATGCTGAAATCTATCTGCTTTCCTCAAAGCAGATGGGAAACGCAATCTTAGAAGAAACAGTAAAACAGACATTTTAAAGACATGCAAGTATCTGATTTATCAAGACAGTTTTCTTATTACTGAAAACAGTTCTTAGCCATCCAGACAGGGCTGATCGGAGATTTCCTTTGTCACATCCCAGTAAGTCTATGAGGTACACATGCAAGAAGTGAGGCTTGGATACAGAAGTCAGGAGTTACAGCATCTCTGAATAATAAAGCCTGTAATTATAATTTATATCCCCTGACATTAGTGTAACATATAAAGTGTAAGGCATAGTTTCTTAACCCCAAAAGCTGAATGCTTCTAACAGTACTTGTCAAATGATGAGGTTACTTCCTTGCAGGGTGTGGAACTAACCACAGGTCCATGACTGAAGGTATACTAATGTTTAATGCATTGTGCTAAATGGATTTATATTTGTCAAAGGAGTTTTGCCTCTGCTTTCCTTTTTGTGCATATTCCTCTGCAGCCAAATTTCACAGAGTGACATCTTACCATGGTGCTCCTTTAGGGACAAGTTTTGAGTATGTAAGCACTCTGAAATTAGTAGTTCTTTCTTTGACATTCCAGTACAGAAGGGGGAAAAATCACCCCCAAACTCTTTTCCTGTGACTTAACTCCAGTTAGAGAGAAGAATTACCAGTAGGCTAGGTTATTTTAATGACAGATTATTTTAAACTAAGCCTTCACCATCTGTTCCACCCCCTAATTATGAATGCAAAAAGAACATATTTCACAATTACATCAGTAAAAAAGTAAGATATACATGATTTAAATGCATGCATGTGCTCCTTGTCCAATGTGCCATGCATCTGTGATGTTCTTCCAATTCAGGCTCAGACTGCAGAGAAAATGCCCATACGTGATAGAGTATAATCTCTGACATACTCAACTTTCCCTTCAAACCCAGAGTTCTTCACTGTTGTGACATAACTCCGTTAGGACAACGGCAGAGCCTGAATTCGGGCACTATGCATATCAGACATTAGAAGTGAGCATTTAATAGCTGCTAAGACAGCTTTGCTGTTAATAAGGAGAGGCTCTGTGAGAAAACTGCCTCCATTCCGTAAGCAATGGGTTAGCCTTGGGAAGAAGTGGGTCTGCCCTTGAGCCATATGAGAAGCCTGGCTGGAGAGTGAGAACAGGACTCCATTGCCTATCTTTCCACTCTGTTTTGGCAGCAGTTAAAAGAGTTGGAAAGAAACAAATATTTCTTAAATTTTTTGGCCTTTTGATACAATCACACTGTGATAGCGCTCATTAAAATGCCATATTGCCCTCCGAATGCACTCAGGAAGTGATGCTATACTGCTCAGGCACACACATGTGGACTCCAAGCGACTTCAAGGAGAACCTGGATGGTGCCCAAAGTGCCCACATGTGTCTGTTTACGGGGAAGAAAAAGATTCACAAATTGTGTCTTTGCAATCTGACTTTTAACAATCCAGCACTGTGCAGAAACAAAAGCCTTATTTTCAGGAATAAGAATCTAAGTCAAGTATATTTTCTCAAAGTGGATAAAAGCACACACATCAAAGGTTTAGGCTTTATTTAACCCTTAAGAATCTCTAAGAGCTTTCTGTTCCTTCCTTTGCCTTTCAATGAGTCAACTGCACAAAGGATAGCATAGGTTCATACTGTCAGGTACCAAAAGCCACATGTTTCCCAATCACAACACCAAATTGGATTAGTTAAATTTGACTATTTTTCTGCTAAAAAATAAATCCAGAACAGCAAACTGTGATGCCTCAAAACACCTTTCGTAAGGGTTTCCCACAACATGTAAATTGAAACCTCTTAGGTGAGAAAACAGTTAAGAGCCATAGATGGCCTCTCTTCAGTCCTTAAAAGAGAGGCAGCAGAATAAAGAGGCAGCAGAATTAAAGGAGAGACACTGAGCTAGCAAAGTGTTAAAACATGAGAAGAACAAAGAGACCCACTTTCTGAGCAAGATGAGGTTTTACTTCTGCTCCTTAAAATTCCATTTTGGGGGAGCTGTGTATCAAAGTGCTGACTTTTTCCTCTGGGATGCTAGTTTAGGCTTTACTTCCAGCCTTGAGGGATGCAGATTTATTGATTTGAACATCCAGCCAAATGGACAATAGGCTCTGGTCAAAAGACAGTGACTGGCTTCTGATCCACAGGGGCAACTCCATATTATCTCTGGTTTGTCCCAGAGGAACCGGGGCTCCATTTGGAGCACAGGTGAGCACAGGCTCCTTTTGCCTCAAGGAGAGGATTCCAATAGTTATTCTAGAGCACAAATATTCATTGCAATGCTACATCTGCTGTGCACACATGTGGTATGTTAAATTACTGAACGGTAGACTTCCGAATCTAAGGGCTCATTCCTTACTGTGCTTCTCTCTCATTGAATTCAGAGTTCTTTTTCAAGGTAGAGGAGGAATTCCCACCTTGGCAGAAGTAATATAAACAATACATTGCACTGGTCCTGAATGGCCTAAAAATGTCACTGCTTTGCTTTGGCTAGAAATATATGCTGTTCACTCACACGCGGGTACCAGGTGTCTTTCAAGTTGTTGGCATTAAAAAAAACAACTGAAAGAAAAGAATAAATAACAACTGTTTACCTTACATCCTGTCGAATATAGACTACTGGAAAGTAGGAAGTGGTCTTCATTATATGTATGTTATATATGAATCAAATATGCTGTTACACGTATTATATATAATATATATTGCATTTATTGTTATCGGACATCATAAACAATGCTCAGTTCACTCAGTATTCACCAGGGAAAAGAAAAGGAAGCAAACATTTGTTAGTCACATTACATAGCTCACATGTGAGAGAGGTATTATTTAATCCTACTTTGCAGATGAGGAAACTGAGGTTCAGAGCATTTAAGTACATTGCTCAGTGTCACCTAACTAACATGTGGTAGAGCTGAGAACAAAGGATCCTTTGACTGCTTTTCCTCCCACTGCTGAGACCACCTGCTGGGTATTTTAGTTGTTTCACACCTCGATATAGCTGTGTGGAATCCTTGCCTCTTCCAGCATTTCTTTCCACACGAGTGAGTCTCATGCTCTTTCTGTTTAGAAAGCACCTGTTGACTGCAACAGAAAGCACCTGTTGAGCTCTTATTATACATCAAGCCCAGGACAGCCTGAGGTTCACAAAGGGGAGTGAGACAAGGTTCCCAGTCACAAGCTGCTTTCTTAAAGACGACTCATCTGTGGGATCCAAGACTAAGAAAATGAATAAAGTTGAAAATTAACTTTATAAAACAGAAAGCCCCAAGGCAAAGGCAGTTTCCAATTTAGGATACCCTGAATACACAGTGGGGACCCCTGGATGACCCAGCTCCAGACCTCTTGCAGGTTGGTGTTGTTTTGGGGAAACGCGTGGAGTGCTCGATTTGGAAAACATGCAGTCAAAAGACCACCAGACTTTGAAGAAATTCCCATGAGTTGGAAGAAGATCCTAGAGCCCAGAAGTGGACAGGGGACCCCACGGGTAATAAATAATCCCTAGTAGAACCACATCTCCAAATAGGCAGCTGGTATGTAAGACTGGACCACACCACATACAAGCTGGCCAGAACACTGACCCCATTTCCTGTCCCAGAGTTTTTCATTCAGACTTCCATGTTAGCTTTTTCCCCCTTCTCTGGTAGTATATACATACCATTTTATATAGAAGTCAATGTGAAAATAAGATAGTCTACAGAAATTTATTTTATAGTCATATTTACCTGAAAGTACAGCCTCACTTACCTGAAAACACACCCCTGATGTTGGCAGGGAAACCCACAGTGCTTCTGTTATGGCTAATTATGATGTGAACCTGACTGTTTACTGGGCAGTGGGAGACTTTTAAAAACAGGCTCTTAAGACAAAATAATAAATGCTTTGTACAGGTATTTCTTTAGGTAAGGAGGTTTGTGTCGGGAGTAGTAACGATGATTAAAGAATCCCTTAATGAATTTAGAATATTAAAAGACCATTTAGAGACCGCAGACACTAATCTGGTGCAATCATGTGTTTTATTTCTAGGAACATTTTATTTGTATCTCCAGAGAAAAGGCATTAAAAAACATTTGTACTCAAAGGAACTTGATGGTTACAAATATAGTTCAGAAATTCTGGTTGGGGATA